>NC_000023.11:76098905-76401935 GCF_000001405.40 Homo sapiens
ATTTCTGTACCCATTAACCATCCCCACATCTCCCACCACCACACTACTCTTTTTAGCCTCTGGTAACCTTCATTCTTCTGTCTTCATAAGTTCAATTGTTTTAATTTTTAGTTCCCCCAAAATAAGTGAAAATACGTGAAGTCTGTCTTTCTTTTCCTAGTTTATTTCACTTAACATGATGTCCTACTATTCCATCCATGTTGTTACAAATAAAAATGTCATTCTTTTTGTATGGCTGAATAATACTCCATTTTGTATTTATAAAACTTTTTTTTATTATTATACTTTAAGTTTTAGGGTACATGTGCACATTGTGCAGGTTAGTTACATATGTATACATGTGCCATGCTGGTGCACTGCACCCACTAACTCGTCATCTAGCATTAGGTATATCTCCCAATGAGTTCATGTCCTTTGTAGGGACATGGATGAAATTGGAAAACATCATTCTCAGTAAACTATTGCAAGAACAAAAAACATTTTCTTTATCCATTCATTTGTTGATGGAAATTTAGGTTTCTTCTAATTCTTAACTGCTGTGAATAGTGCTGCAGTAAACAAGAGAGTGCAGTTATCTTTTCATCATACTGTTTTCTCTTAATTTGGGTAAATACACAGTTGTGGCATTACTAAATGATATAGTTGTTCTATCTTTAGGTTTTGTGAAGAAATTCCATATTATTCTCAATAGTGGCTGTACTAATTTACATTCTGACCAACAGTGTAAGAGGATTCCCTTTTCTGCATATCCTCAATAGCATATGTTATTGTCTGCCTTTTGGTTAAAAAAGTGATTTTTACTTAGGTGAGATTAACATTTAATTGTAGTTTTGATTTGCATTTCACTAATGATAAATGTTTAGTACCTTTATATATACTTGATTGCAATCTGTATATTTTCTTTTGAGAAATGTCTATTCAGATATTTTTCTCATTTTTTAATTGGATTATTTGACTTCTTCTATTGAGTTGTTTGAACTTCTTATATATTCTGGTTATTAATCCCTTGTAACATGGGTAGTTTGCTAATACTTTCTTTCATTTTGTGGACTGTCTCTTCACTTTGTTGATTGTGTCCTTTGCTATACGGAAGACTTTTAACTTGATTTGATCAAATTTGTCCACTTTTACTTAGGTTGCCCATGTCTGTGGTGTATTTCTTAATAAATATTTGTACAGACCAATGTCCTGAAGAGTTTCCCCAATGCTTTCTTGTAGTCTTATAGTTTTAGGTATTAGGTTTATGTATGTCTTCATTTTGATTTGACTTTTGTATATGGCAAGAAACAGGGGTCTAGTTTTATTCTTTTGCATATGGATATCCAGTTTTCCAGGCACCAATTATTGAAGAAACTGTCTTTTCCCCAATGTATGTTCTCGGTAACTTTGTTGAAAATGAGTTCACTGTAGATGTATGGATTTGTTCTGAGTTCTCTATTTTGTTTCATTTGTCTATGTGTCTGTTTTTATGCCAGTACTCTACTGTTTTGATGACAATCGCTGTGTAGTTTAAAGTCTTGTAATGTGATTGCTTCCATTTTGGTTTGTTGTTGTTGTTGTTGTTGTTGTTGCTCAATTTTGGGTCTTTTGTAGTTTCATATAAATTTAAATTTTTTTTTAATTTTTGTGAAGAATGTTGTTGGTATATTGACAGAGATTGTATTGAATATGTAGATCGCTTTGGGTAGTGTGGACATTTTGGCAACATTGATTTTTCCAATGTATGAACATAGAATATGTTTCCATTATTTCGTACCCTCTTAAATTTCTTTCATCGGTGTTTTATAGTATTCATTTTAAAAAACTTTCACTAGTTCGGGAAAGTTTATTACTAAATATTTCATTTTTTGTAGCTATTATAATTGTGAATACTTTTGATTTCTTGTTCAAATTGTTTGCTGTTGGCATATACTGTTACTTTTTGTATGTTGATTTTGTATTTTTCAAATTTACTTAGTGTATCAGTTCTAATACTTTTTGGTGAAGTTTTTAGGTTTTTTTTCAAATATAAGATGATATCATCTGCAAACAAGGATAATTTGAATTCTTCATTTTAAATTTAGATGACTTTTATTTCTTTCTCTTTCCTTATTGTTCCAGGTAGGACTTTCAGAGCTATGTTGAATAACAGTGGTGAAAACGGGCATCTTTGTCTTCTTCTAGGTCTTACAGAAAAGGCTTTTAGTTATTGCCTATTCAGTATGGTACTAGCTATGGGTCTGTTGTATATGGCTTTTATTGTGTTATGGCATGCTCTGCCTTTACCCATTTTTTCAGGGTTTTGAAGGGATGCTGAATTTTATCAAATGCTCTTTCAGCATCAACTGAAATAGCCATATGGTTTTTGTCCTTCATCCAAATGACATAAAGTAACACACTAATTGATTTGCATATGTTGAACCATGCTTGGATTCCCGGGATAAATTTCATTTGAACATAATAAATAATCTTTTTAATGTGTTGCTGAAATCGGTTTGCTAGTATTTTGTTGAGAAAATTTGCATTAATATTTATCAGTTTTATTTTTTGATGTGTCATTTTTTGCTTTCGTATCAGGGTAATACTGGCCTCATAGTATGAGTTTTGAAGTATCTACTTCTCTGTTTTTTGGAACACTTTAAATAGAATCGGTATAAGTTCTTCTTTAAATGTTTGGTTGAATTCAGCAGTGAAGCCAATGGGTCTTAGGCTTCTGTCTAGTCAGTGACTTCTTATTATGGCTTCCATCTCATTACTTGTTATTGGTCTGTTCAGGTTTTTGAATTGCTTCATGGTTCAATATTGGCAGGTTGTATGCATCTGGAAATTTATCCATTTCTTCTAGGTTTTCCAATTTGTTGCCATATAGTTACTTATAGTAGTCTCAATCCTCTGAATTTCTGCAATATCAGGTGTAATGTCTCCTTTTCCATCTCTGATCTTAGTGAATTTGGTCTGCTCTCTTTTTTTCTTATTCTTCCTATAGGTTGCTAAATTTTCTTTATTCCAAAACCAAACTTTTTATTTCATTGATCTTTTGTATTTTTTGTTTAAATTTTATTTATTTCTGCTCTGATCATTATAATTTCTTTTCTGTCCACTAATTTTGAGTTTGCTTGGCTTTTGCTTTTTTAGTTTATTCAAATGCATCATTATGTTTTTTACTTGAAGGTTTCTACTTTTTTATATAGGCACTTATTGATATAAAGTATACTGTTAGTACTGCTTTCTTTGTATTCCATAGGATTTGGTATGTTGTGTTTCCATTTTCATTTGTTTTAAAAGACTTTCTAATTTTCTTAGTAATTTATTCTTTGATGCACTGGTCCTTCAAGAGCATATTGTTTATGTGTTTGTTTAATTTCCAGTGTTCCTCTTATTATTTATTTCTAGATTTATTTTATTTTGGTCAGAGAAGATAGTTGATATTCAATTATTTTAATGTTTTAAGGTTTGTTTTGTGGCCTAACATATGCTCTACTTTTGAGTATGATTCATGTGCTGAGAAGATACATGTGTTTTCTGCAGCCATTGGATAAAATGTTCTATAAATATCTATTAGATCACTAGGCCTATAGTGCAGATTAGGTCTGATACCTCTTTGTTGATTTTCTGTCTGGAAGGACTCTCCAATGCTAAAAGTGGGGTGTTGACGTCTCCAGCTATTGCTGTATTGGAGTCTATCTCTCTTTTTAGTTATAATATTTGCTTTTTAGATCTGAGTGCTCCAGTGTTGGGTAAATATATATTCACAATTGTTATGTTCTCTTGCTGAATTTACCCCTTTATTATTATATAATGACAGTCTTTGTCTTGTTTTATAGGTTTTGTCTCAAAATTTATTTTATCTTATATAAGTATAGCTACTCTCTGTCTTTTTTTTAAATTTCTATTTGCATGAAATATCTTTTTCTGTCCTACCTTGGCCTCCCAAAGTGCTGGGATTACAGGCGAGAGCCACTGTGCCCAGTCTTGACTGTGTATTTTCAAATAGTCTGTATTCAAGCTCACTAGTTGTTTCTTCTGCTTAATAGCAATTCTGCTATTAACACTCTGATACAGTCTTCAGTATGTCAATTGAATTTTCCAGCTCCATATTTTCTGTTTGAGTTTAATTATTTCAAAGTCTTTATTAAATTTATATGATAGGATTATAAATTCCTTTTCTGTGTTATCTTGAATTTTTTGAGTTCCCTCAAAATAGATATTTTGAATTCTCTATCTGAAAAGTCACATATCTCTGTCTCTTCAGGATTGGTCCCTGGTGTTTTATTTAGTTCATTTGGTGAGGTCAAGGTTTTCCTGGTTGATCTTGATGCTTATGAATGTTTGTCAATGTCTGGGAATTAAATAGGTATTTATTGTAGTCTTCAGAGCCTGGCCTTATTTGTACCTGTTTTACTTGGGAAGTCTTTTCAAGTATCCAAAGGAAATTGAGTATTACAATCTAAATCTTTGGTCACTTCAACTGTATATCCATTAGTGGGCACCCCAAGTTCACTAACACTGTGACTCTTGCAGACTTACAGTTGTACTGCCGTGGTGTTCTTGAGTAAGATCTGAGAGAATTTCCTGGGTTAACAGGCAGACTCTTGTCCTCTTCTTTGGGATGAAAATCAGGAGACTGTCACCCAAACAAATGGAATCTCTCTCTCTATGTTGAGCTGCCTGGAGCTGGGAAAATGGTGAAACAAGCACTCTTGCAGCCACCACCACTAGGACTGCTCTGGGCCAGACCCAAAGCTATCACAGTAGTGGGTCTCACCCAGGGCCCATGGTGACCACTGCCTGGCTACCCCTCATGTTCACTTAATGTATAATGGCTCCTAAATCAGCAGGTGGCTAATCCAGCCAAGTTTGTATCCTTCCTTTTAGGGGGGCAAACTCCCTTCTGGCCCAGAAATACCATCTGGGAGCCAGGAACCTGAAGTTGGAAACCTTAGGAATCTGCTTGGTGCTGTACTCTACCACTGCTGAGCTGGCACCCAAGCCATAAAACAAAGTACTTCCTATTCCTTTCTCTCCTTTTGTCCTACAGGAGGGGTCTCTCCCCATGGTCACCACCACCCTAGGCCCACATCAGGTAATACTAGTCTGCTGCTGATGTTCACTCAAGGTCCTAAAGCTCTTCATTCACCTTGTGGCAAATACTGCCAGGCCTCTGTCTCTACCTTAAGGGCAGCAAGCTCCCATCTGGCCCAGGAAAGACTTAGACATGCCATCCATGAGCCTAGGCCTGGAATCAGGTTCTCCAGGAGACTAGGTGCTCTACCCTACTGTGGATGAGCTGGTGCCCAAACTTTAAGAAAGAAATACCCTTTACTCTTTTTTCTTCTTTCCTCAAGCAGAAGTAGTGTCTTCCTGTGGCCCCCAAACAGCTGGAAACATGCTGGGTCACACCTGAAGTCAGCATGGCCCTGTCTCATCCAAGGCTCAAAGCAAGGACTCCCTGGGAGCTGCTTACATTTATTCAAAGCCCAAGGACTCTTTAGTTGGCAAATTATAAATCCTGCCAGGACTGGGTTCTTCCCTTCAAGGCAGCAGGCTTCCCTGTCACCCAGGATGTGTCTAGAAATGTCATCTGGAAACTAGGGCCTGAAATTAGGGACTCGGGACAGAGCCTGTTGCCCCGTCCAATTATGGCTGAGCTGGTATCCAAGTTGCAAGACAAAGTCTTCTTCACTCTCTCCTCTCCTCTGCTGAAGCAGGAGTTTCTCTTGGAGCTGTGATCTGTGCTTCCTGGGGTTAGGGGAGGGGTGATGCATGCACTTCTTTGTCTGCCCTTGCTAGTGTCTCCCTAGTTGGCATGTACTCCATGTCTACTGGCTCTGAGCCCAGCAAAATACCAGAACTTGCCCAAGTATTGCAGTACTTGTGGCCTAGACTGCCTTTCAAGTTTATGTAGGACCCTAGAGCACATTAGCCCATGGTGGTGAGGCTAGCCGAAACTCAGGTTTCAACCACTGGAATGGATGATTCCACTCTGGCTAGTGCTGATCTAAATGTTCCCTCTGTGGGTGCTGGATGATTTCTACCCTGTGTTGCTTTCTGCTGTGACAGGGCAGCAAAGAGTTCCAATGCAAAGACCCATAATCACTGTGCTGTCTCCACCAAGCACACAGATTCCCTCTCCTTGTCACATGGTTGCTGCCAGGGGATGGGGCAAGAGTGGTGTCTGCAATTCAAGGCTGTCTTTTCTACGCTTTTCAGTGCTTTTTTCTTTAACATGATGTTAAAACCAGGTATTGCCCGATTTTTCCTTCTTATGAAGGTGCTTTTTGTGGATAGTTGTTGAATCTGGTGTTCCTGCAGCTGAGGTTGATCACTGGAGGGCTAAATTTGGTCATCTTGCTTCACCACCTCCTCCTTAGCCACCTGTCAATTTTTAAATTATTCCCATATGACTTTATTTAAACATTACTTGAGTAGTTTAATCCTTCATTTCACCATTCTCTTGCTGTTGGACATTTAGTTTTATTCCATTATGTCGCTATTATTTAAAATATGATAAATTTTTAATGCAAAGATATTTTACTGGATTAAGGATTCCACTTGCAGGATGGTGCCACTAAAAACCTTGAAGACCCTTCCCAGCAAAACGATTGTAAGTTGTAAAAATTACAAAATAAAGAACCCTAAAGTTGATTGTTGTAATGACTATACATAAAAAGTGCAAATATATTGAAAACCATCGAATTCTACACTTTAATGGGTAAATTTGATATCTAAATTATATCTCAATAAAGCCAGTTGCCAAAAACAATTTATTCATGAATGTTAATTGGAACATTATATGTAATAGCCAAAAGTGGACCAGCCCAACAGATAAATAAAATATCCTACATCTACATAATGGAACATTATTCAGCTATAAAAACTGAAATTTTGGGATGGGCATGGTGACTCATGCCTGTAATCCCAGCACTTTGGGAGGCTGAAGCAGTTGGATCACCTGAGGTCAGGAGTTCGAGACCAGCCTGGCCAACATGGCAAAACCCTGTCTCTACTAAAAATACAAATATTAACTGAGCATGGTGGCACACGCCTGCAATCCCAGCTACTAGTAGGACTGAGGCAAAAGGATTGCTTGAGCCTGGGAAACAGAGCGAGACTCCATCCCCCACCCCCAAAAAATGAAATTTTAATATATGTTGTAAAATTGATGAATCTCAGAAACATTATGTTTAGTAAAAAAAAAAGCCAGACACAAAATACCACTTATTGTATGATTCCATTGACATAAAATATCCCATAAAGGCAAATCTAGGGACACAGATTAAATGCAAATGAAATCTAGGTATCTTATTGGGAATAGGAAAATGTTCTACGATGTGATTAGGGTGATGTGAATAGGCTTTGACACTATGTAACTTTTCTAAAAATTATTGTCCAAACTATATAAAGAATACACAAATATTAAAACTAAATAATAGAGACAAATAACACAATTTAAAATGGGCAAAGGATCCATGTAGATATTGTCCAAGAAGATATACAAAGAGGTACTACTTTATACCCACTGAGACAGCTGATATCCAAAGACTGACAATAACAAATGCTGGTGCGGATGCTGTGAAATAGAAATTCTCATTCATTGCTGGTACAATGGTGCAACCAATTTGAAACAGTACTGCAGTCTTTCAAAATGTTAAACATAGAGTTACCTTATAACACAGCAATTCCACTTCTAGGTATAAACTCAAGAGAAATAAAAACACATGTCAGACAAAAATTTAAAAAAGAATGTTTATACCAACATTATCCATAGTAAACAAAAAGTAGAAACAGCTCAAATTTCCATCAGCCAGTGAATGGATAAACAACTTGTAGTATATCCATACAGTGGAATAAGAAACAAAGTAATGATCTGTGCTACAACATGGATGAAATAAAAAAAACATTTTGCTAAGTGAAAAAAGCAAAACACAAAAGTTTATATACTGTATGATTGCACGTATAAGAAATCCTAGAAAAGGAAAAGCTATGGAAAAGCTATGGAGACAGACAGCCAATGATTAGTCGTTATTGGGCACTGGTGAAGAAAAAGATTGACTGTAAATAGAAAAGAACTTTTGGGGTGTTTTAAATCTGGTTATGGTGGTGGTTGCACAATTATATATATTTACCAGAACTCATTAATATATACATAAAATAAGTGGGTTTATTGTTTGTAAATTATACCTCAATACAGTTGTAAAACAAAAGTTTGTGGTCATAATATGAAATTATTTTTGTAGTGTTGTTACACAGGATTTATAACCTAAAAGGTTTAGGGATTTTTCCAGATTAAAAGACACCAAGAAGATATGACAGGTATTTGAAATATATGATCATGAAAAGTATAAAGAAACTGTTATCAATATTATTTTCAGGTCAATTCAAAAAAATAAAATACCATTGGTAATATAAAGTGTTAAATGTCCTAAAGTTGAAAACTGAACTGTGCTTATTATATAATTGACTGCCCCTGTTTTTGAAAATAATAAAATTATTTAAAAGTTACTATGAAGTATGTAACTTAACCTCAAATGGTTCAGCAAAGATAGATAGATGATAGACAAAGAGAGAGATATAGCAATATGTAAATAGAGAGTAATAAACAAATGTGGCAAGCTCTTAATCAGTCTGAACAAAGAGAATATAGGAGTTATTTGTACTATTCTGGCATCTTTTCTATAATATTTACATTACTTATAAATAATAATAAATAAAAAGTGTATGAAAATGGAATGTGTAATGACAAACTGGAAAAGGTCTTACAATAGAGAATTTATGTTGAGAAAGCACAATTGCTAAAAATGCATGGAAATGCTTAATCTCACTGTTAATTAAAGATATGCAAATTAAAACAAAGAACATGAATTTATTTTTACCAAACACACAAAGATATTTTAAAAATAATAATCACGAATGCCAGCAAGGATAAAATGATCACATTCATACACCAATGGTGGAAGTAAATAGTTAATTGTTTCGAAATATACATTCCATAAAGATGGGAATTTTTGTTTATTTTGTCCACTTCTATATCTCTAGGGGTTACAGCAGTTCCTAGCAAGTGACAGGGACTCCATAAATATTTGTTGAATAAATTAATAGTTTTTTCACAAGTCAACGGATCAAGTAAAAAAATAAGAATAAAAAGGACTTCAATAAAATAATTAACAACCCTGGTTTAATAGCTACATGGAGATCTTGGTACTAAATAAAAAGAATGCAAATTGTTTTCATACAAACATGATATAGTCATAAAAATAACTATGAATTAGGCAACAAAAAATGTATGTGTATGTGTGCATTATGTATCTGTGTATGAATGCATAGAAAAACATAAAAATACACATTGAACTATTGAACAATCAATACTGCTTGCCTGGATGGGGGTATGGAGAAATGGGTTTGGTGAAGGAGAAACTTTCTTTTATGATTTATTCCCTAGCTTTATATTTTTCTGAATTATTTGAATTTTTTAGAAGAAGCATGTTTCCATGTATAATTGTACAATTAGAAGCACAAACAAGAAAATAGAGGAACACAAAAAGAGCCAGAAGGAAATATACCAATATTTCATAATAATGAGATTTGAGATCATTGATAATTTTTGTCTTCTTGTTTTCTTTTTGCTTTTATATATTGTCCAATGTTCCAACAATAACCATGTATTACTTAAAAACATTTCCATAAAGTGTATAATGGATTACAACATGTTAACCATTCCATTATATGAGGAAGTTAATGAGCCTTTATTTTCCTCACTCATTGTTAAATCACTTTCTCGTCACTATGAGGAAAATAGAAACTACTAGAAATATGTTTAAAAAGAAATATTCTGCAATCACATGGAACAAGTGGTGAAACATTACTGGAGAATATAAAGAAGTTAAATCAATAAAAGAACAAGCTACATTCTTGAATCAGAAAACTAATTATTTGGAAGATGTTACTTCTCAAATTAATATATAGATTTCAAACAACGTGAGTTTTAAAAATCCTTAATGAGGGAAGGGTTGGAAAAGTAATTCAAAATTTAATCTGGCATTCCAGCCTGGGTGACAGAGGGAGACTCTGTCTCAAAAACAATTTTTTTTTATCTGGACAAATATAAATAGTAACAATAATTTACAAAAATGATAGATATGCATTATCTTAAAAATTTTAACTGAATTATTTTAAAGGATATTAAGAAAAGTATTTATTGAGATACAGAGGGTCATAATATTAATTTAATTAAAAATTAGAAAGCAAAATCAGACAAAACATATAATTTTAACCTCAAAATGTCCCACCAAAACACCAGCATAGAATGGGGAGACATATCAAAATTTTAATAGTGGTAGCCTCTGAATGTTGCTATCTCTTTTACAACATTTCTGAAATTTCTAATTTTTTAAATGAGATGTATTATGTTTATTATGGCAAAAAATTATCTTTTAAAACTCCCAACAGAAAAATGAACAATAGAAATAAAAATATAAATTAGAGGGGAAAAAAGCCAATAAAAACGTGTAAAGGTAAATTCAACCCAACAATTTTAAAATACTTTTATTTATTTATTTATTTATTTTTTATTATACTTTAAGTTCTAGGGTACATGTGCACAAGGCGCAGGTTTGTTACATAGGTATACATGTGCCATGTTGGTTTGCTGCACCCATCAACTCGTCATTTTCATTAGGTATTTCTCCTAATGCAATCCCATCCCCAGCCCTTAAAAGACCATTTTTTTTTAAAAAATTAATCTTTTTCATCTCACAATTTGGCAAACACATTTTAACAGCATATTTTTCAACGTAGGTTTCCAGCATTCAAGACAGCAGAAATACACCCACTCCTTTTTCATTCTTTTCTTTTTCTTTTCTTTTTTTTTTTTTAACACAAAGGGTGGAGGAGGACTTTTTTTTGTTTGTTTCTTTGTTTTTTGGCGGGGGGGGGGGGGCGGGGATGCTCTGCTGCCATCTACAGAAAAGTATGTAAAAAGCAACTAAGAAATTATTTCCTTAACCAAAGTCCACTGCAGCAGATATGCCCCAAATAAACAAGAAGTTGAAAATACTTGATATTTCTCTTGAGACTTTGGTTTCTCTGTAGCTACAGAAATAAAATGGAGGAAGCGGGTCAGAGGAAGATGGCTGAATAGAAGCCTCCACCATTCATCCACACTGATGGAACATCAAATTTAAAAACTGTCTACACAAAAATACACGTTCATAACAACAAAAATATCAGGTCCGAGCTCGGCCACAGTAGGATAGAGCACCAAGAGGTGGAAGCCGGACACAGTGACTCACTCTTGTAATTTCAGCACATTACGAGGCCGATCTGGGCAGATCAATTGAGCTTAGGAGTTAGAGACCAGCCTGGGCAACAGGGTGAAACCCTGTCTCTACAAAAAATATAAAAATTAGCCAGGCATGGTGGCACATGCCTGTAGTCCCAACTACTCATGAGGCTGAGGTGCGAGTATCATCTGAGCCTGGGGATTTTGAGGCTATGGTGAGCCATAATTGTGTCACTTCACTTCAGCCTGAGTGACAGAATGAGGCCCTATCTCAAAAAAAAAAAAAAAAAGAGGGCCCTCCTCATCCCAAATTCCAGGACTTCACTCTTAAACTGCATTTCTAGACCTGCTCTGGGACAAAGAAGAGCCCACTGCCCTGAAGGGTAAGTCCCAAGGCTGGTAGCATTCACCATGAGGTCACTGAAGAGTTCTTGGGCCTTAAGTAAACATTGGTGGTAGCCTGGCAGTACTCTCCATGGGCCTGTGGTGGTGACAGCTATGAGGAGAGGCTCCTCTGTCTGTGCAAAAAAAAAAAAGGGAAAGTGAGAAGGACTTTATCTCATGGTTTGAGTGCCAGGTTAGCCACAGTAGAATAGAGCACCAGATTAATTTCTAAGGTTTTTGACTCAAGGCCTTGGCTCCCAGTCCGCATCTTAGGACCCAGTAGAGGCCTGGGAGAACTCACTACCTTGAAAAGAAAAACACAAACCTGGGTGTCTTCATCACCTACTCATTGTAGAGGTCCAGAGCCTTGAGCAAACATAAGCGGTAGCCTGGCAGTGGCTACAGCAGGCCTTGGGCAAGTGCAATACTGGCTTCAGTTCTGACCCAGTGTTTTCCTACTGGTGGTGGCCACAGATATGCTTGTGTCACCCCTCACCCAACTCCAAATAGCTCAGCAGAGAGAGAAACACACTACATTTGTTTGGAAGAAAGTAAGGGATGAGAACAAAAGTCTCTGCCTGATACTCCAGAAAATTCTTCCAGATCTTATGGAAGACCACCAAAGTGATACCTCTACAAGTCTGCAAAAACCACAGTGTTACTGGGCTTGGGCTTGCCCCTAATGCAGATACATCTTAGATCACAACATCCAAGTCCCTTCAAATACCTGGCAAACCTTCCCAAGAAGGATGGTACAAAGAAACCCAGTTAGGTATAAGAAATACCTAACTCTTCAATGCCCAGACACAGATGAATATCTACAAGCATCAAGATTATCCAGGAAAACATTACTTCACCAAATCAATCAAATACAGCACTGGAGACCAGTCCTAAAGAAATAGGGTTATGTGACTTTTCAGACAGAGTAATCAAAACAGCTGTTTTGAGAGAATTCAAATAAATTCAAGATAACACAGAGAAGAAAATGTAAAAAAGAAATTGAAATAGTAAAAAACATATTCTGGAGTTGAAAAACGCAAATGAGAAAGAATGCATCAGAATTTCTTAAGAGAATTCGTCAAGCAGAAGAAAGAATTAGTGAGCTTGAAGACAGGCCATTTGAAAATACACAGTCAGAGGAGGCAAAGAAAAAAGAATTAAAAAAAATAAAGCATGCCTACAGAATCTAGTAAATAACCCCCAAACAGCAAATCTAAGAGTCATTGGCCTTAAAAAGGAGGTAGAGGAGATAAGAGTAGAGCGTTTATTCAAAGGGATATCAGAGAACTTCCTAAACCTAGAGAAAGATATCAATATTCAAGTACAAGAAGGTTATAAACACCAAGAAGATTTAATCCAAAGAAGACTACCAAAGGCATTTAATAATCAAACTCCCAAAGGTTAAAAGTAAGAAAGAATCATAAAAGCAATACGAGAAAAGAAACAAATAAGATGAAATGGAGCTCCAATACATCTGACAGCAGACTTTTCAGAGGAAATCTTACAGGACAGGAGATAGTGGCATTACATACTTGAAGGGCTAAAGGAAAAAACCCTTATATTCTTGAATAGTATATCTGGCAAAAATGACCTTCAAACATGAAGGACAAATAAAGACTTTTCCAGACAAACAAAAGCTGAGGGATTTCATCAATATCAGAACTACCCTACAAGAAATGCTGAAAGGAGTTATTTAGTGAGAAAGAAAAGGCCATTGGTGAGAAAAAAAGAAATAATCTGAAGATATAAAACTCACTGATAACAGTAAGTACACAGAAAAACACAGAATATTGTAACACTGTAATTGTGGCATGCGAACTCATTTTTTTATTATTATTGTACTTTAAGTTTTAGGGTACATGTGCACAATGTGCAGGTTAGTTACATATGTATACATGTGCCATGTTGGTGTGCTGCACCCATTAACTCATCATATAGCATTAGGTATATCTCCTCATGCTATCCCTCCCCCTTCCCCCCACCCCACAACAGTCCCCAGAGTATGATGTTCCCCTTCCTGTGTCCATGTGTTCTCATTGTTCAATTCCCATCTATGAGTGAGAACATGCAGTGTTTGGTTTTTTGTCCTTGCGATAGTTTACTGAGAATGATGATTTCCAATTTCATCCATGTCCCTACAAAGGACATGAACTCATCATTTTTTATGGCAACATAGTATTCCATGGTGTATATGTGCCACACTTTCTTAATCCAGTCTATCACTGTTGGACATTTGGGTTGGTTCCAAGTCTTTGCTATTGTGAATAGTGCCGCAATAAACATATGTGTGCATGTGTCTTTATAGCAGCATGATTTATAGTCCTTTGGGTATATACCCAGTAATGGGATGGCTGGGTCAAATGGTATTTCTACTTCTAGATCCCTGAGGAATCGCCACACTGACTTCCACAATGGTTGAACTAGTTTACAGTCCCACCAACAGTGTAAAAGTGTTCCTGTTTCTCCACATCCTCTCCAGTACCTGTTGTTTCCTGACTTTTTAATGATTGCCATTCTAACTGGTGTGAGATGGTATCTCATTGTGGTTTTGATTTGCATTTCTCTGATGGCCAGTGATGATGAGCATTTTTTCATGTGTTTTTTGGCTGCATAAATGTCTTCTTTTGAGAAGTGTCTGTTCATGTCCTTCGCCCACTTTTTGATGGGGTTGTTTGTTTTTTTCTTGTAAATTTGTTTGAGTTCATTGTAGATTCTGGATATTAGCCCTTTGTCAGATGAGTAGGTTGTGAAAATTTTCTCTCATTTTGTAGGTTGCCTGTTCACTCTGATGGTAGTTTCTTTTGCTGTACAGAAGCACTTTAGTTTAATTAGATCCCATTTGTCAATTTTGGCTTTTGTTGCCATTGCTTTTGGTGTTTTAGACATGAAGTCCTTGCCCATGCCTATGTCCCGCATGGTAATGCCTAGGTTTTCTTCTAGGGTTTTTATGGTTTTAAACCTAACATTTAAGTCTTTAATCCATCTTGAATTAATTTTAGTATAAGGTGTAAGGAAGGGATCCAGTTTCAGCTTTCTACATATGGCTAGCCAGTTTTCCCAGCACCATTTATTAAATAGGGAACCCTTTCCCCATTGCTTGTCTTTCTCAGGTTTGTCAAAGATCAGATAGTTGTAGATATGTGGCATTATTTCTGAGGGCTCTGTTCTTTTCCATTGATCTATATCTCTGTTTTGGTACCAGTACCATGCTGTTTTGGTTACTGTAGCCTTGTAGTACAGTTTGAAGTTAGGTAGTGTGATGCCTCCAGCTTTGTTCTTTTGGCTTAGGATTGACTTGGCGATGCGGGCTCTTTTTTGGTTCCATATGAACTTTAAAGTAGTTTTTTCCAATTCTGTGAAGAAAGTCATTGGTAGCTTGATGGGGATGGCATTGAATCTATAAATTCCCTTGGGCAGTATGGCCATTTTCACAATATTGATTCTTCCTACCCATGAGCATGGAATGTTCTTCCATTTGTTTGTATCCTCTTTTATTTCATTGAGCAGTGGTTTGTAGTTCTCCTTGAAGAGGTCCTTCACATCCCTTGTAAGTTGGATTCCTAAGTATTTAATTCTCTTTGAAGCAATTGTGAATGGGAGTTCTCTCATGATTTGGCTCTCTGTTGGCATGGAAACTCTTAAGTAGAAAGACTAAAAAATGAACCAATTGAAATAATAACTATAACTTTACAAAACATAATACAAAAAGATAGAAAAGAAACAACAAAAAGTTAAAAAGCATGGGGATTAAGTTAAAGTGTAGAGTTTTTTATTTTACTTTAAGTTCTGGGATACATATGTAGAATGTGAAGGTTTGTTTCATAGTTATACATGTGCCATGATGGTTTGCTGCACCCATCAACCCATCATCTAGGTTTCAAGCCCCACATGCATTAGGTATTCAACCTAATGCTCTCCCTCCCCTTGCCCTCCACCCCTCGACAGGCCCCGGTGAATGATGTTCCCCTCCTTGTGTCCATGTATTCTCATTTTTCAACTCCCACTTATGAGTGAGAACATGTGGTGTTTGGTTTTCTGTTCCTGTGTTAGTTTGCTGAGAATGATGGCTTTCAACTTCATCCGTCTCCCTGCAAAGGACATGAACTCATAAAATTTAGTTTTTATTAGTTGCATTTTCACATGTTTATGTGTTTGTTTATGCAATTATTGCAAATTTTTATCAGTTTTTATAAATTGGTTTTAAGATAACATTTGGAAGCCTTATGATAAACTATAATAATAATATAAAAAAACATACAAGGAAACCCAAAAAATAAAAAGAAATAAATTAAATCATACCATCAGAGAAAATCACCTTTACTTAAAGGAAGACAGAAAGGAAGAAAAAGAAGATCACAAAGCAACCAGAAAATAAATAACAAAATGGCAGGAGTAGGTTCTTACTTATTATTAATAACGTTGGAGGTCAATGGACTAAACTCTCCAGTCAAAAGACATAGATGCCTTAACGGATTTTAAAAAAACACTCAACAATCTGTTGCCTACAGGAAAAACACTTTACCTGTGAAGACACACACAGACTTAAAAAAATAGAAAAACATATTTCATGCCAATAGAAACAAACAGAGAGTAGGAGTAGCTATACTTATATCAGACAAAATAGATTTCATGATGAAAATTATAAGAAGAGATTAAAGAGATAATAATACCCATAACATTATCACTATATAATGATGAAAGGGTCAATTCAGCAACAGGATGTAGCAATTGTAAATATATGCACACCCAACACTCAAGTACCCAGATATATAATGCAAATGTGATTAGAGCTAAAGAAAGAGATTAACCCCAATACAATCATAGCTGGAGACTTCATCACCTCACTTTCACCTTTGGACAGATCTGTCAAACAGAAAAACAGAGATATCAGATTGAATCTGCACTATATACTAAAAGGACCTAATAGATATTTACAGAACTTTTCACTCAACAGCCATAGAATACACATTATTCTCTTCAACACACGAATTATTCTTAAAGACAGACCGTATATTAGCTCACAAAACATGTCTTAAAACATTCAAAAAACTTTCAATAAAATCAAAAGTCTTCTCTGACAATGATGAAATAAAACTAAAAATAAAAAAGAAGACGAATTTTGAAAAAGATACAAACAAATGGAAATTAAACAGTATTCTGAATGACCAGTGGGTCGGTGAAAAAATTAAGAAGGAAATTGAAAATTTTCTTGAAGCAAATAATAATGGAAACACAACATATCAAAACCTATGGGATACAGTGAAAGCAGTACAAAGAGGGAAGCTCCTATATAAAAAATTTTGAAAAACTTGAAATAAACAGCCTAATACATCTTAAAGAATTAGAAAGGCAAGAGCAATCCAAACCCAAAATTGTAGAAGAAAAGAAATAATAATAAAGATAAGAGCAAAAATAAAATATAAATGAAGAAAACAATAGAAAAAATCAATGAAAGAAAAAGTTGGTTTTTTGAAACGTTAAACAAAATTGACAAAACTATAGCCACACTAAGAAAGAAAGAGAGAAGACGAAGAAATAAAATTGGAGATAAAACGGAGACATTATAACTGATACTCCAGCAATTCAAAGGACCATTAGTGGCTTCTATGAGCAACTATATTCCAATAAATTGGAAAATCTAGAGGATATTGATAAATACATAGGCACATACAACATACCAAGATTGAACCATGAATAAATTCAAAACCTGAACAAACCAATAACAAGTATCGAGAGAAAAGCCATAATAAAATGTCTCTCAGCAAAGAAAGTCTGGGATTCCATGGATTCACTGCTAAATTCTACCATACATTTAAAGAAGAAATTATACCAATCCTACTCAAACTATTCTGAAAAATAGAGAAGGGACTACTTTCAAATTAATTCTATGAGGCCAGTGTTGTGGTTTTGTGTGTGTGTTGTTTTTGTTTGTTTGTTTGTTTGTTTTGAGACGCAGTCTTGCTCTGTCACCCATGCTGGAGTGCAATGGTGCGATCTCAGCTCACCGCAACATCTGCCTCCCAGGTCAAGCGATTGTACTGCCTCAGCCTCCCCAGTAGCTGGAATTACAGGTGCACACCACCATGCCCAGCGAATTTTTCTATTTTTAGTAAAGACAGTGTTTTGCCATGTTGGCCAGGCTGGTTTCGAACTCTGACCTCTCAGCTGATCCCCCACCTAGGCCTCCCAAAGTGCTGGGATTATGGGAGTGATCCACTGCACCCGGCAAAGGCCAGTATTACTGTGATACCAAAACCAAGAAAAGACACATAATAAAAAGAAAACTACAGGCTAATATTACTGATGAATATTGATACAAAAAAATCCTCAATAAAATACTAGCAAACTGAATTCAACAGCACATTAAAATGATTATTTATTATTACTGAGTGAGATGTATCCCAAGAATGCAAGCATGGTTCAACATATGCAAATCAATCAATGTGATATATCATGTCAGCCTAATGAAGGACAAAATTCATGGGATCATTTCAATTGATGCTGAAAGAGCATCAGCATCCCTTTATGATTTAAAAAACCCTCAGAAAACTGGGTATAGATGGAACGTGCCATAATAAAATAAAAACCATCTATAACAGACTATTATCATACTGAATGGGCAATAACTGAAAGCCTTTCCTGTAAGATCTAGAACAAGACAAGAATGACCACTTTAACCACTATTATTTACCACAGTACTGGAAGTCTCAGCTAGAGCAATCAGACAAGAGAAAGAAATAAAAGGCATCCAAATTGAAATGGAAGAAGTCAAAATATCCTCGTTTGCAGATGATATGATCTTATATTTGAAGAAACCTAAAGACTCCACCAAAAAGTAATCGTTCTGGTCCACAAACTCAGTAATGTTGCAGGATACAAAATCAACATATAAAAATCAGTAGCATTCCTATATGCCAACAGCAAACAATCTGAGTAAGAAATCAAGAAAAATTTACATTTACAATAGCTACAGAAAAAATTAGATACCTAGCAATAAACTTAACCAAAGAATTAAAAGTTTTCTATATTGAAAACTATAAAACACTGATGAAAGAAATTGAAGAGAATACAAAATAATAGAAAAAATATTCTATTCTTTATGTAATGGAAAAATCAATGTTGCCAAAATGTTCATACTACTCAAAGCAATCCACAGAGTCAGTGCAATCTCTATCAAAATACCAATGGCATTCTTCATAGATATAAAACAAAATAATTCTAAAATTTATATGAAACCATAAAAGACTTAGAATAGCCAAAGCAATTTTGACCAATCCTGAGCAAAAAGAACAAAACTGAAGGAATTACATTTCCTGACTTCAAATTATACTTCAAATTAACTTCAAATTAAACCATAACAGTATGTTACTGTCATAAAAACAGACACATAGACAAATGGAACAGAATATAGAACTCAGAAACAAATTTGTACATCTACAGTGAACTCATTTTCAATGAAGTTGCCAAGAACATACGTTGGGAAAAGAACAGTTTCTTCAATAATTAGTGCTGAGAAAACTGAATATCTATATGTAGAAGAATAAAACTACACCCCTATCTCTCACCATATACAAAAATCAAATCCCAATGCATTGAAGACATAAATCTAAGACCTCAAACTATGAAAATATACAAGAAAATACTGAGGAAGCTCTTAATGACATTGACCTGGGCAAAGATTTCTTGAATAGTACCCCACAAGCACACACAACCAAAGCAGAAATGAACAAATAGAATCACACCAAGTTGAAAAGATTCTGCACGATGAGGCAAACAATCAACGAATTGAAAAGACAACCTTCAGAATGGGAGAAAATATTTGCAATCTACCCATCTTACAAGGGATTAATAATGATAACATATAAGAAGCTAAAACAATTCTACAGAAAAAAATTAATAATCTGATTTTAAAATGGGCAAAAGATCTGAATAGGCATTTTTCAAACAAAGACATACAAATGGCAAACAAGTATATGAAAATGTGCTCAACATCATTAATCATCAGAGAAATGCAAATGAATCCTACAATGAGATGCCACCTCACTCCAGTTAAAAAATGGCTTTCATCTAAAAGACAGGACAATAATAAATGCTGGTGAAGATATGCAGAAGAAAGAACCCTCATATACCATTGGTGGGAATGTAAATTAATATATCCCCTATAGAGAAACACTTCGGAGGTTCCCAGAGCTATAATATAATCTAGGAATCCCAGTGCTATGTATATACCCAAAAGAAAGAAAGTTTGTTTATCAAAGGGATATCTACACTCCCATTTTTATTGGAGCATTATTTACAATACCCAAGATTTGGAAGCAACATAAGTGTTCATAAATTTAAAAATTTGGTACATATAAACAATTCAGCCATGAAAAAGAAGGAGATTCTGTCATTTGCAACAACATGGATAGAACTGGAGGACATTATGTTAAATAAAATAAGTCAGGAACAGAAAAAGAAACTTCACATGTTCTCACTTATTTGTTGGAGCTAAAAATTGAAACAATTGAACTCATGGAGATAGAAAATGGATGGTTACTAGTGGCTGGGAAGGGTGTTTGGGTTGTGCAGCTGAAGTGGGGATGATTAATGGATACAAAAAGTAGTTAGAAAGAATAAATAAGACCTAGTATTTTATAGCAAAACAGAGTGACTATGGTCAATAATAATTTAATTGTACATTTTAAAATAACTGAAAGAGTATAATTGGATATTTGTAACACAAAGGATAAATTATTGAGGTAATAACCTATTTCTGCTGATGTTATTGTTACATATTGCATGCCTGTATCAAAATATTTCATGTGTCTCATAAATATATACACTTACTATGTACCTACAAAAATTAAAAATAGAAACATTTAAAAATAAAATAAAATGGAGATGGTGAGGTAGGAGGTCTTAGACCTACATTGCAAATATTCAGTTCTCAAATTAATGCAGGATGGGTATTGATAAAAGTAGGAACAAGTCCATAAAGAATATAAATCACCCCCTAGGCCATAAAACAAACTTCAATAATTTTAAAAGAATTGAAATTATACAGAGTACATTGTCTAATCAGAATGGAATAAAACTAGAAAACAACAGATAGACAAAAAGAAAATCCCTGAGCACTTGGAAAATAGACAACACACTTACAAATAGACATTTGATCCAATGGATCAAATAAAAAAATCTAAAAGGAAACAAAATATAAGTACAACTGAATGAAAATATAGATGCAACATATCAAAATATATGGGATTCAGCTAAAGTCATTCTGAGAAGACAATTTACAGCACTAAATTCTTATATCAGTAAATAAGAAAGTTCTCAAATCTATAATCTCAGTGTCTAACTCCAGAAACTGGAAAATCAAGAGCACAATAAACACAAAGAAAGCAGAAGAAAGCAAATAAAGAGCAGAAATTTATAAAATTGAAAACAGACTTAGCTGTAAAAAGATATGAAATACTGTCATTTGCAGCAACAGGGATAGAATTGAAGGTCATTATGTTACGTGAAATAAGCCAGGTGCAAAAAGAGAAATGTCACATGTTTTTTTCTTATATGTGGGAGCTAAAAGATGTGTATCTCATGGGGATAGAGAGTAGAATGGTCATTACCAGAGGCTAGGAAGGGACGGACGGAAGAACAGATGAAGAGAAGTTGTTTAATGGGTTCAAAAATACAGTTACATAGAAGGAATATGTTCTGGTATTCAATTATATGGTAGGGAAAATATAGTTAACAAGAATTTATCATATATTTCAAAATAGCTAGAAGAGAAGAATTGTAATGTTTCCAACAGAAAAGAAAAAGATAAATGTTTGAGTTGATGAATATTGCAGTTATCCAGATTTGATCATTAACACATTGTCTACAGGTTTCAAAATATCACATGTACTCCCAAAATACATACATCTATTATATGTCAATAAAAAGAAAATATAAAGAAAATCCATTTTAAAAGGCTACTGCTTCAAAAAGATGGTTTATATTTATAAATCTATTGCAAGACTGAAAAAAATTAAAAGAGAAAAGATAAATTACCTTAGACATAATACAAAGGATATCACTATAGATATCACTATAGAACCATTATAAAGATAATAGAGGTAATACTATGATTAATTTTACACACAAAACTTGATAATTGAAAACAAATGAAATAATTCCTCAAAAACCACAAACCATAAAACTCAATAAAGATGAAACAGACAACTTGAATAGTTCAAAGAGTTAAAGGTAACCATTTCTCATGAAAACCATGTCTCACTAAATAGAGAATATTAATAAAGAGATAGAAAGTATAAAAAAGGAACCAAAAGGAAATTCTGGAACTTAAAAGTAGAGTAATTAAAATGAAAAGTACACTAGATGGCCTCAACAGTGGATTTGAGCCCCAGAACATGAATGAACCTTGAAACCCTTATGCTAAGTGAAAGAAACAAGACATAAAAGGAAACAGCTTATAAGAGTCTATTTATATTATACATTCAGAAAAAAGCAAGTCCGTAGAGGCAGAAAGCAGACTGGTGGTTGATGGGGGGTAGGGACAAAGAAGAATGAAGAATGACTATGATATGAATTGGGTGTTTTGTCTCCTCCAAATCTCACATTGAAATGTGACCTCTAATGTTGGAGGATCATGGGGAATCAATGTTTGAAACATGGGGGTGGATCCCCCATGAATGACTTACTGCCATCTCCTTGGTAAGGAGTGAGTTCTTGCTGTTAGTTCACATGAGATCTGGCTGTTTAAGAGTGTCTGACACCTCACCCTTCTCTTTCTTGCCCCCTCTCTCTTGTTCCTTCTCTTGCTATATGATGTTCTGGCTCTCCCTTCACCTTCTGCCATGATTGTAATCTTCCTGAGTCCCTCATCAGAAGCTGAGGAGATGTTGGTGCCATGCTTGAACAGCCTGCAGAACTGTGAGTCAAAATAAACCTCATTTCTTCATAAATCACCCAGCCTCAGGTATTGCCCTATAGCAATGCAAATAAACTAATACAGAATACTAATGGGTATTGGATTTCTTTTAGTGGTGATAAAAGTTTCTGAAATTAGATAGTGGTAATAGAAGCACAACCTTGTAAATATGCTAAACAGTCTACTGAATTGTATACTTTAAAATGGTGAATTCTATAGTATGTGAATAATATCTCAATAAAAGAGAAATATCACTACTGAAATAGCTGGCATAAAATTAGTGATAACATATGTTGATGATGATGTGGAGAACTGGATCCCTCATACATTACTAGTTGGAATGTAAAATGCCCCAGTAATTCGTGAAAATTATTTGGCAATTTCGTATAAAACTAAATACATGACAACTGTATGACCCAACAATTGCACTATGGGGCATTTATTTTGAAGACAAGAAAACGTTTTTCCCCACAAAAACCTGTACACAAATGTTTAGAGCAACTCTATTCCTAAGAGCCCCAAACTGGAAACAACACAGATTGCTTCAATGAGTGAATGCTTTTTTTAAAAAAAGCTATGGTACACATACCACGGATCACTAACCACCAACAAAAAGAATAAACTATTGATATAACCAACTTGGTTGAATCTCAAGGCTATTATGCTAAGTGAAAAAATCAACTTCTAGTGTTACATACTGATATGGTTTAGCTCTGTGTCCCCACCCAAATCTCACCTTGAGTTGTAATAATCCCCATGTGTCAAGGTCGGGACCAGGTGGAGATAATTAAATCATGGAGGTGGCTTCCCCCATGCTGTTCTCATGATAGTGAGTGAGTTATCACGAGATCTGATGGGTTTATAAGGGGCTTCCCCCTTTGCTCGGCACTCATTCTGTCTCCTGCTGCCCTCTGAAGAGGTGCCTTCCACCATGATTGTAAGTTTCCTGAGCCCTCCCCAAAACTGTGGGTCAATTACACCTCTTTCTTTTATAAATTACCCAGTCTTGGGTATGTCCTTATAGCAGCATGAAAATGGACTAATACACATACTGTATAACTCCATTTATATAACACAATTGACATGTCAAATTTATAGAGACGGTGAAGAGATTTGTTGCTGCCAAGGGTTAGGGACAGGGGCAGGAAGCAAAAGGAATGGAGGCAATTGTGGTTATAAAAGGTCAACACTTGGGGAGTCTTTGTGGTGATGGAACTGTTCTATATCTTGACTATGGTGGTGAATTCACAAGCCTACATATGATAAAATTGTGACAAATATATACACATTCACAAATGAGTACTATACAAATATAATTAGAGAAATCTGAATTAGATTAGTGGATTACATTAACACCAGTTTGCTGGTTGTGATATTGTACCATAGCTTTGGAAGATGTAATCATTAGGGAAATCTGGATAAAGAATACATGTGCTCATAAAACTGCGTATGAATCTACAATTGTCTCAAAATTTAAAAATTGTAGAAAAATTATGCATAACTTAAGATATTCCTAAGCAAGTCAGGAAATCTATAATTCACTGGAGAAAAAAATGATACATTCAACTCCATAAAATTAATAATTTTAAATGGCAAAATATTCAACCCAATTTTTAAAATATACAAGGGGTATCAATTGTCCATTCACAGATTAACAAATTCAAAACGCCCAGGAAGCATATGAAAAAGTGCTCATTCTCACTAATAGAGGAATATGAATTAAAGCTAAACTCAGATGTTCTTTCTAACCCTTATTATTGGCAAAAAGTTTCAAGTGTGATAATATTTAGCTCTGAAGGTAAGGTGGGGCTTGGTGAAAATGAGTATTGTTACATCTCTGTGTATGTATATGTAAATAATCTGGTAATGTTAAATATTAAAACTATAAATACTCTTCCACATAGCAACCCTATGACTTGGAATTTATCACAAAAAATGAAGAATGTTTATTGTAACATTATGAGTAGAGGCAAAAACAAAAAAGGTAGAAACAAAGTGAATGTTAATAAATGGGGAAATGATTGAATTAAATAGAGGAATAGCCATACCATGGAGTATTTTTTGTGGCTATATGTTGACTTTGAGTAATTGCTAAGAGAGCAAAGCAAGTCATGGACACAGCTCAGGTTATAATAATAGCTTATAAGAATTTTGTGGCTATTAAAAAGAGTGAATACTCTTATCAGTTGACTTTGAGGAAATTCTAAGAGAGTAAAGGAAGTCATGGACACAGCTCAGATTATACTAATGGTAACCTGGAACTTCCTGAAGACAGAAAGCAGTAGCAGAACATTTGTAATTTCTTGGCTCATAGACCAAATGAAAAGCTTCAAGTACAGAATAACTCTGGCTTGCACAAGTTGGTTTAGCAACACATACTCATATTCCTACTTTCCTAGAAATTGGTTCTCACCCACAGATAATTATAGGGCATAATTTAGCATGTTTATAAGAGATGCCACTCTGCTGGTGTTGGACTTCCTGTGGCAGATTTGGGGAAATCAATTTACTAGCTGGGTAGCCCTGGGCTAGATATTTAACCTCTCCCTCATGTATAACATAGGGACAATAGCAGTACCTATCTCATAGGGTTCTTCTGAAGATTAAATGAGTTAATATGTGCAACATGCTTAGAATTGTGCCTGAGACAAAGCAAGCGCTAAATAAATATTGATGTCTTTTTTATTATCATTTCCACCAAGATGATTAAAATCGGCTTTTTACTCAATCTCCTTCCTTTTGGAAGGAAGCCTCTCCTTCCTTCAGTCTCTGGTCTTATCTGGTAGGGTCTATGTAATGAGGATAATATTGTTAAGGGGAAAGAGAGCAGCAGTTACAGATTCCAGGGGAGACCCTGGACACCTAGTCCAAAGGCCTGCTTGGTTATTCTTCTTTGTCTGATTGTCTATTTAATGGATATCCCTTCCCTTCTATTTCCTATGAGATTTCTAATGTGTTTGGTGTAATAGGAGAAAGAAAGTGTCCTGACAGTGAAGGATCAAGAGGTCTAGTTCCAATTCAACAAACATATGGACTGACGAAGAGAAAGATAGCACAAATTACCTGTAACATAATTTCTAAAGCAGAGAGGGAATTGGGGGTTTAGGAAAGTCTAGCAGAAGTGAAGTCTACAGCTTTAAAAATTTTCCCCATGTTGCTGATCTCCTAAGCAACCATAACCCCTTCACTCTGGGATGTATTATAAGATTGGTATAGTGGTTTCAAGGATGGAATTGGGAAAAATTCTTGTGATACAAGTCTGACTATTCCTGGGTGGTCTACGTAGGCAAGTTTGCTCTTTGAATGTGTACAGACACTAACATTTTCTCTCCCTCCTTATTCATCTTAGTCTTGCCCCTTACCAATATCCTGATATAGGGACTTAAAGTATAACAGATAAAACACAAATTTCCTAGCCTTTGAAAACTAAAAAAATTGTTTTCTACAGATATGTGAAGTGCTCTAGAACTGAAGGCTCTATTAATCATTCTAGACAGTGTTGACTATTGCCTTTGTTAAAATTTTAATGATTTAATAAAAAAGCATTATTCTATTACTGTTTAATTTGTCCTTTTAAAAAATTACTTCTGAGATTAAGCATTTTCTTCCACTGTTTATTGTCTATTTGGCTGTCTTTTTAATTGAAATGCCTACTTTTATCTTTAATCTATTTTTCTCTTAGGGTTTTTATGGTCTAATAAAATTTATTACCTCCTCCACATTAAACTAACATATCTTTATTGTTGAGAATTTGAAAAATTCACCAGTGCAGAAGCTAGAGTGAAAAATAACTCATGATCACTCACTATTATTATTTTGGTGGATTTCTATGGTGTTTTCCAATATGACTTTCTCTATTGGCATGTAGTTCAGATAATTACACATACATGTACCCACATACATAATGAAATGGTGGCCATATTTTATAGATTTCTATGTGATGTTTTGAATTAATGAACATTTTTTCATCTCTTAAAAAATTCTTCCAGAACATACCTCAACATAGTAAAAGCCATGCATATATGGCAATCCAATAGCAAACATAATACTGACTGGCAAAAATTTGAAAGAATTCCCCCTCAGAACTAGAACATGACAAGGATGCCCACTTTCATCACTTCTACTTAACATAGTACTGGAAGTCCTAGCCAGAGCAATCAGACAAGAGAAAGAAATAAAGGGCATCCAAATAGGAAGGGAGGAAGTCAAACTATCTCTGATTGCTGATAATATGATTGTATACCTAGAAAACCCTACAGACTCCTCCAAAAGACTTTTATATTTGATAAATGAATTTGATAAAATCTCAGGTTAAGAAATCAATATACACAAATCTGCAGCACTGCTATGCACCAACAATGACCAAGCTGAGAATCAAATGAAGAACTAAATCCCTTTCATAATAGCTGCAAAAAAAGTACCTAGGAATATACTTAACCAAGGAGGTGAAAGATCTCTACAGAGACAACTATTACCTGAAACACTAATGAAAGAAATCATAGATGACACAAACAAATAGAAATATATCCAACGCTCATGGCTCATGAATTGAAATAATCAATATTGTAAAAACGACCATACTGTCCAAAACAACCTACAGATTAAACGCAATATCTATCAACATACCAACATTATTATTCACAGAATTAGAAAAGATCAATCCTAAAATTTATATGGAATCAGAAAAAAGCACAAACAGCCAAAGCAAACCTAAGCAAAAAGATCAAATCTGGAGGCATCGCATTACCTTATTTTACAAAGCATACAAAAACATAAATTGAGGAAACAACACCCTATTATATAAATGGTGCTGTGAAAACTGGATAACCACATGTAGAAGAATGAAACTCAATCCCCACATCTCACCATATACAAAAATCAACTAAAGATATACAAAATATGTAAATCTAAGACCTGAAACCATTAAAATTATAGAAGAAAACCTAGGAAAAACTCTCTTGAATATTTGCCTAGGCAAAAAATTTATGATTAAGACCTCAAAAGCAAGAGGATCCAGGATGGCTGATTGTAAACAGCTGTGGTACGTGGCCCTCAGGGAAAGGAATAAAAGGAGTGAGTGAATTTAGCACCTTCAACTGATATATCCGAGTTCTTGCATTGGGACTGACTAGGCAAACAGCTCGACCCATGGAGAGCAAAGAGAAGCAGGGTGGGGTGATGGTCCACCCAGGAGCAGCATAGAGCCAAGGGAACCCTCAACCCCAGCCAAGGGAAGTGGTGAGTAACTGAGCGATCCCACCCGAGAAACCACACTTCTCCCATGGATCTTTGCAACCCACAGATCAGGAGATCCCCTTGTGAGCCCACACAACCAGTGCCTTGGGTCCAATACATGGAGCTGTGCAGAGTCTTGCCAAAATGGCCACTCGGGCACACAGAGAAACCCAAAAGTTTTGCATACACCAGCCCCAGGATCCATGACAATGTGGGAGATCTATCCATGCATGTTCCCGGGAAGGGGTCTAGATCTAGGGAGCCAAGTGACATTGTTCTTCGGTCACCTCATGAGTTGAGACTCACTGGCTTGGAATTCCAGCCAGTCGGTGGCAGCAGGCTGGAATCTGCCTGAGTTGGGACCAGGTTCCTGGGGGGAAGGGCAGTCGCCATCTCTGCAGTTCAGTAGACTCAGTCGTTTCAGCCCACCTGCTTTGAAGAATACAGGAAGTCTAGACAAAGAGGTGTCCCCCCAGCACAGCACAGCTGCCTTGCCAGATTGTGGCTAGACTGCTTCTTTAAACGGGACCCTAATCCATCCCTCCCCAGTGGGCGAGACCTCCCTGCAGGGGCTTCAGCCACTCCAGCAAGGGTTCTAGAGACAGAACTCTGAGCTCTAGTGAAGAGGAGCAGCCACAACTCTGTGGTTCAGTAGACTCAGCCATTTCAGTCTGCCAGCTTTGGAAAATACACACGGTCTGGATGAGGAACGGTCCCACCCAATGCAATGCATCTGCTCTACCAAAGGGCAGCCAGACTGCTTCTTTGGAGAGGTTCCTGATTCTGTTTCTCCTGGCTGGGTAAGACCTACCAGCAGGGGTCTCCAGCACATTCTACAGGAGAGTTCAGGCCAGGAACAGGTCAGTTATCCTCTAGGTTTGAGCTGCCAGAAGAAGAAGCAGGCTGCTATCTTTGCTGTTATCTTTGCCTTCACTGGTGATAGCAAGCTGTTATGTTTGCATTCACTGGTGATACCTCTGGGTATGAGAAACACTGAAGCAAGTAGGGTCTGAAGCAGACCTCAAGCAAACCACAGCAGCCTTATGGAAGAGGGGCCTGACTGCTAAAAGAAAACCAAACAAATAGAAAACAACAACTGCAACAACATCAACAAAAAAGACCTCACAAAAACCTCATTCAAAGGTCAGCAACCTCAAGGATCAAAGGTAGAGAAGCCTACAAATATGAGAATCAATGCAAAAAAGCTGAAAGTGCAAAAAGCCAGAGGGCCTCTTCTCCTCCAAATGACTGCAACACCTCTCTAGCAAGGGCACAGAACTGGGCTGAGGCTGAGATAGCTGAATTGAAAGAAGTAAGCTTCAGAAAGTGGGTAATAATAAATTTTGCTGAGCTAAAGGAGCATGTTGTAATCCAGTGCAAAGAAGCTAAGAATCATAATAAAACAATGCCAGAATGGATAGTCAGAATAGCCAATATAGAGAGGAACATAACTGACCCGGTGGAGCTGAAAAACACATCACGAGAACTTGACAATGCAATCACAAGTATTATTAGCAGAACAGACCAAGTGGAGATAAGAATCTTAGAGCTTGAAGACTATCTTTCTGAAATAAGGCAGGCAAACAAAGAATACAGTAAAAAGAATAAAAAGGAATGAACAAAACCTCCGAGAATTATGGGATTATGTAAAGAGACTGAACCTACAACTGATTGGAGTACCTAAAACAGATGAGGAGAATGGAACTAAGTTGAAAAACATACTTTAGGATTTCATCCTGGAGAACTTCCCCAACCTAGCAAGACAGGCCAACATTCAAATTCAGGAAATGCAGAGAACACCACTAAGATACTCCACGAGAAAATCAGCTGCAAGACTCATAATAATCAGATTCTCCAAGGTCGAAATGTAAGTAAAAATGTTAAGCCAGAGAGAAAGGCCAGGTCACCTAAAAAGGGAAGCCCATCAGACTAACAGAGGATCTCTCAGTGGAAACCCTACAAGTCAGAAGAAATTGGGCGCCAATATTTAACATTCTTAAAGAAAAGAATTTTCAACCCAGAATTTGACATCCTGCCAAACTAAGCCTCATAAGTGAAGGAGAAATGAGATTATTTTCAGACAAGCAAATGCTGAGGGAATTTATCACCACCAGGCCTGCCTTGCAAGTGTTCCTGAATGAACCACTAAATATTGAAAGAAAAAAATCATTACCAGCCACAACATAAACATGCTGAAGTATACAGACCAGTGATACTATGAAGCAACCACATAAACAAGTCTGCAAAATAATTGGCTAACATCATGATGACAGGATTACATTCACACATAACAATACTAACCTTAAATGTAAATGGGCTAAATGCCCCAATAAAAAGACAAAGGATGGCAAGCTGAATAAAGACACACATAGGCTCAAAATAAAGGGATGGAGAAAAATTTACCAAGAAAATGGAAAACAGAAAAAAGCAGGGGCCACAATCCTAGTTTCTGAACAAAATTCTTCAAACCAACAAAGGTCAAAAATGACAAAGAAGGGCATTATATAATGGTAACAAGTTCAATTCAACAAGAAGAGCTAACGATCCTAAATATATATGTACCCAATACAGGAGCACTCAGATTAATAAACCAAGTTCTTAGAGACCTAGAAAGAGACTTAGATTTCCACAAAATAATAGTGGGAGACGTCAACATTCCACTGTCAGTATGAGACAGATCATCATGACAGAAAATTAACAAAGATATTCAGGACCTGAACGCAGCTCTGGATCAAGTGGACCTGATAAATATCTACATAACTCTCCACCCCAAAACAACAGAATACATATTATTCTCATCACCACATGGCACTAATTCTAAAATTGACCACATAATTGGAAGTAAAACACTCCTTAGCAAATGCAAAAGAATGGAAATCATAACAAACTCTTTATCAGACCACAGCACAATCAAATTAGAACTCAAGATTAAGAAACTCACTCAAAACCACTAATCTACATGGAAATTAAGCAACCTGCTTCTGATTGACTCCTGGATAAATAATAAAAATCAAAAAGTTCTTTGAAACCAATGAGAACAAAGAGACAACATACCAGAATCTCTGGAATGCAGCTAATGCAGTGTTAAGAGGAAAATTTATAGCACTAAATGCCCACATCAAAAAGCTAGAAAGATCTCAAGTTAACAGCCTGACATAACAACTAAAAGAAATAGAGTACCTAGAGCAAACACACCCCAAAGCTAGCAGAAGACAAGAAATAACCAAGATCAGAGTGGAACTGAAGAAGATAGAGACATAAAAACCCCTTCAAAAAATCAACAAATACAGGAGTTTTTTAAAAAATTAATAAAATAGATAGACCACTAGCTAGACTAATAAAGAAGAAAAGAGAAAAATCAAACAAAAACCATCAGAAATGATAAGGGGTTTATCACCACTGACCCTGCAGAAATACTAACAACCACCTGAAAATACTATAAAAACCTCTATGCACATAAACTAGAAAATCTGGAAAAAAAATCATTAAATTCCTGGACTCATACACCCTCCCAAGACTAAATCAGAGATAAATTGAATCCCTGAATAGACAAATAACTAGTTCTGAAATTGAGGCAGTAATAAATAGCCTACCAACCAAAAAAAGCCCAGGACCAACAGATTCATAGCTGAATTGTACCAGAGGTACAAAGAAGAGCTGGTACTGAGAGACAGGACTAGCTAGATTTCCTAGGCCAACTAAGAATTCGTATGCCTTGCTGGAAAAGGTGACCACACCTACCTTTAAGCATGGGGCCTGTAACTCAGCTCACACCCAACCCGTCAGGTAGTAAAGAGGTCTCACTAAAATACAAATTAGGCCAATGCACGAGGTAAAGAAATAGTCAAATCATATATCACCTGAGAGCACAGGGGGAGGGACAATGATCGGAATATAAACTCAGGCATTGGACCAGGGAGGAGCAACCCCCTTTTGGTCCCTTCCCATTTTATGGGAGCTCTCTTCACTCTATTTAAATCCTGCAACTGCACACTCTTCTGGTCCGTGTTTTTTTATGGGTCGAGCTGAGCTTTCACTCACCATCCACCACTGCTGTTTGCTGCCATCACAGACCCACTGCTGACTTCCACCCCTCCAGATCCAGCAGGGTGTCCACTGCACTTCTGATCCAGCCAGACAGTGCCCATTGCTGCTCCCAATTGGGCTAGAGGCTCGCCATTGTTCCTGAGCAGGCTAAGTGCCTGGGGTTCATCCTAATCGAGCTGAATAGAGCTGTAACATTCACCGCATGGCCCAAGATTCCATTCCTTGGAATCCATAAGGCCAAGAACCCCGGGTTAGAGAACAAGAGGCTTGCTGCCATCTTGGAAGCAGCCCACCACCATCTTGGGAGCTCTAAGAACAAGGACCCCTGGTAACAGTACCATTTCTACTGAAACTATTCCAAAAATTTGAAGAGGAACAACTCCCTAACTCATTCTATGAGGCCAGCATCAGCCTGATATGAAAACTTGGCATAGATACAACAAAAAAAGGAAACTTCAGGCCAATATCCTTGATGCATATCAATGCAAAAATCCTCAGTAAAATATTGGCAAACTGAATCCAGTAGCACATCAAGGAGCTTATTCACGACCATCAAGTTGGCTTCATCCCGGGATGCAAGACTGGTTCAACATACACAAATCAATAAGCACAATTCATCACATAAGCAGAACTAAAGACAAGACCACCTGATTATCTCAATAGATGCAGAAAAAGCTTTCAATAAAATTCAACCTCCTTTCATGTTAAAAACTCTCAACAAACTAGGTATTGATGGAAATATATCTCAAAATCATAAGAACTATTTATGACAAATCCACAGCCAATATCATACTGAATGGGCAAAAGCTGGAAGCATTCTCCTTGAAAACCAGCAGAAGAGAAGGATGTCCTCTCTCACCACTCCTACTCAACATAGTATTGGAAGTTCTGGCCAAAGCAATCAGGGAAGAGAAAAGAATAAGGGGTATTCAAATAAGAAGAGAGGAAGTCAAATTGCCTTTGTTTGCAGATGACATGATCCTATATCTAGAAAAACCCATCATCTCATCCTGAAAGATTCTTAAGCTGATAAGCATCTTCAGGATACAAAATAAATGTGCAAAATTCACTAGCATTCTTATACATCAACAATAGGCAAGCAGACAACCAAATCCTAAATGAACTATCATTCACAATTGCTACAAAAAGAATAAAATACCGGCTGTAGTCAGGGGCTCACTCCTTTAATCCCAGCACTTTGGGAGGCCCAGGTGGGTGGATTGTGAGGTCTGGAGTTCAAGACCAGCCAGGCCAAGATGGTGAAACCCATCTCTACTAAAAACACACACACAAAATTACCAGGCATGGTGGCGTGCACCTGTAATATCAGCTACTAGGGGGGTGAGGCAGAGAATTGTTAGAACCCAGGAGGTGGAGGTTGCAGTAAGCCGAGATCGCGGCACTGCGCTCCAGCCTGGGCAACAGACTGAGACTCTGTCAAAAAAAAAAAAGAAAGAAAGAAAGAATAAAATACCAAGGAATATATTTGACAGTTGAAGTGAAGGACCTCTTCAAGAACCACAAACCACTGCTCAAATAAGTCAGAGAGGACACAAACAAATAGAAAATATTCCATGCTCATGAGTAGGAAGAATCAATATTGTGAAAATGGCCATACTGCCCAAAGTAATTTATAGATTCAATGCCATTTCCATTGAGCTACCACTGACATTCTTGACAGAATTAGAAAAAACTTTTTTAAAATTTATATGGAACCAAAAAAGAGTCTGAATAGCTATAAACAATTCTAAGCAAAAAGAACAAAGCTGGAGGCATCACACTACCTGACTTCAAACTATTCTATAAGGCTACAGTAACTAAAACAGCATGGTACTGGTACAAGAACAGACAGACAGACCAATGGAACAGAATGGAGAACTCAGAAATAAGACTGCACACCTACAACCATCTGTTCTTTGACAAACCTGACAAAAGCAATGGAGGAAATATTGCCTATTTAATAAATGGTGCTGGGAGAACTAGCTAGCCATATGCAGAAAATTTAAACTGGACCCCTTCCTTACATCATATACATAAATTAACTCAAGATAGATTAAAGACTTAGATGTAAAACACAAAACTATAAAAAACCTAGAAGAAAATCTAGGCAATACCATTCAGGACATAGGAACAAGCAAAGATTTCATAATAAAAATGCCAAAAGCAATTGTAACAAAAGCAAAAATTGGCAAATGAGATCTAATTAAACTAAAGAACTGCTGCACAGCAAAAGAAACTGTCATCAGAAAGAACAGACAGCCTACAGAATGGAAGAAAATTTGTGCAATCTATGCACCTGACCAAGGTCTAATATCCAGAGTCTACAAGGAACTTAAACAAATTTACAAAGAAAAAAATTAAAAAGTGGGCAAAGGACATGAACAGACACTTCTCAAAACATACATGTGGCCAAGAATCGTGGAAAAAAAGCTCAACATCACTGATCATTAGAGAAATGCAAGTCAAAAACGAGATACCATCTCATGCCAGTCAGAATGGTGACTATTAAAAAGTCAAAAGCAACAGATGCTGGCGAGGTTGTGGAGAAAAAGGAACACTTTTACACTGTTGGTGGGAGCGTAAAGTAGTTCAACCATTGGGGAAGACAGAGTGTGGCAATTCCTCAAAGACAGAGAGGCAGAAATACCATTTGACCCAGCAATATCATTACTAGCTATATACCCAAATGAATATAAATCATTCTATTACAAAGATACATGTGCACGTATGTTTATTGCAGCACTATTCACAAGAGTAATACATGGAATCAACCCCATTGCCCATCAGTGATAGACTGGATAAAGAAAATGTGCTACATATATACACCATGGAATACTATGCATCCATAAAAAGGAAGGAGATCATGTCCTTTGCAGTGACATGGATGGAATTGGAAGTCACTATCCCCAGCAAACTAATCCTGGAACAGAAAACCAAACACTGTATGTTTTCATTTTTAAGTGGGAGCTGAATGATGAGAACACGTGGACACATGGGTTGGGGGGAAATACACATCTGGTCTGTCAGAGGGGGTGTGAAGGGAGGGAGAGCATCAGGAAGAATAGCTAATGGATGCTGGGCTTAATACCTAGGTGATGGGATGATCTTTGCAGCAAACCACTGTGGCACACGTTTACCTATGTAACAAACCTGCACATAAGGCACATGTACCCCTAAACTTAAAATAAAAGTTGAAGGAAAAAAGAAAAGAGAAACAAAAAGACCCCAAAAGCAAATGCAACAAAAAGAAAAATAAATAAATGGGACCTAAATTAAACTAAAAACTTTTGCACTACAAAAGAAATAATCATCAGAGTAAACAGACAACCCACTGAATAGCAGAAAATATTTGCAAACTATGCATCCAACAAAGGACTGATATCTAAAATCCACAAGGAACCCACACAAATCAGCAAGAAAAAAAAACCCAAATAATCCCATCAAAAAGTGGGCAAATGACACAAATAGACACTTCTATAAAGAAGATATACAAATCACCAATAAACATATAAAAATGTTCAACATCAGTAATCATCAGGGAAATGCAAATTAAAATCACAATTAGATACCACTTTACCCTAGGTACACTGAATATTACTAAAAAGTCAACAAACAATAGCTGTTGGCATGGATATGGTGAAAAGTGAACACTTTTACACTGTTGGTGGGGACGGAAATAGAGGTTGTTAGTACAACGTCTATGGAAAATAGTACGGAGATTTCTCAAAGAACTAAAAGTAGATCTAACATTCGATCCAGCAATCCCACTACTGGGTATCTATCCAAAAGAAAAGAAGTCATTATATCAAAAAGACACTTGCACATGTATGTTTATCACAGCACAAATCACAGTTGAAAACATATGGAACCAACCTAAGTGCCCATTAACTGATGAGTGAATAAAGAAAATGTGGTATGTATACACACACACAAACACACAGACGATGGAATACTACTCAACCATAAAAAAAATGTATTTTCAGCAACATGGATGGAGCTGGAGGCCATTATTCTGAATGAAGTAACTCAGGAATGGAAAGCCAAATACCTTATGTTCTCAATTATAAGTGGATACTAAGCTATGGGTATGCAAAGGCAGACAGAGTAGTATAATGGACACTGGAGACTCAGAAGCAGAGAGGGTGGGAAGGTGTGGGGAATAAAAAGCTACATATTGGGTACAATGTACACTACTCAGATGTTAGGTGCACTAAAATCAGACTTCACCACTATACAATTCATCCTTGTAACCAAAAACCACTTGTGCCCCAAAAGCTATTGAAATAATATATATTTATACATAATAAAATTCAAAAATTATCCCAGAACAGTATTTCTAAAGGTTGCCAAATAATTCACCTGCCAAAGATCCATATCTTATCATTTATTTACTCACTGTCTTATCACACATTTAGCTCTTCGTATTTCATTACCATTAATAAAGTACAATGACTATCATCTTTGTACATAATGATTTGGGAATGTACGTTAGTTGGTAAGATTATACAATAAGGATATCAATTTTGTATCATGTATATTGTAAAGTTTTCCAACTTTATCATTGTCTGTTTATTTATTTATTTATTTATTTATTTATATTTTTGAGACGGAGTCTTGCTATGTCACCCAGACTGGAGAGAAGTGGCGCGATCTCGGCTCACTGCAAGCTCTGCCTCCTGGGTTCACGCCATTCTGCTGCCTCAGCCTCCCCAGCAGCTGGGACTACAGGCGCACACCGTCAAGCCCGGCTATTTTTTTTGTATTTTTAGTAGAGACGGGGTTTCACCGTGTTAGCCAGGATGGTCTCGTTCTCCTGACCTCATGATCCGCTCGCCTCGGCCTCCCAAAGTGCTGGGATTACAGGCGTGAGCCACCGCCCCGGGCTGATTGTCTTTTTAAAATAAAACTTACCGAAAAGGTAATATATTTCATGTATCAAAAACCAAATAGAAGAAGCATAAAGTATCTATTCCAGCTTAATCTCCCATCTCCCCAGTTCCCACCTTCTCCACCCACACAGTTAACTATTTTTATTCATTTCTTCTGTAAACTTTGTGTGTGTTTACATAAGGAGATAGCCCCCACCCACTTTTTCATATAATTTGTAGCATACAATATACACTTTTTGTTTCTTTTCTTTTCTTTCTTTCTTTTTTTTTTTTTTTTTTTTAAGATGGAGTTTCCCTCTTGTTGCCCAGGCTGCAGTGCAGCGGAGCGATCTCGGCTCACCGCAATCTCTGCCTCCCGGGTTCAAGTGATTCGCCTCCCTCAGCCTCCCGATTAGCTGGGATTACAGGCATGCGCCACTATGCCTGGCTAATTTTGTATTTCTTTTTTTAGTAGAGACGGGGTTTCACCATGTTGGTTAGGCTGGTCTTGAACTCCCGACCTCAGGTGATCCACCCGCCTCGGCCTCCCAAAATACTGGGATTACAGGAGTGAGCCACAGCACTAGGCACAATATACACTTTTTAAGTCACTTAAAATATATCTCACTGGTCTTTCCATGTCAGTACATTGAACACTTCCTTGTTATTTTTTGTAGCTTCATTGTATGGTTGTACCATAATTTATTTAATGTGTTGCTCTGATGATAGACATTAAGGTTTTGCTCTTACAAACAATGCTTCAGTAAACAACCTGGCACATATTTTTTTAAAATATATACAAATACCGGCATGTCTGTGGGATAAATTTCCAGAGGTTAATTTGTTTTGTTAGAGCCTTATGCATTCATAAGTTGATAGACGCCCTAAATTGCCTTCAACATGTGTGCCAAATTATACTGTCACCAACAATGTGTCAAAATTTCCCATAGCCTTGCTAACAGTATTTTATCAATTTTTTGGGTGAATTTTTTTGTAATTACAATTGGTGAAAAAATAGTCACATATCTTTGATTTTTAGTAATGGGTTTCCAGCTTAAAATGGTCTTTAATAAGCAGTACTTGATGTTGCCTTTCTTGGCTTCTGACTAATATACAAAAGAAGATCCAGAAGAGGAGGAAAGCTTGCAGTAACTCTGAAAAGTAAGACTGAGAATGAACCCATTGCCAGAATATATGAAACATTCCCATAAATTCTAAATTGAGTGATGTAGTACCCAATTATTGAATACTCACTATATGTGGAGGAACGTATATCTGTCTGTGTACACACACACACACACACACACACACTTCATCATTTCTCCCTTGGAACTCTTCATAATGATCCTGTGAGGATGTGAAATTATGAGCCATATTTGACAAGTGAAGAAACTTTGTCTTGGAAAACTGAAGTGACTGACTTGCCTAAGGCCATGTAATAAGAGGCACATCTGAGGTTCAAACACAGGCATGCCAGACTCCAAACTATAATAGAACTCTTTTCAGTATTTCACATGCTTTATCCCTCTCACACTTTGATTCCTGGCTCAGCAACAGAAAAGTTATACCAGTCAGAAAATTTGCCATCTCCCTCAAAACTTTATTAGCACTGATATCTGAGGTAGTTCAAAACACCTTTCCTTTTTCTATTCCTTCCCACAGATAGTATCTTCCTTTCTATGTCAATAAAGAAACTAGAAGTTGGAAACTCAAAGTGTATGTGCAAGATAGGAGGCTAGATGTAGAAGTGACAATAGGGTTGCAGCTGGCAGCCCATTGCATTCTGGCAAGTGGAGAAGATAACCCAATATAATAATAATGGTTAATATAGATTGAGCTTTTACAGTGGTCAGGGACTTCGCTAAGTGTTTTCCAGGCATTAGTTTATTACAGCAGATTCTTGGGGTAGGTAATATTATTATTCCCTCATTCTAGATGAGGAAATGGAAGCTTGAATAAGTGAAATTACTTGCTGGGATGTTTGTAAAAAGATCTTTGCTCTGGAAGTCAGGAGGCTTCTGTGATACTGCTGCTAGTTTACTTTATAATTTTGTATAAGTGGCTGTCCCTTTCCTTGCTTCAGTGTCTGAACCTGGAATTTTTTATGCGGTTTTTGAGACTCTAAGTTCATTGGGGTGGAATTTGGAAGGGTGGTCAAGCATGAATAGGACTAGAAGGGAACACAAATATTTTTTGCTCAAGACATTAGTCTCAGCTGTACCTCCATATGTCTTTTCCCTGCTTTACCCCTTCCTACTTGTTCTCTTGCTCATGGCACTCATTCTCTTCCCTAGTTGTAGATTTAAGTTAAGTCCAGTAGGAACTTGACACACTCAGAAAATGGATGAAAACCCAAGGGGATGCTACTTTTGGGACCATTGTCTGAGCTTTTTTGGGTTACTGCCACCTGTCACAGTTTAAGAGATGTGGAGAGCCACTCATGGCTGTCAGAGGCTGTGTCAAGGAAACAATATTCTGGTAATGATTTTTATTTACCATGAGGGTTTGGTTTCCTCTTCTGGTGTCTACTTGGACTTCCCTAAGAATTAGTTACCTTGGTTCTTGGGCTTGGCATCAGCCCACAGAGCATGGAGCCAATCAAGTACCATAAGTCCTGCAGAGATTTAAATTTCCTGGTGGCAGCATTTCTGGCACAGGCTTATGTTTTCCTATGGTTACTTAAGCCCTTTATTAATGCACTCTGAGTTTCTCTCATGGTTTGGCTCCTCAAGAAGTCAGGCAGTAGCGTTCAAGGTATGGGGAAGGTATCAGGTCAAGACAGAAATATTTGGCAGCTTTAGGGATTTTCTGTTTCCACTCTTAAGGTGTGCCCTGAATAAGAGCTGTAGAAGAGTCATCTGGGGCTGACTTCTTTGAGGCCCCAAAGAGTCTGGCCTGGGCTTCAAGGAATCTGAGTCCTAGGGTATGCTCAGCCACGAACTCCCTGGGTGACCTTAGGCAGACAAATTCATTTCCCTGAATCTCTGTTTCCTCAAACATCTTCCATCTCAAACATTCTATAATTCATGAAAGCTGAATAGTACTGGAAATTCTTCTGCTCAGTATGATAATGATTTGAGCAGAGAAATGAACAGGCTGGGTAAAGTGTGACCTTCCCAGGGTACATAAAATGTTTTTCCAATTAAATGAACATTTCCTAAATCAGTTCCCAATTAGTGGAGCCAGTGTGTGTTAGCCTTGTGATGGGGCTGCATAAATAGCAATTCAGAATCCAGGAAGAAAGTGGCCAATAGGCCCACTCTGCTTCTTACCTGTCATAGCAAAAAAGGAGTATGGTGCTCAGAGCCGATCATCACATTTTAGAGAGGACACCATGAGGCTGGAGCTATTTCAGGGCCGTAGCTAAGGTGATGAGGGAACTCTGAACTGTGTCATATGAGGAAGAGCAGAATGGCCTGGGGATAAGTAACCAAGAGAAGACCTCCAGCAACATCTTGGCCCCTGGTTTTGGCTCCTATGGGGAAGAGGGTGTATTAGTTTGTTTTCTGTTGCCTATCAAAGAATGCCTGAAACTGGATAATTTATAAAGAGAAGGAATTTATCTCCTACAATTATAGAGGCTGAGAAGTCCAAGTTTGGGGGCTGTATCTGGTGAGGGCCTTCTTGCTGGTGGGGACTCTCTGCAGAGTCCTGAGGTAGCATTAATAAAGGGCATAAGGAACTCCAGAAAAACATCACATGGTGAGAGGGCTGAGTGTGCTTGCTCAGGTCTCTCATCCTCTTCTTATAAAGCTACCAGGTCCACTGCCATGACGATCCATTAATCCATTAATCCATGAATGGATTGATCCATACATAAGGGCAAAGCCCTCATAACCCAAACACTTCTTAAAGGCCCTATCTTTCCATACTGCCACATTGAAGATTAAGGTATAACACATACAATTTTGGGGACACATTCAAACCATAACAGAGGTGTGTTGTGGGGAAAATGGAGTGACTTCAAACCTGACCCAATAGCTATACTGCAGGTTCAGTAAATAGATGCTACCAAGGGACAGATTTCACACCAAAGTTCAGGAAAAATTTCAGAGTAAAATCAGTTTTATGTGGAATTAGATGGTTATAGATCTATAAACCAGAAGAAGATAATCTGAATTTCAGCTGGAGGAAATTTTGGACAAAAGCCTGGATCTGTTTAAGGGCACGGTCCTTGCACTGTTTGACCTCTAGGGAGAAATACAACTGAATTTGTACAAATGATGGGTGCACCAGGTAGCAGATGAGAGTGTTTTGACAAAGTGAGCTACTTAACCATGTATGGGAGTGCTAATGCATCTCTCTCTTAAGTATGTGTGAAAGCCCTAATGAAACTTCAATAAATACTCCTGAGACTTCATTGGGAGAATAGAGATGGAGGTCTTGAAATATTGCATGGGAGTGAAATAAGAGAGATATTACATTTTCAGGGACCTCTCCAAAATTCCAATAATATAAACTTTTATGTTTAACTTATGGGTTTAATTAATCTCCACATCTCAAATATCATTAATTCTGGAATAGAGCAAGGCATGTCACTTTACAGTTAATACAAAAGTGCCTGTCAAATCACATCAAATAGAAAATCCCAAATTATTGTGTCTCAGTGATATTCAGCATTGTTATGACATACAATAATCCCTCAGGCTACTTAGGTAGTCCTTTCACCAGAAATACATATCACAAGCATGTCCTTGTGGATCTTATTTAGTGTGGCTGCCATTAGTTTTGTGTCCAACACATAAAACCTATGTGTGACCTTTCCAGCCTAGATGAATAGAACACTTACTGACATATTGCTGATCTGCTTGACTTCTATGAAAGGCCTTCTTGGGAGACTCTGGAGTTTTTAGTTGAGCTGTTCTACACATGGGCCTGGGTTTTGCCCATGTTCACCTCAGCTTTCCTCTAAGCAGAACATAATGATCACAGTTTCCACATAGGGAATACCCTGGGGAAGGAACACATCTTCTAGGACCTGGGACTCAGGATACTGAGACAGACTCTTCACTCAGATGCCTAGAACATAGGAGATGGCAAACTTAACAGGCTGAAATAAGGCAGCCTACATTTTTTAGTATAACCTCGTTCTTCATCTGTTAAAACTTCTTTAGGCTGCAGTGACCAAATGTATGGTCATTGACCTGCAGGCCTGTATTAGACAGTTCAGGCTGCTATAACAAAGCAAAGTGGGTGGTTTATAAGAAACAGACATTTATTTCTCACAGTTCTGGAGGCTAGAAGTCCAAGACCAGTGTTTTGATGAAGATCCTCTTTCAGGTTGCAGAGTGCTGATTTCTCATTGTATACTCACATGGTTGAAAGAGAGAGAGCATGCCACCCTCATGACCTAAATTTACCTCCCAAAGACTCCACCTACAAATGCCGTTAGACTGAGAATTAGATTTTAGCATATAAATGTTGATGGAATATAAAAATTCAGTCCAAAACAAAACCTCCCCAAAGTATTGCTGCTGAGTCACTTAGAAAACCTTTGTCTGAGTTCACCTTTTTTATTCTTTTTGCAAACTGGGTAGTAATTTGGAATGTTGTAGAGAGATGCATATTAGTTCTTGCCCAGAGCTAAGGTGTGAGATGGATCGCCCAAACTAAAAGAAGAATTTAGAATAAAAGCAAGATGCTCAAGTACTTCAAGTTCATGAGCCACATATTTCAGAAAAAAAATTCCAAGGTAATTCCAATACAAAGTGAAATCTACACCACATGTGAATCAGGAGACATGCAGCTAAATTCCAGAACGAGTTTAATGATGATGGAGGGCAAGGCAAAGATAAGCTGTACCTTGACTGATTAGGCTGATAAATCAGGCTTGTCTTGAATAACAAAGCTAAAGGACAGAAAATGAGAAAGAAACATACCTGAAGTGATTTAAAGCCAGGATGTGATATAAAACTATTTACATACACGTATTGCTAAACTGAATAGGAGACACTTCCCAGGTAGTAAAAGGGTGGAGAAGAAAGTATTTATAAGTCAAATGACCTCTTTGTTTTTGATACAGTAGTTGGTGCCTACTAGGACTTGCTCTGGATATAAATAAATAAGAAGGCAAAAATTGAGAGGGTTGAGTCAAGCTGATCAGGCTAGAGAAAGATGCAAGAAAAGTTTCACAGATTCTCATTAATACAAGACATGTAAGATGAAAATAAACAAAGATAATCATTTTTGTGAAAAGACTCAGTAGATAACCTCACAGCTTCTTTTTCCGGCAGAGAATATGGATGTGCTAGGATTGAAGGCACTTGTCATCACCAATCTAATGGGCTCAACTGGGACAAGTGATTGCATTTTTCTTCTCAAATGGTGGGCTACATAACAAGAATTTAGCATTAGACAGGTATGCCAGTGTTGCTGCTAGTGGAAAGTGCACCAATATACATGCTACTCCAGGATAAGGTTGGCAGATATGCTTTGGTCAAACACTGGCATGCACAAGGGACGAACAAACAAACGTAGACAGCCGTCATATCTTGCCATCAAGAACAAGATTTAAGAAAAGACCTGTGGCCGTGGTCATGTATGATGTAGCTCAATCACCCCAGAAACAGAAGATGTTATTAAAAGTATAAGCTGATTCCAGTTTGGCTCTGGCAGAGTGAGGGCAGAAGAGAGGACAACATGTTGGAGGGGAAGCCAGAGAGTTAACCAGAGATTAAATCCTGTTGGCTCTTACCGGACAAGGACTGGGCTTTTACTCTGAGTGAGATCAGAAGCCATTGCTGGGCTGGGACCGGAGGAGATACACAGCTCACAAAACACATCAATACAGAGAATTCAAACTTCTGAAAAACATATTGGATGAAGAAATGAAGTCCAAATTAAAATGAGGAAGTCCAGTCAGATGACGAACTTGAACACAAAGAGCAAGCCATTGAGCACTAGTTGGCCACAGATGTGGATTTAAGTTTTCTAGCTGCCAAAATGTAAAGAGGGAAACACGATCCTCTGCAGGACTCAACAGTATCCCTGAGATCGAATCTGACAAACTGCTCAGAAGGGGCACCTATGCTTTTCCCTGAGATGAATGTCTCCCATCGTCAGATGTCAGATTCTGGATCTATTTTGACAAGAGAGCTCAAAGGATTTCTTCACAGATGGAAATGAGGGGTGAGTAAAACAGTGGCGTGAAGGATCACCCTCAAGTCTATAGCATGAACAATTGGAAGGATAAGAGTGGCCTTAACTGTGAGGGGTGGGGCGAGGGGGGACGCTGCAGTGGGAGGAGGTTTCTAGGGGAAGATGGGAGAGTTCGATTTTTGACTTGTTAATTTGGGTTGACTCTCAGGCAATTTTCTCAGCGAATTAGAAAGGAAGGTCAGAGGCTGAATGTGAGGAGTCGGGAGGCAGTGTTGGAGGCTTGCAGAGAGAAAATAAGTTGTGAAATAGAAGGGTGAACGGAGACGAAGGCTTGAGAGAAATGAGTAGTTGGAAGATTTGGACTACAAACCTGGCAGAAAGATGTTTTGGTTTAAATGGATAGGGACCCTGGGTGTTTCCAGATCAGACAATGTTCATTCTTTATGATCCAGCCAGAAAACTGTGGCTTTTGCTAGCCTTTCCCACCTCTGAACACAGGTTTCCCCTTGCTGGTGAGGGTGGCGTGGAGAGATCCGAGTGAGGAAATAAGTTGTCAGTGTTTACGCTTATTTCTTCAGTCATGCTGAAGAGGCGGATAGGCCTAATACATAATAGGATAGAACACAATCCACCCGGACTTCCGCCTTATGCACAACTGCACTTTCAGTTTTGCTCAGAGAGATAGAGCTCACACAATTAGGTAATTGGGCCCAAATCTGAAAGTGAGAAACAGGCCAGAAAGGACACTCAGAGGATGAAAAGGGAAACCAGTAAGCCCCACTGTTTTATACACCGTTGTCATCATGGTTTTAACTTCATGCTGAGACATAGAATTCCTTAAACTATCACAGCCCTGGTCACTTGTGCCAATTCTACAAGGCCTCCAAAACCGCATAGGAGATACTGCACCGTGGGCCCATTCCAAACACTTATTCAGAATTAAAATTCCACTGGCTTTCCATTGATAGCACTAGAGGTCTGTCTGTGACACGCTGCTCCATTACAGCAAAGCAAAGCCCCATAATGACCTAATCCAGAAGGATAAGATCCCAGGACCCATAGAACAAGGAGGCCAGAGGGAAGGCAGGCCACAAAGAAGAAGGAAACCAGACTTCCCCATCCCTCTGGGCTCCTGGGGGGGTCAGTGGAAAAAGGCCTTTAACCTAAGTGCTCAAGGCCCTAACCTAACAGCTTTTGTTTTTCACGCTGGAGCGCTGGCACTTCCTGACCCCGCTTAGTCCTTCTATTAGAATTTTGTACTCTGATGCTAGTTTTCAGAGTATAGGAGCAACTGCAGGGAATGAAGCAGCAGACCTATCAATATTTTGTGGTGATCTAAGTCTCTGTTAATAAGCCTGAGACAAGGCAAAACCAGGAAGAAGCCTTGACCCTTATCAAGGTCATCAAAGCCATACAGGACCCTTCCTAATGTCTTCAACTGTCATTTTTGAAAGAAGCCGAGTCTGACCACCAAGTATAAATGGGTATAACATCCACCGCATTTCTTTGTCATATTGTTACAGGAAAGGGGTCTTGATCCAGACCCCAAGAGAGGGTTCTTGGATCTCGCGCAAGAAATAATTCAGGGCGAGTTCACAGTGCAAAGCAAAAGCAAGTTTATTGAGAAAGCACAGTGGTGAAAGGGCAGCTACTCCATAGACAGAGTAGGACGTTCCCAAAAGTAAGAGGAGGAATGCGTCCACCCTAGGTACAATGCTTGTTATATGAGGAGATGTGCTCTGCTACAAGGGTTTGTGATAGAGGATTAATTTTCTTAATTACTATGTTTTGCAAGAATCAGTGTTGTTATCTTTAAGGCAAAATTAGGAATGCCTTTCTTCTCCAGATATCGGAATATCTGGACACTCCCAAGTCTGGGTCTGTTTAGTAAACGTTATTAATTTGTTCCCTTAACCGTAAACATCTAGAGGCTGGGAATACCTAACTTTCTGGGAATGCAGCCCAGCAAGCCTCAGCTTCATTTTCCTAGCCCTCACTCGGAATGGAGTCGCTCTGGTTCAAACGCCTCTGACAATATCACCCCGTTTTATTTTCTATCACTTACCACTATCTGAAATTAAGTAGATAATTTGTTTACTCTCTGTCCCCACCCACTAGAATGAGAACGCGGCCCTTGCATCCTTACGTGTGTCTGGCATATAAGGGGTGCTCAATGATTATTTGTTTCATGGATGAACAGATTTATGGATGGCTGGGTGGATGACGATCTTAGAAGGGGTTCCAGGGCTAGCTGGCTTTCTGTTTCTCCCACTCAAGCACCCAAGCCCTGACCCACAAAGTAAAGGAACAGGCGAAACTTCTCGCCAAATAGCTTCAAGGCAGAAACTACGCAGCTGGCTTGGGAATTCCGTACAACGCGAACGCGCATGCACAGGCAGGACTGAGCGTGTCCATCTTCGCATTACTCCCGGAGATGACTCTCGGAAACGGTCCGAGGACTAACGTCTTTCTCTTCCTCGCCCTCATTCCTCCCAGTAACGTCCGCTACAAAAGAAACCGTGCACAAAATAAACTCGGGCGGCGGGTAGAAAGGAGACAGCCGAATTCCCTACACCCATGATCAACACGCCCACACCTCCCATCAGGCACGGCGCTCCCGCCTCCCCGAAGAGGCGGTGGAACGTGGTGGTGGGGGGGGTGCTGGGGGAGGGCTGGCGGGGGGAGGGCCGGGGGAAGGAGCGGGGCGGGAACGTCCTTCTGCTACTGCTATGGCTTCCGGGGCAGCACTTCGGCAGACCGCCCGCCTCCCAGTTGCAAATCGACTTCCGGGGCACCCCCACCGGCTGCCCGGTGGGTTCTCTGCTCGAACTTCTGGCGCTTTTCCCTTCCCGTTTATCTTGTTCAGGTCCCTCAGTGGACTGCTCCAGATCTAAAGAGCAGAAATTGGGCCGCAAAGAGAACGTCCTCCCAGACTTTCTCCGTCGCGGTGAAATTATGCCCGTTTGGTGGCAGTATGTATTCACAGATGCGTGCAGCTCTGCTCTTACCCCGCCCTTCGCGTTTAGAAAAAAAGCGCCGTTCCTCAGAGTCAAAACAAAGTTTCTTTCCGCTGTAGAGGCACAGCTTTTAGGGTGGCCTACTAACTCCCGCTTTTTCTTTTCTGAAATCTCTGTGCCAATCTGATGGACAGAAGAGCGACAAAAAATATTTTTAACGTGAGATTCTTTGTTGACTAGCCTGCTTGTAAACTTTCTGACATATGCCTTTTTTTTTTTTTTTTTTTCCATAGGGCTGTGAACCCCTGATATCTGAGAGGTGTCTCAGTCAATTTAGAAAGTTTATTTTGCCAACGTTAAGGACGCGCCCATGACAGCCTGAGGAGGTCCTGACGACACGTGCCCAAGGTGGTCAGGGCACAGCCTGCTTCCATACATTTTAGGGAGACATGAAACATCAATATGTAAGATGTATACTGGTTCGGTCTCTAAAGGTGGGACAACTTGAATTGGTGAGGTGACTAGGAAGGTCATAGGTAGATAAAGACACACTGGTTGCATTCGAGTTTCTGATTAGCTTTCCATATTTTTTAAATTGAAAAATACCCAGTTAATGTCATAACTTATCTTACTATAACTTCAGAATCTAAATTATAACAAGTTTTGTCTAAAAGCATTTATCTCATTACATTTACCTACTTTTTCTAATAGTTTACCTAGATTATTTATGAAACTGCGATAGTCATTTTATTTCCTTTTCAACCATTTTATAGCCTGTGAATTTCAGGTGTTTACCTAAGTAAAAGCCTTAAGATTAAATATATGGTTATTTTACTGAATAATTGGATATTTAGCGATTTTCATTAATCCAATATTAATTTTTTTATCAAAAATTATACAAGCAAAAATTCTGTTTTTGCCGGATTTATAGTTTTGTAACCCGCATGCCAAATTTTTTTTTTAATTATTAAAGGTTCAGGGTACATGTGCACAATGTGCAGGTTAGTTACATATGTGTATACATGTGCCATGCTGGTGTGCTGCACCCATTAACTCGTCATTTAGCATTAGGTATATCTCCTAATGCTGTCCCTCCCCCCTCCCCCCTTCCCCCACCCCACAACAGTCCCCAGAGTGTGATGTTCCCCTTCCTGTGTCCATGTGTTCTCATTGTTCAATTCCCATCTATGAGTGAGAACATGCGGTGTTTGGTTTTTTGTCCTTGCGATAGTTTACTGAGAATGATGATTTCCAATTTCATCCATGTCCCTACAAAGGACATGAACTCATCATTTTTTATGGTTGCATGGTATTCCATGGTGTATATGTGCCACATTTTGATAAGTATGAAATTGCTTGATTAATAAATGCAAAAATGTATGCTGGCAATTTTTAAGAAATTTCTGTTATTAGTTTACCAATAATTTTTAAGCAAGCATATGACAGATTTTACTTAAGTCATATAAAGATGAAAAGCATTTGGGCTAATTAATTTATGAGTACTTGTTAAGCCAGTGTGGTACCTTGTGGCCCAAAACACAACAAAATACGTGTACATACATATAAACACACACATACACACTTACACAGCTGTTCCCGGTCCAAACTGAGGGTCAGCCTACTTATTCCTGCTACCCGGTAATGAGATGCAGATGAACTGGGAAAGAAGAGAGTTTATATAAGCTCAGAAAACTTTGTAATTTTTACTTGGTCTGCCAATATTTTCGAGGCCTTCTCCCTGTGGAGAGACTGTCGTCAGACCAACTCAAAATTACAAAGTTTTCCAAAGCTTATATACCTTTTAAGCTATATGTTTACATATAACTTTGCATTCATCTAAAGACATAAGTTATTAACTTCTTTTAATCTACAACTAAGTTCTCAGTTTTGAAGACCTTCCTCTGGAGCCTCAGTAAATTTACTTAATCTAGATGGGTCCAGGTGCTTGGGGTGATTACCCTTATCTTGTCTGCTGTAAATCCATAGAGGTTTTAGAAGTTCCTTTAGACCACCAGTAAAACTTGTTTGTGGAGGTCTGGGGAGTTTCTTCAGACCTCCAATAAAAACTTGTTTAATCCCAAAGGGGTCCTGTTAAGAATTCCTTTATCTTGTCATGCTTCAAGGCCCAGGAGGACATAGGCAAAATTCTTGGTGGGCTTTTGTTAAATCCCAGCCTTTGTATAAGGGCACTGGCTCTTTCAGCTTTTAATATTTAACCAGTCAGTGCTGAAACAGTTGTTAAGGAGGCCTCCCTGTTCAGCTGTGAGACCTGCCCTGCCACACAACCAAAAATCCTATAGCTTTTACTTCAGAACTCTAGTCATGAGATATTAATACAAACTCATTGGTTTACAAAAACAATAACAAAATGAAATGGATGGATGCAAATGGTGGATTTTATCTCAGTAGAAATGTAACAGCAGACTTAATGCAGGCAAAAAAGAAAGCAGAGCCATACACAGAGAACTTAGGAACTTTATACTCACAGGTGGACCTTTGCGATCTGAATTTTCCTTGCCGTAATTGTGCAGAAAAGGACCACAGTATGTCAATTTTACACAAACATTCGCAAGAAGAGGCGCCATAAAACCAACAGAGTGCCTGAAAGGAGGTCATTCCTGTTTTTCCTCTTTCTTAGATTTATTTTTTGAAGGAAGGAACTTAGCTGTGGCCTAAGGTTTCAGTGGAGTGGGTCCAAGTATCCGGGTTGTGGGCAGGACTCCACAGTGTGTCACCACAGAGTAATTTCCACCTTATGTGTCTCATTTTCTCTCTCTGGAGGTCTAGCACCTATGGGAGGGTCAAAGCAAAGTGATCAGCTCTAATAGGCATTTCCTGGATGAGCTTTTTAAAACTATTTTGTTGTAGGTTCCCTGTAGGGCTGCTGGTTGTCACGGGGGTCAACACCCCCAGACACTCCCACTGGGCTCCAAGTCACCCAGGGGTGCCTTTCTGCTGGGAAGAGCAAAATGCCCTTTCCCTTTGGAGGTCAGGAAACAGTCTCTCATGTATCTATGAAAACAACAGTACAGCTCTTCACGCAGATGCACACACAAAACAACAAGATTAATTTGGGGAGGAAAAGCAATGGAGAAGACACTGTAGAATGCATCTCCAAATTAGAATTCGGATCCTAAACAATAACTTCCTAAGAGGGGAAAAAAGAGAGGGGCAGCTATGACCATTTCCTGTAAACTGTCTTCAGCCACTTGTAATTTTGTAGCTCTCATCTACCATTACACACGCCAAGGTCAAATCCTCTCACAGCACAAGATCCTTCCCCGACCGAACCACTTTACATCTTACATAAAATGATTGATGTTTCATGTCTCACTAAAATGTATGGAAGCAGGCTGTGCCCTGACCACCTTGGGCACGTGTCGTCAGGACCTCCTGAGGCTGTCATGGGCGGGTCCTTAACGTTGGCAAAATAAACTTTCTAAATTGACTGAGACACCTCTCAGATATCAGGGGTTCACAGCCCTATGGAAAAAAAAAAAAAAAAAAAGGCATATGTCAGAAAGTTTACAAGCAGGCTAGTCAACAAAGAATCTCACGTTAAAAATATTTTTTGTCGCTCTTCTGTCCATCAGATTGGCACAGAGATTTCAGAAAAGAAAAAGCGGGAGTTAGTAGGCCACCCTAAAAGCTGTGCCTCTACAGCGGAAAGAAACTTTGTTTTGACTCTGAGGAACGGCGCTTTTTTTCTAAACGCGAAGGGCGGGGTAAGAGCAGAGCTGCACGCATCTGTGAATACATACTGCCACCAAACGGGCATAATTTCACCGCGACGGAGAAAGTCTGGGAGGACGTTCTCTTTGCGGCCCAATTTCTGCTCTTTAGATCTGGAGCAGTCCACTGAGGGACCTGAACAAGATAAACGGGAAGGGAAAAGCGCCAGAAGTTCGAGCAGAGAACCCACCGGGCAGCCGGTGGGGGTGCCCCGGAAGTCGATTTGCAACTGGGAGGCGGGCGGTCTGCCGAAGTGCTGCCCCGGAAGCCATAGCAGTAGCAGAAGGACGTTCCCGCCCCGCTCCTTCCCCCGGCCCTCCCCCCGCCAGCCCTCCCCCAGCACCCCCCCCACCACCACGTTCCACCGCCTCTTCGGGGAGGCGGGAGCGCCGTGCCTGATGGGAGGTGTGGGCGTGTTGATCATGGGTGTAGGGAATTCGGCTGTCTCCTTTCTACCCGCCGCCCGAGTTTATTTTGTGCACGGTTTCTTTTGTAGCGGACGTTACTGGGAGGAATGAGGGCGAGGAAGAGAAAGACGTTAGTCCTCGGACCGTTTCCGAGAGTCATCTCCGGGAGTAATGCGAAGATGGACACGCTCAGTCCTGCCTGTGCATGCGCGTTCGCGTTGTACGGAATTCCCAAGCCAGCTGCGTAGTTTCTGCCTTGAAGCTATTTGGCGAGAAGTTTCGCCTGTTCCTTTACTTTGTGGGTCAGGGCTTGGGTGCTTGAGTGGGAGAAACAGAAAGCCAGCTAGCCCTGGAACCCCTTCTAAGATCGTCATCCACCCAGCCATCCATAAATCTGTTCATCCATGAAACAAATAATCATTGAGCACCCCTTATATGCCAGACACACGTAAGGATGCAAGGGCCGCGTTCTCATTCTAGTGGGTGGGGACAGAGAGTAAACAAATTATCTACTTAATTTCAGATAGTGGTAAGTGATAGAAAATAAAACGGGGTGATATTGTCAGAGGCGTTTGAACCAGAGCGACTCCATTCCGAGTGAGGGCTAGGAAAATGAAGCTGAGGCTTGCTGGGCTGCATTCCCAGAAAGTTAGGTATTCCCAGCCTCTAGATGTTTACGGTTAAGGGAACAAATTAATAACGTTTACTAAACAGACCCAGACTTGGGAGTGTCCAGATATTCCGATATCTGGAGAAGAAAGGCATTCCTAATTTTGCCTTAAAGATAACAACACTGATTCTTGCAAAACATAGTAATTAAGAAAATTAATCCTCTATCACAAACCCTTGTAGCAGAGCACATCTCCTCATATAACAAGCATTGTACCTAGGGTGGACGCATTCCTCCTCTTACTTTTGGGAACGTCCTACTCTGTCTATGGAGTAGCTGCCCTTTCACCACTGTGCTTTCTCAATAAACTTGCTTTTGCTTTGCACTGTGAACTCGCCCTGAATTATTTCTTGCGCGAGATCCAAGAACCCTCTCTTGGGGTCTGGATCAAGACCCCTTTCCTGTAACAATATGACAAAGAAATGCGGTGGATGTTATACCCATTTATACTTGGTGGTCAGACTCGGCTTCTTTCAAAAATGACAGTTGAAGACATTAGGAAGGGTCCTGTATGGCTTTGATGACCTTGATAAGGGTCAAGGCTTCTTCCTGGTTTTGCCTTGTCTCAGGCTTATTAACAGAGACTTAGATCACCACAAAATATTGATAGGTCTGCTGCTTCATTCCCTGCAGTTGCTCCTATACTCTGAAAACTAGCATCAGAGTACAAAATTCTAATAGAAGGACTAAGCGGGGTCAGGAAGTGCCAGCGCTCCAGCGTGAAAAACAAAAGCTGTTAGGTTAGGGCCTTGAGCACTTAGGTTAAAGGCCTTTTTCCACTGACCCCCCCAGGAGCCCAGAGGGATGGGGAAGTCTGGTTTCCTTCTTCTTTGTGGCCTGCCTTCCCTCTGGCCTCCTTGTTCTATGGGTCCTGGGATCTTATCCTTCTGGATTAGGTCATTATGGGGCTTTGCTTTGCTGTAATGGAGCAGCGTGTCACAGACAGACCTCTAGTGCTATCAATGGAAAGCCAGTGGAATTTTAATTCTGAATAAGTGTTTGGAATGGGCCCACGGTGCAGTATCTCCTATGCGGTTTTGGAGGCCTTGTAGAATTGGCACAAGTGACCAGGGCTGTGATAGTTTAAGGAATTCTATGTCTCAGCATGAAGTTAAAACCATGATGACAACGGTGTATAAAACAGTGGGGCTTACTGGTTTCCCTTTTCATCCTCTGAGTGTCCTTTCTGGCCTGTTTCTCACTTTCAGATTTGGGCCCAATTACCTAATTGTGTGAGCTCTATCTCTCTGAGCAAAACTGAAAGTGCAGTTGTGCATAAGGCGGAAGTCCGGGTGGATTGTGTTCTATCCTATTATGTATTAGGCCTATCCGCCTCTTCAGCATGACTGAAGAAATAAGCGTAAACACTGACAACTTATTTCCTCACTCGGATCTCTCCACGCCACCCTCACCAGCAAGGGGAAACCTGTGTTCAGAGGTGGGAAAGGCTAGCAAAAGCCACAGTTTTCTGGCTGGATCATAAAGAATGAACATTGTCTGATCTGGAAACACCCAGGGTCCCTATCCATTTAAACCAAAACATCTTTCTGCCAGGTTTGTAGTCCAAATCTTCCAACTACTCATTTCTCTCAAGCCTTCGTCTCCGTTCACCCTTCTATTTCACAACTTATTTTCTCTCTGCAAGCCTCCAACACTGCCTCCCGACTCCTCACATTCAGCCTCTGACCTTCCTTTCTAATTCGCTGAGAAAATTGCCTGAGAGTCAACCCAAATTAACAAGTCAAAAATCGAACTCTCCCATCTTCCCCTAGAAACCTCCTCCCACTGCAGCGTCCCCCCTCGCCCCACCCCTCACAGTTAAGGCCACTCTTATCCTTCCAATTGTTCATGCTATAGACTTGAGGGTGATCCTTCACGCCACTGTTTTACTCACCCCTCATTTCCATCTGTGAAGAAATCCTTTGAGCTCTCTTGTCAAAATAGATCCAGAATCTGACATCTGACGATGGGAGACATTCATCTCAGGGAAAAGCATAGGTGCCCCTTCTGAGCAGTTTGTCAGATTCGATCTCAGGGATACTGTTGAGTCCTGCAGAGGATCGTGTTTCCCTCTTTACATTTTGGCAGCTAGAAAACTTAAATCCACATCTGTGGCCAACTAGTGCTCAATGGCTTGCTCTTTGTGTTCAAGTTCGTCATCTGACTGGACTTCCTCATTTTAATTTGGACTTCATTTCTTCATCCAATATGTTTTTCAGAAGTTTGAATTCTCTGTATTGATGTGTTTTGTGAGCTGTGTATCTCCTCCGGTCCCAGCCCAGCAATGGCTTCTGATCTCACTCAGAGTAAAAGCCCAGTCCTTGTCCGGTAAGAGCCAACAGGATTTAATCTCTGGTTAACTCTCTGGCTTCCCCTCCAACATGTTGTCCTCTCTTCTGCCCTCACTCTGCCAGAGCCAAACTGGAATCAGCTTATACTTTTAATAACATCTTCTGTTTCTGGGGTGATTGAGCTACATCATACATGACCACGGCCACAGGTCTTTTCTTAAATCTTGTTCTTGATGGCAAGATATGACGGCTGTCTACGTTTGTTTGTTCGTCCCTTGTGCATGCCAGTGTTTGACCAAAGCATATCTGCCAACCTTATCCTGGAGTAGCATGTATATTGGTGCACTTTCCACTAGCAGCAACACTGGCATACCTGTCTAATGCTAAATTCTTGTTATGTAGCCCACCATTTGAGAAGAAAAATGCAATCACTTGTCCCAGTTGAGCCCATTAGATTGGTGATGACAAGTGCCTTTCATCTTAGCATATTTATATTGCCTGCTGGAAAAAAAAATGTGTTAAACTACCTACCGGTAGCCATTCATCTCTGCTTTTCTCTTTGCATCTGATTCCAACACACTTTCATGTTACATGTAGTTAGACACACATGAGAGGGGCAGGAGAGTCCTTTTCCCCAACACCCACCGGGAATGTCACGTGATCGGGTGATGGTTCAACAATTATCACATTGCCTGTCTAAAAATGGTACTTTGGCACCTGGAGTCAGGGAGAGATAATCTCCTGCTGATCTACAGCTGTTAACATTAACGTGGTTAACTGAATGCCAGGTAGAAACAAAAAGAGCTTCCAATAAAATCAAGTATTGTGGGACTGAGCTCAAGCATTGTGGGAGTGAGCTCAAGCATGTGAATTAAGACACAAAATGACGGAGTATGACCTTCCTATTGACACTTCACCAGAAAAGTGAAGAAAGCCTCAGGCGGGAATCCATACAACTTCCTAAACCCACTGTGCATGCTCACCTCCCAAGGGTAAGGAGGGTACTGTGCATGGGGCAGCACAGTACCCATGGGAAGAATCATGGGAAATGAGCCAGTCTATGAAGTTCCAGGATCAAGGTTAAACACCACACTTGAGCTTCATATGCCCGCTTGGGCCTCTTCCAAGTGTACTTTCTTTTATGTTCTAAACGCTTTTTAAATAAATTTCCACTCCTGCTCTGAAACTTGCCTCGGTCTCTTTTTCTGCCTTCTGCCTCTCAGTGGAATTCTTTCTTCTGAGAAGGCAAGAATTAAGGTTGCTGCAGACCCGTGTCTGGATTCGCTGCTGGTGGTAGCTCAGATACCTTACCCCGGTCACATTCACAGTCCCTTTCTCCTGACTAACCTGTTTTGACTGTTTACTCCCTATTTGTAATATCTCCAGCAACCTAATCTGGGTTTTAGAAATGGAGTATTAAATATACCAATGGCTATATTTTCAGGGGCATTGTGACATTTCTAAGACATCACTATCTTGAAAAATCCAGCCTATTGACACCACACGTCTACAACTATCTGATCTTCGACAAACCTGACAAAAACAAGCTATGAGGAAACAATTCCCTATTTAATAAATAAAAATAAAAAGGAATAAAAAGCGTTTAGAACAAAAATCTAGGAAAACTGGCTAGCCATATGCAGAAAACAGAAACTGGACCCCTTCCTTATACCTTACACAAAAATTAACTCAAGATGGATTAAACCCTTAAAGGTAAAAGTTAAAACCATAAAAACCCTAGAAACATACCTAGGCAATACCATTCAGGACACAGGCAAGGGCAAATACTTTATGACTAAAATGCCAAAAGCAATTGCAACAAAAGCCAAAATTGACAAATGGAATATAATTAAACTAAACAACTTCTGCACAGCAAAAGAAACTGCCATCAGAGTGCACAGGCAACCTACACAATGGGAGAAAATTTCTGCAATCTATCCATCTGACAAAGGTCTAATATCCAGAATCTACAAGGAACTTAAACAAATTTAAAAGAAAAAAACAACTCCATCAAAAAGTGGGAAAAGGATATGAACAGACACTTCTCAAAAGAAGACATTTATGCAGCCAACGAACATATGAAAAAAAGCTCATCACCACTGGTCATTAGAGAAATGCAAATCAAACCACAATGAGATATTATCTCACGCCACTTAGAATGGCGATCATTAAAAAGTCAAGAAGCAACACATGCTGGTGAGGCTATGGAGAAATAGGAACGCTTTTCCACTGTTGATGGGAGTGTACATTAGTTTAACCATTGTGGAAGACAATGTGGCAATTCCTCAAGGATCTAGAACCAGAAATACCATTTGACACAGGCATCCCATTACTGAGTATACACCCAAAGGATTATAAATCATTCTACTATAAAGACACATGCACACGTTTGTTTATTGCGGCACTGTTCACAATAGCAAAGACTTGGAACCAACCCAAATGCCCATCAATGATAGACTGGATAAAGAAAATGTGGCACATACATGCTATGGAATACTATGCAGCCATAAAAAAGAATGGGTTCATGTCCTTTGCAGGAACATGGATGAAGCTGGAAGCCATCATTCTCAGCAAACTAACACAGGAACAGAAAACCAAACACCGCATGTTCTCACTCATAAGTGGGAGTTGAACAATGAGAACACATGGACACAGCGAGTGGAATATCATGCACCAGGGCCTGTCGGGGGTGGGGGACAAGGGGAGGGAGAGCATTAGGACAAATACCTAATGCATGCGGGGCTTAACACCTAGACAAGGGGTTGATGGGTGCAGCAAACCACCATGGCACATGTATACCATATCACAAACCTGCATGTTCTGCACAGGTATCCCAGAACTTAATGTAAAATAAAATAAAATAAAGAAAGAAAAAATAAAAGGAAAGAAAAATCCTGCCTATTGGGCTCATTTATAGAACCACTTGAAAACCGCCCTTGTCAAGTAAAAATTTTCCAACAAGTAACCCCTTAGAAATGCAGCCTTCTTGTATACACATTATAGGATTTCATCAGTGTACAGGTGCACCAGGTGGCCTTGGGGTAAAGATAGATTAAAGATCATAAATAATTATCTGCATTTCAGTGTTAAGGCCCAGAAAGCTTCCCTTGCTTCCTTTTACCTCAGTGAATGCCCTCAGGCAATGCTTCTGGAGCCAGCTTACTCAATCTTTTCTCACCAGTAATGCCAGCCCTTCATTCCAGATTTTGTTGTTATATTTAACCCACCATATGCACTTGAAATCCTTACTTGAGAAAACTTGGAAAGTAGGGGAAGGTTTTCACAATAAATGAAAAAGTTGCCATAATTCTACAACCAATGTATAATGACTCTTAGTTCTTTAGTTTACTTCCCAATTGACTCTTTTCTATGGGAGTAAAATAATGTTGTATGCATGCTACTATGATGATATTAAATGGTGTCACTTGCTACATTTCAGGTATTGTTGGGTATGTGTGGTTACTATCATAAATGACTTTCCTGTTTTCTTTCGCCCACCCATCTTTCACAGAAAAAGATACTTAATATCAAAGTTAATCAGGTAATAAAAATTTTAATCATGGTGAGATACTATTTCTTTTCTATCAGATAACTCTTTGATTTGGGGACTAAAAAGGGTACTAGAAAATGACATCCTTAGGAAGTAATATCCGGGAAGCTCAGCTTGGCCAACTACGTAACACTGTGGCTATTTGAGGAAAGTGGTGATTTTGAAGAGAGGACTACATTGCCTTCTCAGGTGTGTCTCCTTTGCCCAGCTCCCATGGGATCAAATATGAATCCAGTGAGGGCTGCAAGTTATATTTATGAGTTCAGAAACAGTGCAAGTCACTTGGCACAGCCTAAATAACTCCATCTGAAAGCAGTTGGTCAGTGCAACTGGTGGGCCGGTGGTCAAAACAAAGGTTACTCTTGTGCCACCAGCACCAAGGAGCCATTCTTAGAGATGTCTGGTTATTCCTTGGTCCAGAGCCCTGAATTATCCTGTAGATGTGTCTGAATCAGAACAGAGTAAATACCAAGTTAGCAGGAAAAGCTCATCACTACTCTCATTCCTATCTCTCCTCTGGCTGCTCACCTAGTGAGCTCTGCAGCAATATGCTTAGTAGCCCCAGCCAGGGTGTGATGGCCACCAATGTTATCACCAGGCTTAGACAGAGGAAGGCTTGATGTTATATTCTGACATACAGTGCCATATCCTTACCTGAGAATGGAATGGAATGACAAAGGAGATCTGAATTATGGGTGTGAGAAAAGTTTCAGACAATTCTGAGTGAAAAATTAGTCCAATTCCTAAATGACCAAATTGTTCTGATTAGTTAGAAAAAAAGCACAACGGAGGCAGAAACTTTTCTACATTTCTAGCTGAGAAAATTTAAAGATGGGGCTTGAATTACCAAGTGTTAATAGTATTTAAAAATGTTTTATGTTTCTATGAAAAATTGCTCTGTGACTATAAGAAAGTAAAACAAGAAAGAAGGAAGAAAGGAAGCATTGAGACAGAGTAAACAAAGCCAATGAAGGGAAGGAGAAAACAGGGACGATATATAGAGAAAAAGCATGGGCTCAGTTCATTTTCCTCTTTAAAATCCAGAGCTACCTGCCTCTAAAGTTCAAAGTCTTGTCTATAACATCCTGGTGTTGTGCTTTCTGAGTGGGGCTTTCAGAACTTCCCTTGGGGAAAGCCTATGATGCACTGCAAAGAGATGGGCATGTCTGAGGTCAGTGCACATCCAGTGTGATAGCCCCAACTCACCACAGTATCAAGGAGTTGCAGCTGGACCCACAAGTACTAGGGCTAACATATGCCTATTTCTCCCCCATGCTCAACCTAGGTATCTCCCTTAGCAGATGTGGAGCAAAATAACCTTTGCAGAAAATAATCTTAGAGCTTAAACCTGAGCTATGTCTGGAAAGTCCATGGCATTCTGAATAATCTATAATTTACTGAGCATTTGCTGTATTCTAGTCCCTGTGCTAAGAGCTCATACATTCATGTCTTATATAATTCCATCATTGAAATAAGCACATAAGTCAAATGTGTCTGTAATCTTCACTTTCAAAGTGAAGAAGCCAAGACTCTGCATTTAAGAGACTTGCCTAAGTTCACATAGATAATAAAACTCAGTTACCTCCGAAATAAAAGATGACATAACTTTAACCACAAACCATCATGGCCCTGAAACTATGAGAGTAAGGTTGGTAACTTCCAAGGAGGAGGTGAATTTAAATCTATCCTGATTCCAGATCATTTGTACTGCCCCTGGTATAGTTGGAGAGGTGTCACTCTTTTTCTTTTTCTTTTCTCTCTCTCTCTCTCTTTTTTTTTTTTTTTTTTTTTTTGAGATTGGGTCTCACTCTGTCACCCAGGCTGAAGTGCAGTGGCATGATCTTGGTTCACTGCAACCTCCACCTCCCAGGCTCAGGTGATCCTCCCGCCTCAGCCTCCCACGTAGCTGGAACCACCACGCCCAGCTAATTTTTTGTATTGTTAGTAGAGACGGAGTTTTGCCCTGTTGCCCAGGCTGGTCTCGAACTCCTGAGCTCAAGCGATCCACCCATCCTGGCCTCCCAAACTGCTGGGATTACAGGCATGAACCACCACACCCGACCCACTCTTTTTCTTAAATGCATTCATGCACATGCATATGTACATATGTGCACACACATACTCATATACTAACACAGACTGGTATGGGACAGTCTGAGTCTTATGTGATCCATACTCAGCAGTTAACAATAATTATTTCTGTACCCTTACCTATGGAAGACATTCAATCAAAAGTGGCAATTGCTAAGGTTTTCATGGGAACTTAATGTGTCAGGAGATTTTAACCTTAACCTTAAGATGTATTCACTTCAGGAGTCAAGCGCCTTCCAGCATGGTCACAGGATAGTTTTCATGTCTTTGTCTTCCAGTAATGCTTTGAATGTATTGTCATTAATCCATTCATGCAACAAAAAGTCATGGCACTCCTCTAATATGTGTCAGCCACTGTGCTATTCCTTGGAATCACTATCATTATAATTACTACTGTCTTTTTTTTTTTTTTGGTAATGGTCAGTTTTAGTATAACAATATATCTCACTAGGATGAGTGCATTATAAGAGGGTACTGTGCATTTTTCATCACTACATGTCTAGGTCTTAGACACATATGGACATAGCTCTGAGTAGGCGATCAACAAATATGGGGGATTAAATGACAAATTTCATGGGGTATATAGCGTATGTAAGAAATAAGGAACACTGGAGCCCTGGCTGGCAAGATGGCCAAATAAGAACACCTCCAGTCTGCAGCTCCCAGCGAGATCAATGCAGAAGGTGGGTGATTTTTACATTTCCCACTAAGGTACCCAGTTCATCTCACTGGGACTGGTTGAACAGTGGGTGCAGCCCAAGGAGGGTGAGCCAAAGCAGAGTGGGGTGTTGCCTCACCAGGGAAGCGCAAGGGGTCCGGGAGCTCCCTCTCCTAGCCAAGGGAAGTCATTAGGGACTGTACTTTGCACTTAGGCCCAGATACTGTGCTTTTCCCACAGTCTTGGCAACCCACAGACCAGGAGATTCACTCTGGTGCCCACACCACCAAGGCCCTGGGTTTCCAGCACAAAACTGGGCGGCCATTTGGGCAGACACTGAGCTAGCCGCAGAAGTTTTTCATACCCCAGTGGCACCTGGAACGCCAGCAAGACAGAACCGTTCACTCCCCTGGAAAGGGGGCTGAAGCCAGGGATCCAAGTGGTCTGGCTCGGTGGGTCCTACCCCCACGGAACCCAGCAAGCTAAGATCCACTGGCTTGAAATTCTCGCTGCTACCACAGCAGTCTGAGCTCGACCTGGGATGCTCCAGCTTGGTGGGGGGAAGGGCGTCTGCCATTGCTGACGCCTGAGTAGATGGTTTCACCCTCACAGTGTAAACAAAGCCGCCTAGAAATTCCATCTGGGCAGAGCCCACCACACCTCACTCAGCAAGGCCACTGCAGCCAGACTGCCTCTCCAGATTCCCTCCTCTCTGGGCAGGGCATCTCTGAAAACAAGGCAGCAGCCCCATTCAGGGACTTATAGATAAAACACCCACCTCCCTGAGACAGAGCACCTGGGGGAAGGGGCGGTTGGGGGCACAGCTTCAGCAGACTTAAACGTCCCTACCTGGCAGCTCTGAAGAGAGCAGCGGATTTCCCAGCACAGTGTTCGAGCTCTGATAAGGGACAGACTACCTCCTCAAGTGGGTCCCTGACCCCCATGTATCCTGACTAGGAGGCACCTCACAGTAGGAGCACCACCTCAAACAGGAGAGCTCTGGCTGGCATCTGGCAGGTGTCCCTCTAGGAAGAAGCTTACAGAGGAAGGAACAGACAGCAATCTTTGCTGTTCTGCAGCCTCCGCTGGTGATAACCAGGCAAACAGGGTCTGGAGTGGACCTCCAGCAAACTCCAGCAGACCTGCAGCAGAGGGGCCTGACTGTCAGAAGGAAAACTAATAAAGAGAAAGGAATAGTATCATCATAAACGAAAAGGACATCAATTCAGAGACCCCAGCAGAAGGTCACTGACTTCAAAGACCAAAGGTACATAAATCCACAAAGATGGGGAGAAATCAGAATAAAAAGGCTGAAAATTCCAAAAACCAGAACGCCTCTTCTCCTCCAAAGGATCACAGCTCCTCTCCAGCAAGGGAACAAAACTGGATGGAGAATGAGTTTGATAAATTAATAGAAGTAGGCTTCAGAAGGTAGTTAATAACAAACTCCTCCGAGCTAAAGGAGCATGCTCTAACCCAATGCAAGGAAGCTAAGAACCTTTAAAAAGGATAGACGAATTGCTAACCACAATAACCAGTTTAGAGAAGAATATAAATGACCTGATGGAGTTGAAAAACACAGCACAAGAGCTTTGTGAAGCATACACAAGAATCAACAGCTGATTCGATCAAGCAGAAGGAAAGATAGCAGAGATTGAAGATCAACTCAAAGAAATAAAGTGAGAAGACAAGATTAGAGGAAGAAGAGTGAAAAGAAACAAAGCCCTCAAGAAACATGGGACTATGTGAAAAGACCAAGTTTGTGTTTGATTAGTGTACCTGAAAATGACAGGAAGAATGAAACCAAGTTGGAAAACACTCCTCAGGATATTATCCAGGAGAACTTCCCCAACCTAGCAAGGCAGGCCAACAATCAAATTCAGGAAATACAGAGAACACCACAAAGATAGTCTTCAAGAAGAGCAACCCCAAGACACGTAATTGTCAGGTTCACCAAGGTTGAAATGAAGGAATAAAATACTACTAAGGGCAGCCAGAAAGAAAGGTTGGGCTACCCCCAAAGGGAAACCCATAAGACTAACAGTGGATCTCTTGGCAGAAACCCTACAAGCCAGAAGAGAGTGGGGGCCAATATTCAACATTCTTAAAGAAAAGAATTTACAACCCAGAATTTCATGTCCAGCCAAACTAAGCTTCATAAGTGAAGGAGAAATAAAATCCTTTACAGACAAGCAAATGCTGAGAGATTTTGTCACCACCTGGCCTGCCTTACAAGAGCTCCTGAAGAAAGCACTAAACATGGAAAGGATCAACCGGTACCAGTCACTACAAAAACATACCAAATTGTAACGACTATCGACACTATGAAGAAACTGCATCAACTAGTGGGCAAAATAACCAGCTAGGATCACAATGACAGGATCAAATTTACACATAACAATATTGACCTTAAATGTAAATGGGCTGAATGCCCTAATTAAAAGACACAGACTGGCAAATTGGATAAAGAGTCAAGAATACAGCATCAGTGTGCTGTATTCAGGAGATGCATCTCACGTGCAAAGATACACATAGGCTCAAAATAAAGGAAGGGAGGAATATTTACCAAGCAAATGGAGAGCAAAAAGGAAAGCAGGGGTTGCAATCCTAGTCTCTGATAAAACAGACTTTAAACCAACAATGACCAAAAAAGACAAAGATGGGCATTACATAATGGTAAAGGGATCAATACAATAAAAAGAGCTAACTATCTTAAATATATATGCACCCAATACAGGAGCACCCAGATTCATAAAGCAAGTTCATAGAGACCTACAAAGAGACTTAGACTCCCACACAATAATAGTGGTAGTCTTTAATACCTCAATGTCAATATTAGAAAGATCAATGAGACAGAATATTAACAAGAATACCCAGGACTTCAACTCACCTCTGGACCAAGCAGACCTAATATACATCTACAGAACTCTCCACCCCAAATCAACAGAATATACATCTTCTCAGCACCACCGTGCACTTATTCTAACATTGACCATATAAATGGAAGTAAAACACCCCTCAGCAAATGCAAAAGAACGGAAATCATAACAAACAGTCTCTCAGACCACAGTGCAATCAAACTAGAAGGTAGGATTAAGAAACTCACTCAAAACCACACAACTACATGGAAACTAAACAACTTGCTCCTGAATGACTACTGGGTAAATAGCAAAATGAAGGCAGAAGTAAAGATGTTCATTGAAAACAGTGAGAACAAAGACACAATGTACCAGAATCTCTGGGACACAGCTAAAACAGTGTTTAGAGAGAAATTTATAGCACTAAATGCCCATAAAAGCAAGCAGGAAAGATCTAAAATCAACACCCTAACATCACATTTAAAAGAACTGGAGAAGCAGGAGCAAAAAATTCAAAAGCTAGCAGAAGTTAAGAAATAACTAAGGTCAAAGAAGTGAAGGAGATAGAGACACAAAAAAACCTTCAAAAAATCAATGAATCCAGGAGCTGTTTTTTTGAAAAGACCAAAAAAATAGACCACTAGCCAGACTAATAAAGAAAAAAAGAGAGAATAATCAAATAGATGCAATAAAAATTATAAAGGGGATATCACCACTAATCCCACAGAAATACAAACTACCATCAGAGAATACTATAAACACTTCTATGCAAATAAACTAGAAAATCTAGAAGAAATGGATAAGTTCCTCGAAACATACACTCTCCCATGACTAAACCAGGAAGAAGTTGAAACCCTGAAGAGACCAATAACAAGGTCTGAAATTGAGGTAGCAATTAATAACCATAAAATGTCCAGGACCAGACGGATTCACAGCCAGATTCTACCAGAGGTACAAAGAAGAGCTGGTACCATTCCTTCTGAAAATATTCCAAACAATAGAAAAAGAGGGAATCCTCCCTAACTCATTTTATGAGGCCAGCATCATCCCAATACCAAAACCTGGCAGAGACACAACAAAAAAAGAAAATTTCAGGCCAATATCCCTGATGAACATCGATGCAAAAATCCTCAATAAAGTACTGGCAAACCGAATCCAGCAGCACATCAAAAAGCTTATCCAACACGATCAAGTTGACTTCATCCCGGGGGTTGCAAGGCTGGTTCAACATATGCAAATCAATAAACGTAATCCATCACATAAACAGAACCAATGACAAAAACCACATGATTATCTCAATAGATGCAGAAAAGGCCTTCCATAAAATTCAACAGCCCTTCATGCTAAAAGCTTTCAATAAACTAGGTATTAATGGAAGATATCTCAAAATAATAAGAGCTATTTATGATAAACCCACAGCCAATATCATACTGAATGGGCAAAAACTGGAAACATTCCTGTTGAAAAGCAGCACAAGATAAGGATGCCCTCTCTTAACAATTCTATTCAACATAGTATTGGAAGTTCTGGCCAGGGCAATTAGGCAAGAGAAAGAAATAAAGGGTATTCGATTAGGAAAAGAGGAAGTCAAATTGTCCCTGTTTGCAGATGCCATGAATGTATATTTAGAAAACCCCATCATCTCAGCCCAAAATCTCCTTAAGCTGATAAGCAACTTCAGCAAAGTGGCAGGATACAAAATCCATGTACAAAAATCACAAGCATTCCTATACACCAATATAGCAGATCAACAGAGAGCCAAATCATGAGTAAACTCCAATTCACAATTGCTACAATGAGAACACAATACCTAGGAAAACAGCTCACAATGAATGTGAGGGACCTTTATAAGGATAACTAAAAACCACTGCTCAAGGAAATAAGAGAGGACACAAACAAATGTAAAAATATTCCATGCTCATGGCTAGGAAGAATCAATATCGTCAAAATGGCCATATTGCCCAAAGTAATTCATAGATTCAATGCTATGCCCATCAAGCTACCATTGACTGTCTTCACAGAATTGGAAAAAACTACTTTCAATTTCATATGGGACCAAAAAAGAGTCCGTATAGCCAAGACAATCCTAAGCAAAAACAACAAAGCTGGAGGCATCACATTACCTAACTTCAAACTATACCATAAGGCTACATTAACCAAAACAGCATGGTACTGCTACCAAAACAGATATATAGACCAATGGAACAGAACAGAGGCCTCAGAAATAACTCCACATGTGTACAGCCATCTGATCTTTGACAAATCTGACAAAACAAGCAACGGGGAAAGGATTCCCTACTTAATAAATGGTGTTGGGAAAACTGGCTAGCCATACGCAGAAAGCTGAAACTGGATCCTTTCCTTACACGTTATACAAAAATTAACTCAAATGATTTAAAGACTTAAATGTAAGACCTAAAACCATAAAAACCCTAGAAGAAAACCTAGGCAATATCACTTAGGACATAGGTATGGGCATAGACTTCATGACTAAAACACCAAAAGCAATGGCAACAAAAGTAAAAATTAACAAATGGGATCTAATTAAATTAAAGAGCTTCTGCACAGCAAAAGAAATTATCATCAGAGTGAACAGGCAACCTACAGAATGGGAGAAAATTTTTGCGATCTATCCATCTAACAAGGGTCTTATATCCAGAATCTACAAAGAACTTAAACAAATTTACAAAAAAACCCAAAAACCAAAAAAAAAAAAACCAAACAACCTTATCAAAAAGTGGGCAAAGGATATGAACAGACACTTCTCAAAAGAAGACATTTATGCAGCCAAAAAACATATGAAAAAAAGTTAATCATCACTGGTCATTAAAGGAATGCAAATCAAAACCACAATGAGATACCATCTCATGCCAGTTAGAATGCCAATCATTAAAAAGTCAGGAAACAACAGATGCTGGAGAGAATGTGGAGAAATAGGAACACTTTTCCAATGTTGGTGGGAGTGTAAATTAGTTCAACCATTCTGGAAGACAGTGTGGTGATTTCTCAAGGATCTAGAACTAGAAATACCATTTGACCCAGCAATACCATTACTGGGTATATACCCAAAGGATTATAAATCAGTGTACTATAAAGACACATGCACATGTATGTTTATTGTGGCACTGTTCACAATAGTCAAGACTTGGAACCAACCCAAATGCTCATCAATGATAGACTGGATAAAGAAAATGTGGCACATATACACCATGGAATACTATGCAGCCATAAAAAAGGATGAGTGTATGTCCTTTGCAGGGACATGGATGAAGCTGGAAGCCATCATTCTCAGCAAACTAACACAAGAACAGAAAACCAAACACCGCATGTTTTCACTCATCAATGGGAGTTGAACAATGAGTACACATGGACACAGGGAGGGGAACATCACACACTGGGGCCTGTTGGGGGGTAGGGAGCTAGGGGAGAGAGAGCATTAGGAGAAATCCCTAATGTATGTGATGGGTTGATGGGTGCAGCAAACCACCATGGCACGCGTATAACTATGTAACAAACCTTCATGTTCTGCACATGTACCCCAGAACTTAAAGTATATATATAGAAATAAGGAACACACAAAGGAGATAACATGTAAACTAAATGAAATGCAAGCCCCACTAAGGGTAAAGCGATGGTATCACACTGAAAGTGGATACCATCTCTTGTGCTACCCTAAAATGCTCTGCAAAATGAACCATGGTCTCTACACTAAGATATTAATACATCTTAGATAGGATGGCGAAATTACATCCAGCTGTATAATGGGAGCCCTCTCTTATCAATCTCAGGTCTCTTTGAGGCCTGGTCTGTTGATTGTGACATAATCTCCTACAACACCAGGGACAGCGTAAGTGAGATGTGAAAGATAAATATCTCCATGGAAGGAAGGAAGCCCTTCCTTCTAGGATACTTTCTACTCTGACTCACTGGCCTCTCTTGCCGGTTTCTCAAAGTATAAAATTTTTGTACCCTCAAAACCTGCTTGCACAAAACCTACATGCTCCCTAAGTATGCACAAGGTTGAAGGGACAACTTTGCTTCCCAGTTTCCCCAGGGATAGTAGAATTTATCTGTGAGTTCTGTTGATTGGGCCCATCTCATATTCTTCAGGTTCCATTTATTTATAAGACATTGCTGCTTTCAATGTGTCATCAAATCTTTCTGCTCTCCAAGAAGCCTGAAATATCTTATGGTCCTTGGTACAGTGTTCAAGGATCATGCAGGGCTTTTTTTTTTTTTTTTCAGTTGTGCTGCAGATAGCATGAGGGAGCAGCCCATAGTTTCTGCATGCAGCTGCTTATTACAGTAAATAAAATCATAGTATCTTAGTTCATTTGTGCTGCTTTAACAAAATACTACAGACTAGGTAATTTATAGACAGTAGACGTTTATTTATCACAGTTCTGGAGGTTTGGAAATCCAGGATCATGGCACCAGCTGGTGAGGGCTTGGCCTCTCTGCTTCTATGAATGATACTTTGTTGTTGCATCCTCTTGAGGGTAGGAACTCTGTGTTGTCTGTCGCATGGCAAAGGGAACAGACAAGGCAACAAGGGGTGAACTTCCTCTTCAGGCCCTTTTATAAGATTGCCTGATCCCATTCATGAGGGCTCTACCCCAATCACCTCCCAAAGGCCACAACTCCCAATACTGTTGCTCTGGGGATGAAGTTTCAAAGTCAGTTTTGGAGGGGACAAAAACATTTATACTATAGAGCATAACTTCCATTAATTGAGCCACTCTCCTAATTAGATTATGTTCCACACTACATGAATGATTTCAGAATAATGCCACAGTTAGGTATTTTTGTGCTCATTTAATTCTTTTAAATGAGACCCTGTTCTAAAATGGTATGTAAAAGAATTAGGACTTGATTTCAAGGTCTAAGTTTATCACTAGATGGTATTATGGATACTGGATGGTTTTTCTTGAGTTTCCCTTCCTGAGAAGCAAATCTGTTTACCAGCTACAATATAGCAGTACCTGTAGTTCATGGCCAGCCTGGCAGCACTATCTTACTACAGTACCCTTTGGAGCACTAAAGTTACTGTTAATGACAAAGAGAAAGGATGGAGAAGAAATTCTGGATATGACAAAATGCCGAGAGGGGTTTATGGAGACTAGTGAATGTAAAAGGGAGGGACATTGATGGCATCCGTGTCATGATGGCCACTGCACCTCAAGACAACAAGATCTTCAGGGATTTGTGAGTCCTCATGTCATAAGGGATGCAATACATTGTGTCATCTCCTGTAACAACTGTGTCAGGTTGGCCAGAATGGCATCTCAAAGAACTATTGTACTTACTCCTGACCACAAAACAGTCCGGGGACAGGATCACCATTCTCACATGTAACAGTTTCAGCAAGATGGCACAAACAACTTATTTTACTTGCTCCCCATTACATTTTGTTAACCAGGTTTTCTCCTCTCATGGAATACTCTATCACAATATTTCTGACTACAGCCCCAGGGTTTTTTTTTTTTTTTTTTTTTTTGCTTCCAGCTTTTGGTAACAGGTTTCTAAGCCAACCAAGTTTGCTTTCCTGTCTGTAGTCTAATAGCCAAACAGACCATAAGAATCATGTCCCTGAAGAGTGTCTACATGGCCTATTTTGCTACTCAATTCATGTTCAGTAACTCATTGAGCTCATTATCCCAGGTATGGCTAGTTTATACCTAGTTCATACATCAATTTAGGCTAGAAGCCATACCTGGTATTAACTCTTTGTTACTTTTTGAGACATACTTCACCACATATTGTAATGTAATTATTACAACTGTTTCATGGATGCTTGAAAATAATGCATAGTATATAATTGTTGGGTTTAGGGCTGTGTACTCATGAAATCAAGTATTTTTATTATGTTGTTTGAAACTTCTAAATTCTTATTAAATTATTGGCTGTTTGAGCTATCAATTGCTGAGAGACGTGTTAAAATATATCTTTTAATGACTTTGCTTATTTCTGCTTGTACTTTTTTCAATTTTTGCTTTATATATCTTGAAGCTGTATTACTACAAGGTGTCTGGGACAAGACTTAATCTGGGAAGGCATCCCGAGGTCACCGTTGCACTTTCTCCTGACCATAGAACATATCCTGTTAACATGATTAATAGAGATGTCCTCTTTAACATCCTGCTTTCACATTAAGCAGCCTTATACGAGGATATGAGTCATCTCCTGTAATTATCATGAACCACACCTGTCACAAGAAACACCTTTATTATCCAGATTTTATATTTTTATAGCAAACTAACTTACATGATTTCTCACTGTAGCCCTATTTGTCCTCCCAGCTTTTAATGACCAGCTTCGACATTTTTCAAATTGCCTTTCTCATATAGTCTGACAGCCACCAAGACCATGTAATCCATTTTCTTAGGTAGTATGTACATGGTTTAACCAACTGCAAATAGCAGTACTCATCTAACTACCTTGCTACTGACAAACTCATGTTTGATAACTCACTGCCTTCCTCTACCCTGTCTCCTACCAATTATAATTTTTACCTTCTCCACACTCCTTGGATACCTTGTGTTATAGATGCCTTAGCCTTTTAATCAGGATTAGTGATGCCTTTTGGTTCCACTGATGGCATATTCCCATTACCCGTCTAGGAAGCTAAAGAACAACTCATTGGAGTCCTTCCAAAAAAATAGAGGAAATCATACCAGTGGATTTCCATCCCCAGTTTTCTTACTCAACACCAAAAGGTCTTTTCTTGATGTAGTTTTTTTTTTTATTTTTATTTTTTATTTTTATTTTTGGAGACGGAGTCTCGCTCTGTCACCAGGCTGGAGTGCAGTGGTGCGATCTTGGCTCACTGCAACCTCCACCTTCCCGGATCAAGCGATTCTCCTGCCACAGCCTCCTGAGTAGCTGGGACTACAGGTGTGTGCCACCACGCCCGGCTAATTTTTTTTATTATTAGTAGAGATGGGCTTTCACCATGTTGGCCAGGATGGTCTCAATCTATTGATCTCGTGATCCACCTGCCTCGGCCTCCCAAAGTGCTGGGATTACAAGCCTGAGCCACTGTGCCTGGCCTGATATAGCTCTTAAAGTCCACCAACCCTCCCTTTTTATTTCCTGCCTTTTGTTCTTGACTGATTCCTCTCTCCTTTGTTTTAACAGCCAACTATTTTGAGTCTATCCGAAATAAGGTAAAGGCAAACACATATTCTGATAACTTTGCCTAGGCTGGTTTCCTTGCCTGGCAATATGAAAAGCTCCAGGTGACAGTTTTATCTCCTGCTGTTTTGTGATACAGAAGCAGTTGGCTTTTGCAATATTGGGAGGAGTCAATTCCTGGTCTCTACAAGTATCTAAGTCTGAGTGGTTGAGTAGTGAGTATTTATCTTATTTTATAGTTATGTATGTATATATGTATCTATGTATTTATTTGAGGTAGAATCTTGATCTGTCACCCAGGTTAGAGTGTAGTGGCACGGTCGTGGCTCACTGTAGCTAGCCTTGGCCTCCCAGCCTCGAGCAACCCTCCTGCCTCAGCCTCCCTAATAGCTGAGACTACAGGTATGTGCCAACACTCCAGGCTAATTTAAAACTTTTCTTTTGTAGAAATGGAGTTTCACCATATTGCCCAGACTTGTCTCAATCTTCTGGAGTCAAGCAAACCGCCTGCCTCAGCCTCCGAAACTGCCGAGGTTACTGGTTTGAGCCACCACATCCAGCCTAGTTACCTTATTTAAAACAATAAAAAATAACCCTAAAAAACAAAGTATTCACATATTACACATTTTAATGGGTTTTTAAATTGAAAGGCAGGCTAGGCGTGGTGGCTCACACTTGTTATCCCAGCACTTTGGGAGGCCGAGGTGGGTGGATCATTTGAGGTCAAGAGTTCGAGACCAGCCTGGTCAACATGGTGAAACCTCGTCTCTACTAAAAATAAAAAAAAAAAATAGCCCAGCTATTACAGGTGGTGCGCACCTGTAATCCCACCTATTCGGGAGGCTGAGGCAGGATAATCACTTGAACCTGGGAGGCAGAGGTTGCAGTGAGCTGAGATCGTGCCACTGCACTCCAGCCTGGATGACAAAGTGAGACTGTCTCAAAAATAAATAAATAAATAAATAAATAAATAAATAAATAAATAAATAAATTTAAAGGCAATGAATTTCCTCAAAATATTAGATAAAGCAAATTACTCAAATGCTTCCTCAAGTAAAAGACCAGTTGGGTCTCTTGGATTTATTCTTGTCTATTTATTATGAACCAATTTGGCCATCAACTTGAGTCTATACCTCTATGCTACTCTACTGACCTCCTGGTAATGCCCCTGCATTTACTAACATTCGGCATACATGTGGATGATTTATCTTACATTCAGAGTTCTGTATTACATGGAGACTGCTGCCTTTGAAAAACCATGTCCTCCAGCTTTAGTAGTTCCCTAAAAACTTCCCTCCATCTCCCTGTTTGATTGGTTCTTCCACTCCCCTGAGTTGCTATTCAGAGCAAGCAACTTGTTAAAGACAAGACTTTAACATATTCCCTCTTGTGCTGAGCTGCCCTCTTACACTTTATGGAGAAAACAGAAGGTGTCTGGAGGGAACACCACAATTTCCTACTTTTGCTATCTCTCTTCATTCATGAAGTTTCTCTGGAGATAGAGCTAGCACATCCTCCAGGACGGTATTTTGCATAAGGCCAGTTACTCTGTACTCTTAAGTTTCTCTAAACTGAAAATAATTTTTGAAGTGCCTGGGTTTCCTAAAACATTAAAAATAAGACCCATTAACCATATGATTAATTATATGATCCAGTGATCCCAATTCTGGGTAAATATCCAAAAAAATGAAAGCAAGTTCTCACAGTGATATTTGTACACTCATGTTCATAGCAGCATTATTCACAATAGCCAGAAGGTGAAAGCAACCCAAGTGTTTATCGATGAATAAATGGATAAACAAGATGTTGTATTTACATACAACGGATTTTTTTTTTTTTTGAGACAGAATCTCACTCTGTTGCCCAGGCTGGAGTGCAGTGGCGCGATCTCGGCTCAGTGCAACCTCTGCCTTCCAGGTTCAAGCAATTATCCTGTCTCAACCTCCCAAGTAGCTGGGATTACAGGCACCCGCCACCATGCCTGGCTAATTTTTTTGTATTTTTAGTACAGACAGGCTTTCACCGTGTTAGCCAGGCTGGTTTCATACTCCTGATCTCAAGTGATCCGCCTACTTCAGCCTCCCAAAGTGTTAGTATTACAGGCATGAGTCACCGCACCCGGCGTTAATGGAATATTATTCAGCTTTAAAAATGTAGGAAATCCGGTCATATGCTACAACGTGGATGAAAGTTGAGGACATTATTCAGTCCCCAAAAGAAAAATACTGTATAACTCCAGTTATAAGCAGTGTCTAACATAGTTAAATTCATAGAAACAGAAAATAGAATGGTGGCTACCAGGGGCCAAAAGGAGAGGAAAGTGGAGAATCGTTCTTTAATGCATACAGAGTTTCAGTTTTGCAAGATGAAAAAGTTCTGGAGATCTGTCACACAACAATGTAAATATACTTAACACTACCTAAGTGTACACTTAAAAATGATTAAAATGGTAAATTTTTATATTATCTGATCTTTACCCCGATTTTTTTTTTAAAGTCCCTAGACCTCATGTTTCTTTCTAGCTGCACCTGTTTTGGAAGAACTTTCCATGATCACTAACATCTCTTCTTTATCTCCCACTCCCTCTTCAACCCACTACCATCTGACTTCTGCCCTTGTTCAGGTTGTCAATGACCATTCCACTAAACCTGCTCTTGCTAAGGTTGTCAACCTCCCTATATTTTTATGCTTAGTATACTCAACTGAGAGTACTGGGGTCTGCTCACCACTTATTTCTAGAAGCTCTTACATCCTTTGGTTTCTGTGAGGCTCTGCCTTGTTCTTTGACAGACAATCGACAACTTTTTTTTTTTGCTGCCTTTTTTCCTTCATAAATGCTTGACCTGCTGCTTTTTATGTCTTTACAGTACTTTAGAGATTTCTTATGAAAGCTCAACTAAACCTGAAGTACCAACTATCAAATTTATCTCTGATCAGATCTCCCTCTGCCTGGTCAATTCTATCTGAATGACCCATAGGCTCTTATAACTTAACTTCTCAAATTAAACTCATCATTTCTCCTCTGTGTTCCCTTGCTCAACGATATTTATGCCCAAATCCTATTCTGAAATCTGGGAGTCATACTAGAATCCAAATTCCCCTTTATCCTCTACATGAAATTAGTCAAAAAGTTCTATTGATTCTAAGCCCCATTAATTCTCAAAATTCATCTCAACTGCCACTGCTTTAGTTTAGATTTTCATCACCCACTGCCTTCAAACTGGTGTCTCTGTCTCCAATTTTGTCTTCCTCAAATTAATCTTCTATGTTGTGTTAGAGTGATCATAAAAGTTAAATCTGACCATGAAGCTGGCCTACTTAAAAATCTTCAGTAGCTTACTGTTGCTCTAAGGGTAAACTCTCTACTCTTTAACATTCAGCATACCAAAGGCCCTGTGCTCCCTCAAATGATTATAGATGACTCCACTTTGGATTCAGCTATACTGCTTTTGTAATTCCCAGCAAGGTGCCACTAATGGCTTTGTTTGTGCTATTCCCTCTGCCTGGACTGTCTTTCCCTGTCTGCTTGGCTAAGCTCCCCTTCATGATTCAGCTTAGGTATCCCCCATTCATGCTCCCACATCATCCGATGCTATGCTGTGAGCACTACTGTATCCGGTCCCTCACTATATCTAGTTGTTCCAAGGCAGGGACTAAATTCTTCATTCCTGCACTCTGCGCCCTAGCACCATGCATTTTCGTGAATCACTCCCTGGTTTGGGGTACTGGTGTGTATGTGTATGCGCATGTGCGTATATGCGCATATGAATGGAGAGTAAATTTGAATTTTTGCTGGGCACACGGCGCAGTGAAGACAAGAAAGGGGCACTATTTTAACACAACCTTTTCCCGTGATCACCACCGAAAATTACTGACGAGTCAATCACCTCAGATCTCTCAAGCAGTCCAGCCTACGCAACAGTACTCCACCTCTGCGCCTGTGCGGGGAGGGTAAGGCGGGGCCAGCAACTTCCTCAGCTGGAGGGAGAGCGCACGGTGGAGCCGCCAGTTGAGAAGGACTCTGATCCGGCTCAGCTTTCCAATCAGCTGCGGAAGGAGCCACGCTTTCGGGGGTTGCAAGATGGCGGCCACCAGTGGAACTGATGAGCCGGTGAGACGCTGTTCTGGGGTCGGGTGAGTGGGGAGGTCGAGCCAGGTGGAGCCTTTTTTTTTTCTTTTTTGAGACAAGGTGTCACTCAGTCGCCCAGGCTGGAGTGCAGTGGTGGGATCACCGCTTACTGCAGCCTCGACCTCCAGCGCTCAGATCTTCCGCCCACCTCATCCTCCCGAGGAGCTGGGACTACAGGCCCGTGCCACCACGCCCAGCTACATTTTTTGTATTTTTTGTAGAGACGGGGTTTCGCCATGTTGCCCAGGCTGGTCTCAAACTCCTGGGCTCAGGCGATCCGCCCGCCTCGGCCTCCCAAAGTGCTGGGATTACAGGCACGAGTCACTGCGACTGGCCTTGGGGGGAGCCACCGCGCCCGGCCTTGGGGGGAGCCTTGAACTCTTTTTCCTCCTTTCTAGGTTTCCGGGGAGTTGGTGTCTGTGGCACATGCGCTTTCTCTCCCAGCAGAGTCGTATGGCAACGATGTGAGTATGACTCACCCACAGCTCCCACCCACTCAGCTAGCCTGGGATCTCTGCAGGACCTGCCTGCCACTAAGTTATAACTTCACGTCCTGATAATCTACTGCAGACCCTCTCCACTTACACCAGAAACTGCACCTTCGTTCAGTTCGTTTTAATCTTGGTCCACAAACGCAGGACTAACGCCTGTGGAAGTGGTTCCCCAAGTTGGCCACGCTTTAGAATTACTGGGGAGCTTTTAAACATCCCGCTGCCTAGATTGCAGTTCATACCACCTAAATCAGAATGTCTGGGTAATGAGAGCCAAGAATCAGTATTTTTAAAGGGTCTCTGAGGGATTCCATTGTGCAGCTTATGGTGTGTCTGGTTTAGAAAATTACTGAGAAAGTATATGAGGTATTTTCCAAAACAAGACAAGAGGATGTGAGAATAGTAAAAACACCCAAATAAGAGTGTGATACATATAATGAGTGGGTCAGGCCATAAGATCCAAATAATTTAGCTGAAGGAGAAATCCCTAAGGGGCCAAGGCAGTGGAAGACTTGACTGAGGAAATGGAGCTTTACCTGTATCCTCAAAGTGTAGGTGGACAAAGGACATGGATTGGCACGTGGGAAAAGTGCATGGTCTAAGGCATGGAGGTAACAAATGCAAATGGCTTTTTCTGGAGTCAGTGAAATAGCTCGGTCTCGTTGGAATGGGAGATTCCAGTGGAACCTCCAGTGGGGTGCTTGGTAAGACTTATTATAACCTTGACCTGTTTCATGTGCTAATTCATTTCTAGGTGTTACAGTATGGGGAATTGGCTGTTTGGTAAACAAAAATGATTATGACATGCTTCAGTCTTAAAAGTGAAAAGTAATTTTCATTTTGATTCTTTGTTCTCCCAACAACTCAGTGGAATTGATGGGTATATTATTTCAGTTTTACAATGATTTAACTCAATCCTGAGAAGGTGATTTATCTCCTGCTTTATTTAGTCTCCCAGCTTTCACTAGCAGCTGGGAAAAGATAGCCGGTGGCTCATTGTGTTCATTATACTGTGTAGGTAGCTTTTTTTGGTTGTCATACAGACAAAATAATTATTGTCCAAATTTATTACTCCAGTTTTTATCATTTGACAGTAACATCAAGTTTGGTAGCCCTCTTGAGCATTAACTAGACATCCACATACTTCCTTAATTTGCTATTCAGTAGTAGGATGGGGAGATTTATGACCTGGCATTCTTCACTCCTTTGCAGCCTGACATTGAGATGGCTTGGGCCATGAGAGCAATGCAGCATGCTGAAGTCTATTACAAGGTGAGTTGTCTTTCTTCATCATTAAGCAGAATTAAACATGTAATTATAGTGTATGATGCTCTGCTTATCACTATTCTCAGCAAGTTAAACAGTTGTGTTTTGGAGATCGTTTTTATTAATGTAAGTTCTTACCCACAGACAACAGAGGAGCGAAGGCAAATTTGTTTCTACAATGAGTTCTGCTGCTTTGCCCAGCGTTATAATGCTAACTGACAAAAGGGCGTCTGGCCCATACATAGTAGGCACTTAATAAATGTTTGTTGAATGAATGAACAATCCACGGAGGGCAATAGCCAGGCAGTACTGTGGTTAAGTAAGCCAACTGCCAAATTGGTGGAAGGGATTGTAATAATATATTATGGCCTTAAACTGTGTCATGATTTCATCTAGGATGTAGACTGTCGACACTTCCTGAAGAGATCTTCTGCCCTGAGAACCATAAAGGTTTTCTGGTGGGGATGGGGAAGATAGAAGTATAGTAAATTACAGACTAGCATCTGTATGTTGTCTTACTGTTTCGCAGCTGATTTCATCAGTTGACCCACAGTTCCTGAAACTCACCAAAGTAGATGACCAAATTTACTCTGAGTTCCGGAAAAATTTTGAGACCCTTAGGATAGATGTGTTGGACCCAGAAGAACTCAAGTCAGAATCAGCCAAAGAGGTAAAAATTCTCTTTCTTAAATATTACTTAGCATTTAACCAACAATTTTTGATTGCGAATGTTTTTTTACATTTAAGCTCTTTTTTTGTTTGAGAAAAATATGTAAAGAACCAGAACTTCTTTTCTAGTTGTAATCAACTAAGTTAGGAAATGAATGTTTTTCCAGTTTATGGACTTTTCATGTTGTTGAGTCTATTTTTTTCTCCTTTTTGTCTTGGACATTTTAAATCTCCACCCATCAGCCCTTTCAGAGGAGGATGGATCAGTTTATTTAGGTAGTATAGCCAGAAGGCTTGGATGGGGAGTGGCAAATAGGGTATAGGAAGGTGTTTTGATTCTCTGGATTTAAGTTCATGTGATTACAGGCCATGGGTAACTGGAAAACTTTTGTTTTTCATTGCTTATGTGATTATCCTATACTTTGATAGGAAACTAACACATTTACAGTTAGGAAAAAAATGTTTTCCTTGAGAGTAAACCCTTGGCTAATGAAGAATCTAAAGTTTTTGTTTGTTTGTTTGTTTTGTTTTGTTTTTTGTTTTTTGGTTTTTTTTTTTTGATACAGGGTCTCACTCTGTTGCCCAGGCTGGAGTGCGGTGGTGCCATCTCAGCTCACTGCAACCTCCGCCTCTCAAGCTCAAACAGTCCTCCTGCTTCAGCCTCCCTAGTAGGTGGGACTGCAGGTGCATGCTACCATGCCCAGCTAATATTTTGTATTTTTGGTAGAGACAGGGTTTCACCATGTTGACCAGGCTGGTCTTAAACTCCTGAGCTCAAGCGATCCGCCCGCCTCGGTCTTTCAAAGTGCTGGGATTGCAGGCGTGAGCCACCACACCCAGCCAAGAAACTACACTTTTAACTCCTAGCAGGCAGTTAGTGATCTTTGTCTTTGGAAAACTGTCACTACTGAATGGACTTCTTTATTAAAATCATTTGTGTTTTAGTGGGGATAGATGACCATTTTGGGCTGAACTGACCAATAACTTCAAAACAAAACAATTGACTTAAGAAATAATATTTTAATTCTGCAGTAAAGGATTTATATATTTTTCAGAGTAAAATATTGTTCATCTTGGGAAATGGCAGTCTAAAGACACAATAGGTAGCACAGAAACGCATTGCTAGTTTCACTGTGAAACCAACAATCACCTCAATCCCAGTCTCACTATGATTATTTTCCTTACTGGGAAAATGGAAGTCCCTCTCCTGGCCTTAGTACGTCAGCCTCTTGCATTTGTCAGCTAAAGCATCGTTTTTGCCTTTATAGAAGTGGAGGCCATTCTGCTTGAAGTTTAATGGGATTGTTGAAGACTTCAACTATGGTACTTTGCTGCGACTAGATTGTTCTCAGGGCTACACTGAGGAAAACACCATCTTTGGTGAGTTTCTTCCCTCTGGAATTGTTTCTGTGTAAGGAGACTGAACAGTCTGGCTTTACTGATGAATCAGTGATGTGTATAGTTAGGTCACCTTATCTTGTTTCATCTTTAAAGATCTTGTTGCTATTTTTATGTAACTTGAAGATAGTTAAGTATTTTCAATCTCATTAATATGAGATTGGAATTAAAGATCTCTGAAGTTTATGACTATACTGGAATGGTTTGCATGTTATTTCAATTTTGTCAGTAGATTTCCAGCATATTTAGGGAACAGGCCAGGCACAGTGTCTCATGCCTTGTAATACCAGCACTTTGGGAGGCTGACATGGGAGGATCACTTGAGCTGAGGATTTTGAGACCAGCCTGGGCAACATAGGGAGACCCCATCTCTACAAAAATGTTTAAAAAATTAGCCAGGTATAGTGGTGAGTGTTTGTAGTTCCAGCTATTCAGGAGATTGAGGCAGGAGGATTGCTTGAACCAGGGAAATTGAGGCTGCAGTAAGCTGTGATTGTGCCACTGCAGTCCAGCCCTGGTCATCAGAGTGAGACCCTGTCTCAAAAAAAAGAGATTTAGGGAATAAGCTGAGAGTAGGATGATAATCAATTCTGTTCACTTTTCAGCCCCCAGGATACAATTCTTTGCCATTGAAATTGCTCGGAACCGGGAAGGCTATAACAAAGCTGTTTATATCAGTGTTCAGGACAAAGAAGGAGAGAAAGGAGTCAACAATGGAGGAGAAAAAAGAGCTGACAGTGGAGAAGAAGAGAACACCAAGAATGGAGGAGAGAAAGGAGCTGATAGTGGAGAAGAAAAAGAGGAAGGAATCAACAGAGAAGACAAAACTGACAAAGGAGGAGAAAAAGGGAAAGAAGCTGACAAAGAAATCAACAAAAGTGGTGAAAAAGCTATGTAAGGTATACAGGGAACAGCACTCTAGAAGCTATGACTCAATTGAGACTACAAGTACCACGGTGCTACTTGCACAGACCCCTTTGGTTAAATGTAAATTCTTGTACAATTGAAGGATACGCAGAAGGACATCTTTCTAGTCTAACAGTCAGGAGCTGCTCTGGTCATTCCCTTGTATGAACTGGTCTAAAGACTGTTAGTGGGGTGTTAGTTGATTTTTCCTGGTATACTGTTTCTTGGCTGACACTACTGGTCAAGTAAGAAATTTGTAAATAAATTTCTTTTGGTTCTTATTATCTATATCTGTGACTGACTTTAAAAAGGTATTTGACACTTGAAATTTTTTTCAAATATGTAATCTCATCACCATGTCTTATATAAGATAATTTACTCCTGTTTCTTACTGCTTCTCACTGTTTCCTGTAGTGAAGTTCTCTAAACTTGTTAAGTTATACCTGGTGTTGGGATTAGAAGTCCTTACATAAGAATTGACTCTTAATCTCTGAGTGACTATAACTCCCTGATTTCTTTGCTATATATGACAAAATATTTGATAAATAGCAGCAACCTGAACCTGTCAAACTAGTGAATGCAGCCCAGTTCATATTAGAAGAGCAAGAGACTGGACATGCTTCAGTATTTGCTTTTCTTTTGGTAGCCAGAATGTTACCTGAAAGCTAGCAAAAAAAAAAAAAAAAAAAAGGGAAAACCAGACAGAGTAGCTACCCCCTTTTTTTTTTTTTTGGAGATGGAGTCTTACTCTGACTCCCAGGCTGGAGTGTAGTGGCACAATCTTGGCTCACTGCAACCTTGGCCTCCTGGGTTCAAGTGATTCTCCTGCCTCAGCCTCCCAAGTAGCTGGGACTACAGGTGCGTGCCACCATGCCCAGCTAATTTTTTGTATTTTTAGTAGAGACGGGGATTCTGTGAAGAAAGTCAATGGTAGCTTGATGGGGATAGCATTATATCTATAAATTACTTTGGGCAGTATGGCCATTTTCACTATATTGATTTTTTTCTCTCCATGAGCATGGAATGTTTTTCCATCTGTTTGTGTCCTCTCTTATTTCCTAGAGCAGTGGTTTGTAGTTTTCCTTGAAGAGGTCCTTCACATCCCTTGTAAGTTGTATTCCTAGGTATTTTATTCTCTTTGTAGCAATTATGAATGGGAGTTCACTCATGATTTGGCTCTGTTTGTCTATTTTTGGTTTATTGGTGATTTTTGCACATTGATTTTATATCCTGAGACTTTGCTGAAGTTGCTTATCAGCTTAAGGAGATTTTGGGCTGAGACGATGGGGTTTTCTAAATATACAATCATGTCATCTGCAAACAGAGACAATTTGACTTCCTCTCTTCCTATTTGAAAACGTTTTATTTCTTTCTCTTGGCTGATTGCCCTGACCAGAACTTCCAATACTACATTGAATAGGAATGGTGAGAGAGGGCATCCTGGTCTTGTGCCGATTTCCAAAGGGGATGCTTCCAGCTTTTGCCCATTCAGTATGATATTGGCTGTCGGATTATCATAAATAGCTCATTATTTTGAGATACGTTCCATCAATACCTAGTTTATTGAGAGTTTTTAGCATGAAGGGGTGTTGAATTTTATGGAAGGCCTTTTCTGCATCTAATGAGATAATCATGTGTTTTTTGTCATTGGTTCTGTTTATGTGATGGATTATGTTTATTGATTTGCATATGTTGAACCAGCCTTGCAACCACAGGATGAAGCTGACTTGATCGTGGTGGATAAGCTTTTTGATGTGCTGCTGTATTCGGTGTGCCAGTATTTTATTGAGGATTTTCCTATTGATGTTCTTCAGGAATATTGGCCTAAAATTATCTTTTTTTTGTTGTGTCTCTGCCAGGCTTTGGTATCAGGATGATGTTGGCCTCATAAAATGAGTTAGGGAGGAGTCCCTCTTTTTCTATTGATTGGAATAGTTTCAGAAGGAATGGTACCAGCTCTTCCTTGTACCTCTTGTAGAATCTGGCTGTGAATCCGTCTGGTCCTTGACTTTTTTTTTGGTTGGTAGGCTATTAATTACTGCCTCAATTTCAGACCTTGTTATTGGTCTATTCAGGGATTCGACTTCTTCCTGGTTTAGACTTGGGAGGGTGTATGGGTCCAGGAACTTATCCATTTCTTCTAAGTTTTCTAGTTTATTTGCATAGAGGTCTTTTTAGTATTCTCTGATGGTAGTTTGTATTTCTGTGGGATCAGTGGTGATATCCCCTTTATCATTTTTCATTGTGTCTATTTGATTCTCTTTTCTTCTTTATTAGCCTGGCTAGCAGTCTATCTATTTTTTTGATCTTTTCAAAAAACAGCTCCTGGATTCATTGATTTTTTGAAGGGGTTTTTGTGTCTCTGTCACCTTCAGTTCTGCTCTGATCTTAGTTATTTCTTATCTTTAGTTAACTTTTGAATTTGTTTCTCTTGCTTCTCTAGTTCTTTTAATTGTGATGTTAGGGTGTCGATTTTAGATATATCCTGCTTTTTCTTGTGGGCATTTAGTGCTATAAATTTCCCTCTAAATACTGTTTTGGCTGTGTCCCAGGGATTCTGGTATGTTGTGTCTTTTTTCTCATTGGTTTCATAGAACATCTTTATTTCTGCCTTCTTTTCGTTATTTTCCCAGTAGGCATTCAATAGCAGGTTGTTCAGTTTCCATGTAATTGTGCAGTTTTGAGTAAGTTTCTTAATCCTACTTTCTAATTTGATTGCACTGTGGTCTGAGAGACTGTTTGTTATGATTTCCATTCTTTTGCATTTGTTGAGGAGTTTTTACTTCCAATTATGTGGTCAATTTTAGAATAAGTGTGATGTGGTTCTGAGAAGAATATATATTCTGTTGATTTGTGGTGGAGAGTTCTGTAGATGTCTACTAGGTCTGCTTGTTCCAGAGCTGCATTCAAGCCGTGAATATCCTTGTTAATTTTCTGTCTCATTTATCTTTCTAATATTGACAGTGGGCTGTTAGTCTACCACTATTATTGTGTGGGAGTCTAAGTCTCTTTGTAGTTCTCTATGAATTTGCTTCATGAATCTGGGTGCTCCTTATTGGGTGCATATCTATTTAGGATAGCTAGTTCTTTTTGTTGCATTGATCCCTTTACCATTATGTAATACCCTTCTTTGTCTCTTTTGGTCTTTGTTGGTTTAAAGTCTGTTTTATCAGAGACTAGGATTGGAACCCCTGCTTTCTTCTGCTTTCCATTTGCTTGGTAAATATTTCTCCATCCCTTTATTTTGAGCCTATGTGTGTCCTTGCACGTGAGATGGGTCTCCTGAATACAGTACACTGATGGGTCTTGACTCTATCCAATTTGCCAGTCTTTGTCTTTTAATTGGGGCATTTAGCCCATTTACATTTAAGGTTCATATTTTTAATGTGTGAATTTGATTCTGTCATTATGATATTAGCTGGTTATTTTGCCTGTTAGTTGATGCAGTTTCTTCATAGTGTTGATGGTCTTTACAATTTGGTATGTTTTTGCAGTGACTAGTACCGGTTGATCCTTTCCTTGTTTAGTGCTTCCTTCAGGAGCTCTTGTAAGGCAGGCCTGGTGGTGACAAAATCTCTCAGCATTTGCTTGACTGTAGAAGATTTCATTTCTTCTTCGCTTATGAAGCTTAGTTTGGCTGGATATGAAATTCTGGGTTGAAAATTCTTTTAAGAATGTTGAATATTACCCTCCACTCTCTTCTGGCTTGTAGCATTTCTGCATAGAGATCCGGTGTTAATCTGATGGGTTTCCCTTCGTGGGTAACCCGACCTTTCTCTCTGGCTGCCCTTCACATTTTTTCCTTCATTTCAACCTTGGTGAACCTGACGATTATGTGTCTTGGAGTTGCTCTTCTCGAGGAGTATCTTAGTGGTGTTCTCTGTATTTCCTGAATTTGATTGTTGACCTCTCTTGCTATTTTGGGAAAGTTCTTCTGGATAATACCCTGAAGAATGTTTTCCAACTTGGTGCCATTTTCCCCGTCACTTTCAGGTACACCAATCAATCATAGGTTTGGTCTTTTCACATAATCCCATATTTCTTGGAGGCTTTGTTTACTTCTTTTCATTCTTTTTTCTCTCATCTTGTCTTCACACTGTATTTCATTACATTGATCTTCATTCTCTGATAGCCTTTCTTATGCTTGATCGATTTGACTATTGATCCTTGTGTATGCTTCACGAAGTTCTCATGCTGTGTTTTTTAGCTCCATCAGGTCATTTATGTTCTTCCCTAAACTGGTTATTCTAGTTAGCCATTCTTCTAACCTTTTTTCAAGATTCTTAGCTTCCTTGAACTGGGTTAGAACATGCTTCTTTAGCTCAGAGGAGTTTCTTATTACCCACCCTCTGAAGCGTACTTCTGTCAGTTTGTCAAACTCATTCTCCACCTAGTTTTGTTCCCTTGGTGGCGAGGAGTTGTGGTCCTTTGAAGGAGAAGAGGCATTCTGGTTTTTGAAATTTTCAGCCTTTTTGTGCTGTTTTTTTCTCCTCTTCGTGCATTTATCTACCTTTGCTCTTTGATGTTGGTGAGCTTTGGATGAGGTTTCTGTCTAGACGTCCTTTTTGTTGATGTTGATGCTATCCCTTTCTGTTTTTTAGTTTTCCTTCTAACAGTCAGCCCCCTCTCCTGCAGGTCTGCTGTAGTTTGCTGGAAGTCCACTCCAGACTCTATCTGCCTGGGTATCACCAGCAGAGGCTGCAGAACAGCATAGATTGCTGCCTCTTCCTTCTTCTAGAAGCTTCATCCCAGGGGGCCCCCGCCGGATGCCAGCCGGAGCTCTCCTGTATGAAGTGTCCGTCGACCCCTGCTGGGAGGTGTCTCCCAGTCAGGACACACAGGGGTCAGGGACCCACTTGAGGCAGTCTGTTTCTTAGCAGAGCCCCAGCGCTGTGCTGGGAGATCCACTGCTCTCCAGAGCTGGCAGGCAGGAACGTTTAAGCCTGTTGAAGCTGCACCCACAGTCGCCCCTTCCCCCAGGTGCTCTGTCCCAGGGAGATGGGAGTTTTATCTATAAGCCCCTGACTGGGGCTGCTGCCTTTCTCTCAGAGATGCCCTGCCCCGAGAGGAGGAATCTAGAGAGGCAGTCTGGTTACAGTGGCTTTGCTCAGCTTCGGTGGGATCCACCCAGTTCAAACTTCTGGGAGGCTTTGTTTACACTGTGAGGGGAAAACCACCTACTGAAGCCTCAGTAATGGCAGATGCCCCTCCCCCCACCAAGCTTGAGAGTCCCAAGTGGACTTCAGACTGCTGTGCTGGTTGCAAGAAATCAAGCCAGTGGATCTTAGCTTTCTGGGCTCCGTGGGGGTGGGTTCTGCTGAGCTAGACCACTTGGCTCCCTGGCTTCAGCCTCCTTTCCAGGGGAGTGAACGGTTTTGTCTCACTGGCGTTCCAGGTGCCACTGGGGTTTGAAAAAATATTCCTGCAGCTAGCTTGGTATCTGCCCAAAAGGTATTCCAGTTTTGTGCTTGAAACCAGGTCCCTGGTAGCATAGGCACCATAGGGACTCTCCTGGTCTGCAGGTTGCGAAGACCATGTGAAAAGCATAGTATCTTGGCCTGAGTGTCCTCAGGGCACAGTCCCTCATGGCTTCCCTTGGCTAGGGGAGGGAGTTCCCCATCCCTTTCCCTTCCCAGGTGAGGCAACGCCCCACCTTGCTTCAGTTTGCCCACCGTGGGCTGCACCCACTGTCTAACCAGTCCCAATGAGATGAGCTGGGTACCTCAGTTGGAAATGCAGAAATCACCTGCCTTCTGTGTTGATCTCGCTTAGAGCTGCAGACCGGAGCTGTTCTTATTTGGCCATCTTGCCAGCCACCGTCTAATGGCTTTTCAGAGTACGTGCTTCAGTTATCTCCACATGTATATAAAAGTTTATTCATTACCTCATAGACACACTGAACTTGACTGCTGAAACTGGTTAGAAGAAACCACAATGTTTATAGTACATACAGTAAATACAAGGCTAACCACAGCATGATGATGCAAGAAAGGATTTACCAAAGCAGAGAAGGGGAAAATGAGGCTTTTTTTATTCCAGTGGACACAGGGAAAAAATAAAATTAAAACTAATTGACAAGTTATGCCCTAGGCAAGAGCTGAACTGTAGATGCATACATCTAGCAGCAACAATTGTGCACAAAGCAAATAGGTTTCTCCATGAATTGTCTTTGGCAAATTCTTAGAAATATTTAAAACATTTGTTACAGTCTTCGTTTTATAAAAATGTCATTTTTAAAAGGGGTAAGAGAATGTTAAATACTTCATACTAGACAGACTTTGTTATTAAGAACTTTTACTGTATTAACTTTTTCTAGTTCATATCTTATTAAATATTAACAAAAGTGCATTCATATACATTGCCTCAGGCTGAGGAAGAATAAAGATTATTGGCCACATACAATTGTGCCCCTGATGGCCTTTTCCAGGTAGCTCACCAGTAAGAAAATGTGCTTAATGACTTCTCTCTGATTGGTTTTAGAGAATAAGAAACATGCAGTTGAAAGTCAGAGTACTTTAAAGCAAGAGGCATCTGTCCAAAGACTGGTTGATGAAATCTGGGGAAAGGGAGGGAAATACAAAGAATACTGTGGCTGCCCTATAAGGGAACAGGAATTCAAGGCAGTATCCAAAGTTAGAGGTAAAGGAGCGGGCAGAATGGTGCTCTGGTGCGGTAAGCAATTCTTAAGATGGACTTAAGGTAACCACCACTTGGCATACATGTCCTTTATAATTCCCATCTGTTTCAGTGTGGGCATGACTTGTGAATATGAAGAAATTTTATTCCTGTGATTAAGTTACTGATCATTTTATTTTGAGTTAATCAAAGGGGAGATTATCCTGAGTGGATCTTGCCTAATCAAGTGAGCTCTTAGACAAGTGGCCACAGCAGATGTTCTCATGTTGGCCTTGAGGAAGCAAACAGCCATGTTGTGAGAGGAGGGTACTTTGTGGTAAGGACATGAGAGTGGCTTTCTAGGACCTGAGATTGTTCCCTGTCCGACAGCAAGAAAACAGGATTTCACTCTTAAGTTGCAAGTAATTGAATTCTGCCAACAACCAGTGAGCTTGTAGAAGACCTCAAGCCTCAGATGAGATTGATACCATGACTTCAGCCCTGTGAGATCCTGAACAGAGGACTCAGTTAAACTGTACCTGGACTCCTGACCCATAGGACTGTGCGATAATAAATGGGTGTTGTCTTAAGCCACTAATTACATGTCAATTTGTTACAGAGCAATAGAAAACGACCACAGACTTTGGTACTTGGAGTGGAGTGCCACTGTAACAAATGACTAAAATGTGAAAGGGGGCTTTGAAATCAGGTACTGAATTGAGGCTGGAAGAATTTTGAGGAGCATGATAGAGAAAGCCCAAATTGCCTTAAACAGACTTTCAGTAGAAATAAGGACTTTAAGGACGCTGCTGGTGAGGGCTCAGAAGGAAGTAAGGAACAGATTATTGGAAAGTAGAGGAAGGGGGACTGTAGCGTTGTAGTTAGCAGGAAATTTGAGATTTGAGTCCTTGTTCTGAATTATTTGAAAGATGTTATTCAGACTTACCATAGTGTGCAAACAACTATTTATTCGGAATGTGGTAGCATTCCAATAAGACATCTTTTGGAGGCAGGAAAAAGGTATAGAGTAATTTTTTACACTTGCAGAAGGGAAAACTGCAGCCATATTTAAGTTTTAAGTCACAAAATTTTTGGTAATTTGTTACATCAATAATAGGAAATTAATAAAGAAGACATGCTGAGCACTACCCCAAAAGTAGAGACATTCACTGCACTGTCATTGTTTATTTTGAAACTGTAAACACAGGGATATGTCGTACCAGAGGACTGAAGACATAACCTGCATACAAAGTGAGCTTGAATGGTTGTAAACCATTTTTAATTTACTCTCCACAGGAACTCTATAGCTGAGTTTGTGTGTGTTGGGTGGTATTGGTATAACTGGAAGTTCTCTAAATTTACCTTTATGGACGATAGGATTCTTATTAAAGAGAATGTGCTAATTTGAAGCTGACGTATACATATTAATAAAACTCAACAGTAACTTCATCGATTGTATAGAGCTTGGACCAAGAAAATATTTTTCTGGGGAAAAGTATTTTATCATTAACATTGTTTAAAATTGCCAGAGCATGATGAAAATTTAAGCAGACAAAGTTGGTTTTTCTGTTTTTAAATTTTCTACAGAGAATACACCTTTTTTATAGCCTGCACTCAGTGTGGACAATTCTCATTACCCAACTTTGCTACATCATTATTGTTTTCACAAATTTGTCATTCAGATAAATAGTATCATAACTGATTGTTCAAAAATAAAGGCATGTATGTATGTTATGTAAACAGTCATTTTGCCATGCCTAAATGTTTCTATCTCTAGAATTGTGAAAACATTACGACTGTCAATACGTTGTTGGTTTCCTGAATTACACTGCTGCCACTTGACTATATAACTGGCTAGTTTTTGAAATGTTTTAAATTTTGGATTCAGGGAACACATGTGCAGGTTTGTTACCTGGGTATATTGCATGATGCTCAAGTTTGGAGTATAGATGGTCCCATCACCCAGATAGTGAGCATAGTACCCAATAGGTAGTTTTTCAGCACATAACCTCCTCCTTTACTCTCCCCCTCTAGTAGTCCCCAGTGTCTGTTGTTCTCATCTTTATGTATATTTGTTTTCAATGTTTAGCTCCTACTTACGAGTGAGACCATGTTGCTGCAAAGGACATGATTTCATTCTTTTTTATGGCTGTGTAGTATTTCATGGTTCATGGTGTATATGTGCCACATTTTCCTTATCCCTGACACCATTGATGGGCATCTGGGTTAATTTTACATGTTTGCTATTGTGAATAGTGCTGCTATGAACATATGAATGCATATGGCTCTTTGATAGAATGATTTATTTTTTTGAGACAAGAGTCTTACTCTGTCGCCCAGGCTGGAGTGCAGTGGCATGATCTCGGCTTACTGCCATCTTCGCCTTACAGGTTCAAGTGATTCTCATGCCTCAGCCTCCTGAGTAGTTGAGATTATAGGCATGCACCACAATACCCGACTGATTTTTGTATTTTCAGTACAAATGGGATTTCACCATGTTGGCCAGGCTGGTCTCGAATTCCTGGCCTCAAGTGATCCACCCACCTTTGCCTCCCAAAGTGCTGGGATTACAGGTGTGATGGCCTAGAACAATTTATTTTCCTTTGGTACATACCCACTAATGGGATTGCTGTGTTGAATGGTAATTCTAAATTCTTTGAGAAACCTCTAAGCTGCTTTCCACAATGGCTGAACTAATTTACGTTCCCCCCAGCAATGTATACATGTTCCCTTTTATCCACAGCCTTACCAACATCTGTTATTTTTTAAATTTTTATAGCCATTCTGACTGTTGTGAGATGGTATCTCTGTGATTTTGATTTTTATTTCTCTGATGATTAAAGATGAGCATTTTTAAAAATATATTTGTTGGCTACTTGTATGTCTTTTTCTAAGAAGTGTCTGTTCATGTCTTTTGCCCACGTTTTCATGAAGTTATTGGTTTTTCGCCTGTTCAATTGTTTAAGTTACTTATAGACTCTGGATATTACACCTTTGTCAGATGCAGTTTGTTAATATTTTCTTCCATCCTGTAGGCTGTCTGTTTACTCTGTTAATAGTTTCTTCTGGTGTGCAGAAACTCTTTAATTAGGTCCCATTTGTTAATTTTTGTTTTTGTTGCAATTGCTTTTGAGGACTTAGTCATAAATTCTTTGCCAAAGCTGATATCTAGAAGGGAATTTCCTAGATTTTCTTTTAAGATTTTTATAGTAAGAGATCTTAAATTTAAATGTTTTATCCAGCATGTTAATTTTTGTATGTGGTAAAAGGAAGGGGTTGTTTCATTCTTCTGCATAGGGCTAGCCAGCTATTCCAGCACCATTTACTAACTAGAAACTTCTTTCCCCATTTCTTATTTTTATCAAATTTATTGAAGATCAGTTGGTTGTAGGTGTGCAGCTTTATTTCTGGGTTCTCTTACTCTCTTTCATTGGTCTATATGTCTGTTTTTGTACCATTATCATGCTATTTTGCTTACTGTAGCCTTGTAGTATAGTTAGAAGTTGTGTAATGTGATGCCTACAGCTTTTTTATTTTTGCTTAGGATTGCTTTGACTATTCCAGCTCTTTTTTGGCTTCATTTGGAATTTTTTTTTCTATTTTTGTGAAAAATGATGTTGGTAGTTTGATAGCATTGAATCTGTAGATTGCTTTGTGTAGTATAGCCATTTTAACAACATTGATTCTTCTAATCAATGAGCATGTAATGTTTTCTTATTTGTTTGTGTCATCTATTATTTCTTTCATCAGTGTTTTATAGTCCTCCTTGTAGAGATCTTTTCCTTCCTTAGATAGGTGTATTCCTAGGTATTTTATATTTTGTGGCTTTTGTAAATGGAATTGCATTATTGATTTGGCTCTCAGCTTGAATGTTATTGGTGTATAGAAACGCTACTGATTTTTGTACATTGATTTTGTATCCTGAAACTTTATTGAAGTAATTTATCAGTTCTGGGAGCTTTTGGGCAGAGTATTGTTTTCTAGGTATAAAATCATATCATTGGTGAAGAGAGATAATTTTACTTTTTCTTTTCCTATTTGGATACCTTCTTTTTATTTCTCTTGCCTGATTGCCCATGGAGGATTTTACATGGGAGATTTTTATTGGCCAGTCCTAGAACTGATATGTATCTTCTACTCACATTCTTTCAAATATAACTCAGTCCCCTGCAAGAGGACTGCAGAGGAGAGGGGGAAATTTATTCTAGGCATGTGCCCAGGAAAATGAGGAGAAAAATGTTTTGATGATTACCTACCCAGTCACTGTTACAGTAGGTAGTTATTCTTGTCTCCTATGCATATGATTGATTTCAGCTTATTCAGCTTATTCATTTCTCAAATTCTAGAAACAAGTTCCCAGTCTGTTACTCTGTTACCCAATGAATTTCTAATTGCACACTTCTTTTTTTTTAAACCAGCTTTACTGAGGTATAATTGTGAAATGAAATTGTATATATTTAAGTTGTACATGATGTTTTGATACACATATACAATACATTATGAATGGATTACCACAATCAAGCTAATTAACATACCTATCACCTCCCGTTATTACCACTTGTTTTTTTCTGGTGAGAATACTAAAGATCAACTCTCTTAAATTTCACGTATACAATACTTTATTAACTATAGTCATCATTTTGTACATCAGGAGTCCAGAACTCATTCATCTTGCAATTGAAGGTCTGTGCCCTTTGAAAACTATCTCTTCATTTCCTTCACCCCAGCCACTGGCCATCACCCTTCCACTCTCTGCTTCTATAAGTTCAACTGTTTCAGAGTTCACATATAAGTGAGATCATGCAGTAATTGACTATCTGTATCTGGCTTATTTTACTTTGCATAATGCCCTCCAGGTTTATATGTGTTGTAACAAATAACAGAATTTTCTTCATTTTTAAGGCTGAATATTATTTTATCATATATATATATATATATATATATGGTGTATACATATATATATGGTGTGTGTATATATATACATATGTATATATACACCATATTTTCTTTATTCATTCACCCATCAATAAACATGTAAGTTGTTTTCTAGGCTATTGTGAATAATGCTCCAGTGAGCACTGGGGGTGCAGTATGTCTTTGAGAAGTGATTTTATTTTCTTTGTATATATACTCAGAAAGGGAGACTGCCAGATAATACGGTTATTTTATTTTTAAGATTTTGAGGAACCTCCATACTAATTTCATAATGACTTTACCAATTTATAATACATTCTCAACAACAGTGTACAAGGGGTTCCTTTTCTTCACATCCTCACCAATACTTATCTTTTTACTTTTGATAATGGCCATTCTAACAGGTGTGTGGTGATATTTAATTGTAGTTTTGATTTGCATTTTCCTGGTGATTGGTGATGTTGGACATTTTTTCACATACCTGTTGGCCATTTGCATTTCTTCTTTGAAAAAATTTCTATTCAGGGTCTTTGATAATTTTTCTTTTCTTTTTTTTTTTGCTATTGAGTTGTATGAATTTCTTATATTTTTGGATATTAACCTCCAATCAGATATATGACTTGCAAATATTTTTTCTCATTACCTACGCTTCCATTGATTTCATTTTTTTCTTTGCTATGGAGAAACATTAGATTGATGAAGTCTCAGTTGTATATTTTTCCTTTTGTTCCCTGTGCTTCTGGTGCCATTAAAAAAAATTACTGCCAAGACAAATGTCATAAAGCTTTGGCCTTATTTTCTTCTGGTAATTTTATGCTTTCAAATCTTACATTTGAATCTTTGATCTATTTTGAGTTGATTTTTGTATATGAGGTGAATAAGGGTCCAATGTCATTCATCAGCATGTGGATATCTACTTTTGCCAACAGTATTTATTGAAGAGACTGTCATATCCCCCTTGTGTTTTCTTGGCTTTTTTTTTAGATCAAATTACCATAAACTGTTGGATTTATTTCTGGTCTCTCTCTTTTCTTCCATTGATCTATGTATCTGTTTTTATATCAGTACCATGCTGTTTTGATTACTGTTGCTTTGTAATATAATTAGAAACAGTTTTTAAATTTTTGTTCAAGATTGCTTTGGCTATTCAGATCTTTTGTGGTTCCATGTGAATTTTATAATTTCTTTTGCTATTTCTGTGAAAATTTCATTGGAGTTTTGACAGGGATTGCATTGAATCTGTAGACCACTTTCAGTAATATGGATTTTTTAACAATATTAATTCTTCCAATCCATGAACATGGTATATCTTTCTATTTGTTTGAGTCTTCTTCAGTTTCTTTCATCATTGTCGTATAGTTTTGGGTGTAGAGATCTTTTACCTCCTTGGTTAAATTTATTCGTAGACATTTTATTTTTTACAACCATTGCAAATGGGGCAGTTTTCTGGATTACTTCTTCAGATAGTTCATTTTTAGTTTATAAAAATGCTTACAATTTTTTATGTTGCTTTTGTGTCCTGCAACTTTACTCAATTCATTCATTAGTTCTAACAGTTATTTTGGTGGAGTACTTAGGGCCTTCTATATATAAGACAGTGCTATCTTTAAATAAATCATGCTGCTATAAAGACATATGCACACATATGTTTATTGCAGCACTATTCACAATAGCAAAGACTTGGAACCAACCCAAATGTCCAACAATGATAGACTGGATTAAGAAAATGTGGCACATATACACCATGGAATACTATGCAGCCATAAAAAATGATGAGTTCATGTCCTTTGTAGGGACATGGATGAAGCTGGAAACCATCATTCTCAGCAAACTATCACAAGGACAAAAAACCAAACACCACATGTTCTCACTTATAGGTGGGAATTGAACAATGAGAACACATGGACACAGGAAGGGGAATATCACACACCGGGGACTGTTGTAGGGTTGGGGGAGGGGGAAGGGATAGCATTAGGAGATATACCTAATGCTAAATGATGAGTTAAAAGGTGCAGCACACCAACATGGCACATGTATACATATGTAACAAACCTGCACATTGTGCACATGTACCCTAAAACTTAAAGTATATTAATAATAAAATAAAAAACAAACAAATAAATAAATAGATAATTTACTCCTTTCCTATTTGGATGCTGTTTATTTCTTTTTATTTTCTATTTGCTCTCTAGGACTTCCAGTGCTTTTAAATAGAAGTGGCAAGAGTGGGCATTCTTTTCTTCTTCTCAATCTCAGAGATAAAACTTTCAGTTTTTTACAATTAAGTATGATGTTAGCTATAGGCTTGTCATATATATTTTTTAAAAAGATTTAAAAAAATTAAATTATTTTTTAACATTTTTGTGGGTACATGGTGTATATATTTATGGGGTACATGAGATGTTTTGATAAAGGCATGCAATGTGAAATAAGCATATCATAAGGGGAAATAGGATATCCATCACCTCAACCATTTATTATTTGAATTACAAACAATCCAATTATGTTCTTTTAGTTATTTACAAATATATAATTAAGTTATTATGACTATAATCACCCTCTTGTACAGTCAGATAGTAGATCTTATTCATTCTATTTTATTGGACCCATTAACTCTCCCCACCTCCTCCCCCCCTCAGCCTCCCACTACCTTTCCCAGCCTCTGGTAACCATCCTTCTACTCTTGATGTCCATTAGTTCAATTTATTGGACTTTTAGATCCCACAAATGGGTGAGAACATTCAACGTTTGTCTTTCTGTGCCTTATTTCACCTAAAATAATGATCTCCAGTTCCATCTATGTTGTTGCAAATGATAGAATCTCATTCTTTTTTATTGCAGACTTTATTGTGTGTATGTAGCACATTTTCTCTATCAATTCATTTGTTGATGGACACTTAGGTTGCTTCCAAATGTTACCTATTGTAAACAGTGCTGCAACAAACATAGGAGTGCAGGTATATCCCTGATATACTGATTTCCTGTCTTTTGGGTATATACCCAGCAGTGGGATTGCTGGATCATATGGTAACTCTATTTTTAGTTTTTTGAGGAACCACCAAACTGTTCATAGTGGTTGTACTAATTTACATTTTAACCAACAGTATACAAGGGCTTCCTTTTCTCCACATTTTCACCAGCATTTGTTACTGCCTGTCTGTTGAATGTAAGACATTTTAACTGGGGTGAGATGGTATCTTACTGTACTTTTTATTTGCATTTACCTTATGATCGATGATGTTGAGCACCTTTTCATGTGATTGTCACTTCTATGTCTTCTTTTGATCAATGTCTATTCAGATCTTTTGCTCACTTTTTGATTGGATCATATTTTTTTCTTTTGAATTGTTTGAGCTCCCTATATATTCTGCTTATTAATCCCTTGTCAGAGGGGTAGTTTGCAAATATATTCTCCTATTCTGTGCATTGTTGATTGTATTATTTGCTGTGCAGAAGTTTTTTAACTGGATGTAATCTCATTTGTCCATGTTTGCTTTGATTACCGGTGCTTGTGGGGTATTACTCAGAAAATCTTTGCCCAGATCAATGTCCTGGAGATTTTCTCCAATATTTTCTTGTAGTAGTTTCATAGTTTGAGGTCTCAGATTAAAGTCTTTAATGCATTTTAATTTGATTTTTGTATATGGTGGAAGATAGAGGTTTAGTTTCATTCTTTTGCATATCGATATCCAGTTTTCTCAGCATCATTAATCTAAGACTTTTTCCTCGTGTATGTTCTTGGCTCCTTTATAAAAATAAGTTAGGAGGCTCACACTTGTAATCCCAGCAGTTTGGGGGGCCAGGCAAATGGATCTCTTGAGGTCAGGAGTTTGAGACAAGCTTGGCCAACATGGTGAAAACCTGTCTCTACTAAAAATACAGAATCAGTTGAGCCCAGGAGGTGGAGGTTGCAGTGAGCCAAGATTACACCACTGTACTCCAGCCTGGGCAACAGAGCAAGACTCTATCTCAAAAAAAAAAAAAGTTCACTCTAGATAAATGGATTCATTTATAGGTTCTCTATTCTGTTCCATTGGTCCGTCTGACTCCTTTTTATTCCAGTGCCATGCTGTTTTGCTTACTGTAGCTCTGTAGTATAATTTGAAGTCAGGTAATGTGATTCCTCCAGTCTTGTCATTTTTGCTTAGGATAGCTTTGGCTATTCTAGGTCTTTTGTGGTTCCATATAAATTGTAGGTCTGATTTTTCCATTTCTGTGAGGAATGTAATTGGTATTTTGTTGGGGATTGCATTGAATCTATAGATTGCTTTGAGTAGTATGGACATTTTAACAATATTGATTTTTTTCTGATTTATAAACATAAAATTCTTTTCTATTTTTTAATGTTCTCTTCAATTTTCTTCATCAGTGTTTTTCAGTTTTTGTTATAGAGATTTTAAATTCTTTAGTTAATTTCTAGGTATTTAATTTTATGTGTAGCTATTGTATATGGGATTACTTTTTAATTTATTTTTTACATTGTTCACTGTTGACATATAGAAATGCTACTGATTTTGTACATTGATTTTGTATCCTATAAATATACTGAATTTGTTTATCAGTTTTAATAGTTTCTTGGTGATATCTATAGGTTTTTCCAAATATAAGATTATATCATCAGCAAACAAGGACAATTTGACTTCTTCCTTTCCAATTTGGATTCTCTTCATATCTTTCTCTTGTCTGATTACTCTAGCTAGGACTTACAGTACAATGTTGAATAATAGTAATGACAGTGGACATCCTTGTGTTCCAGATTTTAAAGGAAAGTCTTTTAGTTTTTCCCCATTCAATATGATACTCACTGTGGATCTGTTGTATATAAATTTTATTATATTGAGGTATGCTTTTATCTATATTCAGTATTTTGAGGGTTTTAAAAATGATGGATGTTTAATTTTATCAAATGCTTTGTCAGTATCAATTGAAATGATATGGCTTTTATCCTTCATTTTCTTGATGTGATGTATCATGTTGATTGATGTGCAATTGTTGAAACATTCTTGCTCCCAGAATTAAATCCCACTTGATCATAATGAATAATCCTGTTAATATATTGTAGAACTTAGTTTGCTACTATTTTGTTGATGATTTTTGCATTAATATTGTTGTATTCGTCTGTTCTCACACTGCTAATAAAGACATACCTGAGATTGGGTAATTTATAAATGAAAGAGGTTTAAGTGACTCATAGTTCCACATGGCTGGGGAGGCCTCACAGTCATGGTGAAAGGCAAAGGAAGAGCAAAGTCACGACTTGCATGGTGACAGGCAAAAGAGAGTATGTGCAGGAGAACTTCTTTTCATAAAACCATCAGATCTTGTGAGACTTATTCAGTATCATGAGAACAGCACAGGAAACACCTGCCCCCATGCCCATCAGGTCCCTCCCATGACATGTGGGAATTATGGGAGCTACAGTTTATGATGAGATTTGGGTGGGGACAGAGCCAAACCATATCATTTCACCCCTGACCCCTCCCAGATCTCATGTCCTCACATTTTAAAACCAATCATACCTTCTCAATAGTCTCCCAAAGTCTTAACTCATTTCAGCATTAACCGAAAAGCCCACAGTCCAAAGTCTCATCTAAGACAAGGCATGTCTTTTCCACCTATGAGCCTGTAAAATCAAAAGCAAGTTAGTTACTTTCTAGATACAATGTGGGTACAGGCATTGGGTAAATGTTCTCATTCCATATGGGAGACAATGGCCAAAATGGAGGGGCTACAGGCCCAATGCAAATCCAAAATCCAATAGGGCTGTCATTAAACCTTAAAGTTCCAAAATAATCTCCTTTGACTCCATGTCTCACATCCAAGTCATGTTGATACAAAAGGGGGGTTCCCATGGTCTTGGGCAGCTCTACTTCTGTGGCTTTGCAGGATACAGCCCTTTTTCTGGCTACTTTTACAGGCTGGCATTGAGTGTCTGTGGCTTTTCCAGGCACACAGTGCAAGCTTTCAGTGGATCTACCTTTCTGGGGTCTGAAGAACAGTGGCCCTTTTCTCACAGCTCCCCTAGGCAGTGCCGCAGTGGGGACTCTATTTGGGAGCTTCAACTTCAAATTTCCCTTCCACACTACCCTAGCAGAGGTTCTCCATGAGGGCCCCACTCCTTCAGTTAACTTCTGGCCAGACATCCAGGCATTTGCATACATCATCTGAAATCTAGGCGGAGGTTCCCAAACCTCAACTCTTGACTTTTCTGCATCTGAGGACTCAATGCTATGTGGAAACTGCCAATGACTGGGGCTTGCACCCTCTGAAACCATTGTCTGAGCTGTACCTTGGCCTCTTTTAGTCATGGCTGGAGCAGCTGAGATGCAGGGCACCAAGTCCCTATGCTGAACATAGCAGGTGGGCCCTGGGCCTGGCCCACCAAACTGTTTTTTCCTCCTATGCCTCTAGGCCTGCGATGGGAGGCACTGCCGTGAAGGTCTCTGACAAGCTTTGGAGACATTTTCCCCATTGTCTTGGTGATTAACATTTGGCTCCTCATTACTTATGTAAATTTCTGCAGCTGGCTTAAATTTCTCCCAAGAACATGGGGTTTTCTTTTGCATCATCAGGCTGCAAATTTTCCAAAGTTTTCTTCTGCCAAATACCCTAAATAATCTCTCTCAAGTTAAAATTTCTACAGATACCTAGGGCAGGGGCAAAATGGTACCGGTCTCTTTGCATAGTAAGAGTAACCTTTACTCCAGTTCCCAACAAGTTCCTCATTTTTATCTGAGACCACTTCAGCCTAGAACTTATTGTCAGTATCACTATCAGCATTTTGGTCAAAGCCAATCAACAAGTCTCTAGGAAGTTCCAAACTTTCACACATCTCCCTTTCTTTTTCTGAGCCCTCCAAACTGTTCCGGCCTCTGCCTTTTACCCATTTCCAAAGTCACTTCCACATTTTTGGGTATCTTTACACCAGCACCCCAATACTGGTACCAATTTACTGTATTAGTCTGTTCTCACACTGCTAATAAAGACATACCCAAGACTGGGTAATTTTTAAAGGAAAGAAGTTTAATTGAGTCACAGTTCCACATGGCTGGGGAGGCCTCACAATCATGTCAGAAGGCAAAAAAGGAGCAAAGTCATGTTTTGCATGGTGGCAGGTAAAAGAGCATTTTCAGGGGAGCTCCCCTTTGTAAAACCATCAGATCTTGTGAGACGTATTCAGTATCATAAGAACAGCATGGGAAAGACCTACCCTCATGATTCAATTACCTCCTACCAGGTCCCTCACACAACTTGTGGGAATTATGGGACCTACAATTTAAGATAAGATTTGGGTGGGGATACAGCCAAATCATATCAATTATTCAGAGGTATTGGCCTGCAGTTTTCTTTTTTTGATATGTTCTTGGTATCAGTGTAATATTGGCCTCATAGAATGAGTTTGGAAATATTCCCTCCTCCTCTATTTTTTAGAATAATTTCAGCTGGATTAGTATTAGTTCTCCTTTAGGTGTTGGTAGAATTCAGCAGTGAAGACATTGGGTCTTGGACTTTTTTTTTGAGAGATTTTTTTTATTATAGTTTTGATCTCATTACTTGTTATTGGTCCATTCAGGTTTTGAATTCGTCCCTGGTTTATTCTTTGTAGGTTGTATGTGTCTAGAAATTTGTCCATTTCTTGTAGATTTTCCAAGTTATTGGCATATAGTTGCTCATAGTAACCAGTAATAATCCTTTGACTTTCTGCAGTATCAGTTGTAATATCTTTTTTTAAATTTTCATCTTCTCTCTTTTTTTCTTAGTCAGGCTAAAAGTTTGTCAATTTTAACTTTTTACAAAACTAACTTTTGTTTCATTGATCTTTGTATTTTTTAATTTCAATTTCCTTACTTTCTTCTCTGATCTTTATTATTTCTTTTCTTCTACTAATTTTATTAGGTTTGGTTTGCTCTTGCTTTTCTAGTTCAAGTTGCATAGTTAGATTTTTTTTGAAGTTTTTACTCTTTATTATGTAGCCACTTATAGCTATAAACTTCACTCTGAGTACTGCTTTGTTGTATTCCATATATTTTGGTATGCTGTGTTCCCATTATCATTTGTTTCAATAAATTTTTTAATTTTCTTCTTAATTTCTTCATTCACCCACTGGTCATTCAGAAGCATATTGATTAATTTCCATGTAGTTGTATATTTTCTTTTTATTTATTTTTATTTTTTATTTTTGCATAGGTATCGGGGTATGGTTGGTTTTTGGTTACATGAGTAAGTTCTTTAATGGTGATTTGTGAGATTTTGGTGCACTTATCACCCGAGCAGTATACACTGCATCACATTTGCAGTCTTTTATTCCTCACTCCTCCCATCCTTCCCCACTGAGTCCCCAAAATCCATTGTATCATTCTTATGCCTTATATCCTCATACGTTTGCTCTCACATTTCAGTGAGAACATACAATGTTTGGTTTTCCATTCCTGGGTTACTTCACTTAGAATAATAGTCTACAATCTTATCTAGGTTGCTGCAAATGCCATTAATTGATTCCTCTTTATGGCTGATTAGTATTCCATCATATTTATATATATATATATATATATATAAATCACAGCTTTTTTATCTACTCGTTGATTGATAGGCATCTGGGTTGGTTCCACGATTTTGCAATTGCGAATTGTGCTGCTATAAACGTGTGTGTGCAAGTATCTTTTTCATATAATGACTTATTTTCCTCTGAGTAGATACCCAGTAGTGGAATTGCTGGATCAAATATTAGTTCTACTTTTAATTCTTTAAGGAATCTCAACACTGTTTTCCATGGTGGTTGTACCAGTTTATATTCCCACCAGCAGCGTAGAAGAGTTCCCTGATAACTGCATCCATGCCAACATCTACTGTTTTTAATTTTTTGATTATGACCATTTTTTGCAGGAGTAAGGTGGTATCGCATTGTGGTTTTCATTTTCATTTTTCTGATCATTAGTGGTGTTGAGTATTTTTTCATATGTTTGTTGGTCATTTGTGTGTATTCTTTTGAGAAAGTCTATTCATGTCCTTAGCCCACTTTTTGATGAAATCATTTGTTTATATCTTGCTGACTTAAATTTATTGTAGATTCTGGACATTAGTTTTCTGTCAGATGTATAGATTGCAAAGATTTTCTCCCACTCTGTGGGTTTTCTGTTTACTCTTCTGACTGTTCCTTTTGTCGTACAAAAGCTCTTTAGTTTAATTAAGTCCCAACTCTTTATCTTTGTTTTTATTACATTTGCTTTTGGGTTCTTGGTCCTGAAATCCTTGGCTAAGTCAATGTCTACAAGGGGTTTTCCAATGTTATCTTCTAGAATTTTTATAGTTTCATGTTTTAGATTTAAGTCCTTAATCTATCTTGAGTTGATTTTTGTATAAGGTGAGAGATAAGTATCCAGTTTTATTCTCCTACATGTGGCTAGCCAGTCATCCCAGGAATATTTGTTGAAAATGATGTCTTTTCCCCACTTTATGTTTTTGTTTTTTTTTATTGAAGATCAGTTGGATATAAGTATTTGGGTTCATTTCTATGTTCTCTATTCTGTTCCACTGGTTTATGTGCCTATTTTTATACCAATATCATGCTGTTTTTGTGACTATGGCCTTATAGCATAGTTTGAAATCAGGTAGTGTCATGCCTACAGATTTGTTCTTTTTGCTTAGCCTTGCTTTGTCTATGTGGAATGTGTTTTTGGTTCATATGAATTTTAGAATTGTTTTTTCTAATTCTGTGAAGAATGATGGTAGTATTTTGATGGGGATTGCATTGAATTTGTAGATTGCTTTTGGCAGTATGGTCATTTTCACAATATTGTTTCTACCCATCCATGAGTATGGGATGTGTTTCCATTTGTGTGTGTCATAGATGATTTCTTTCAGCAGTGTTTTGTAGATTTTCTTATAGAGGTCTTTTGACTCCTTGGTTAGGTATATTCCTAAGTATTTTTTTTTTTTTTTGCAGCTATTGCGAAAGGGATTGAGTTCTTTATTTGATTCTCAGCTTAGCTGCCGTTGGTGTATGGAAGAGCTAATAATTTGTGTACATTAATCTTGTATCTTGAAATTTACAGAATTATTTTATCAGTTCTAGGAGCTTTCTGAAAAAGTCTTTAGAGTTTTCTAGGTATACAATCATATCATCAGCAAACAGTGACAGTTTGATTTCCTCTATACCGATTTGGATGCTCTTTGTTTCTTTCTCTTTTCTGATTGCTCTAGCTAGGACATCCAGTACTGTGTAGAAGAGGAGTGGTGAGAGTGGGTGTACTTGTCTTGTTCCTGTTCTCAGAGGAAATGCTTTCAACTCTTCCTCATTCAGTATTATGTTGGCTTTGGGTTTGTCATAGATGGCTTTTATTTCATTGAGGTATGTTTCTTGAATGCCAATTTTGCTGAGAGTTTTAATCATAAAGGGATGCTAGATTTTGTTGAATGGTGTTTCTGCATCTATTGGGATGGCTATGTGATTTTTGTTTTTAATTCTGTTTATGTGGTGTATCACATTTATTGACTTGCATATGTTACACCATCCCTGCATCCCTGGTATGAAACCTACTTGATCATGGTGGATTATCTTTTTGATATTTTGTTGGATTTGGTTAGATATATTTTTTTAAAGGATTGTAGCATCTGTGTTCATCTGGGATATCAGTCTGTAGTTTTCTTTTTTGCTTATGTCCTTTCCTGGTTTTGGTATGAGGGTGACACTGACTTCATAGAATGAATTAGGGAGGGTTCCTTCTTTCTCTCTATTGTCGAATAGTGTCAATAGAATTGCTACCAGTTCTTCTTTGAATGTCTGATAGAATTCTGTTGTGAATCCATCTGGTCCTGAACATTTTTTTGTTTCTATTTTTTAAATTACCGTTTTAATCTCGCTGCTTTTTATTGGTGTCTTCAGAGTATCTAATTCTTCCTGATCTAAGCTAGGAGGGTTGCATTTTTCCAGGAGTTTATCCATCTCTTATAGGTTTTCTAGTTTATGTGCATAAAAGTGTTCAGAGTAACCTTGAATGACCTTTTGTATTTCTTTGGTGCCAGTTGTAATATCTCTCGTTTTATTTCTTGTTGAGGTTATTTGGATTTTCTCTCTTTTTTCCCTGGGTAATCTTGCTAATGGTTTATCAACTTTATTTATCTTTTCAAAGAGCCAGCTTTTTAAAAACAAATTATCTTTTGTATTTTATTTTGTTTTGTTTTAATTTCATTTAGTTCTCTGATCTTGGTTATTTCCTTTCTTCTGCTGGCTTTGGGCTTGATTTGTTCTTGTTTCTCTAGTTCCTTGGGGTGTGACCTTAGATTGTATGTTTCAGCTCTTTTAGTCTTTTTGATGTAGACATTTAGGGCTGTTAACTTTTCTATTAGCACCACCTTTGCTGTATCCCACAGGTTTTCATAGGTTATGTCACTATTGTCATTCAGTTTGAATAATTTTTTAACTTGTATTTTAATTTTGTTTTTGATCTAATGCTCATTCAGGAGCAGGTTATTTAATTTCCATTCATTTTCATGGTTTTGAAGATTCATTTTGAAGTGAATTTCCAGTTTTATTCCACTGTGGTCTGAGAGAGTGCTTGGTATAACTTCAATTTTCTTGAATTTATTCAGGCTCATTTTGTGGCCTATCATATGGTTTATCTTGGAGAAATTTCCATGTGCTGTTGAATAAAATGTGTATTCTGAGGTTGGATGGAATATTTTGTATATATCTGTTAAGTCCATTTGTTCCAAAGCACAGTTTAAATCCATTGTTTCTTTGTTGACCTTCTGTCTTGATGTCTTGTTTGCTAGGTCTCTAGCAAATCCAGGGATGTTTTCCTCAATTATTCCCCCAATATATTTTCCAATGTTTTAGAATTCTCTTCTTGCTCAGGGACACCGATTATTCTTAGGTTGGGTCATTTAACATATTCTCAGACTTCTTGGAGGCTTTTTTCATTTCTTTAAAATTCTTTTATCTTTGTCTTTGTTGGATTGGTTTAATTCAAAGACCTTGTCTTCGAGTTCTGAATTTCTTTCTTCTATTTCTTCAATTCTATTGCTGAGACTTTTCAGAGCATTTCCCATTTCTATAGGTTTGCCCAATGTTCTGAGAAGTTTTGATTGTTTTTTATTCATGCTGTCTATTTTCTTGATTATTTCTCCCTTCACTTCTTGTATCATTTTTTTGGGGATTTTCTTGCATTGGGCTTTGTCTTTCTCTGGTGCCTCTTTGATTAGCTTAGTAACTAACCTCCTGAATTCTTTTTCAGGTAAATAATGAATTTCGTCTTGGTTTGGATCCATTGCTGGTGATCTAGTGTAATTTTTTGAGGGTGATAAAGAGCCTTTTTTTGGGGTCATATTACCAGAGTTGATTTTCTGGTTTCCTCTTATTTGGGTAGGCTCTGTCAGAGGAGAGGTCTAGGGTTGAAAGCTGTTATTCAACCCTAGACCCACGTGGTGTTCCCTTGATGTAGTAGTCTTCCCCTTTTCCTATGGATATCGCTTCCTGAGAGCCAAGCTGTAGTGATTGTTATCTCTTCTGGATCTAGCTACCCACCAAGTCTACCAGGCTCCAGGCTGGTACTGAGGGTTGTCTTCACAGAGTCCTGTGATATGAACTGTCCATGGGTCTCTCAGCTGTGAATACCGGCACCTGTTCCAGTGGAGGTGGCAGGGGGTTGAAATGGATTCCATGAGGGACCTTAGCTTTGGTAGTTCAATGCTTTATTTTTGTGCTGGTTGGCCTCCTGCCAGGAGGTGGTGCTTTCCAGAGAGCATCAGCTGTGGTAGTATGGAGTGGTAGTGGTGGTGGGTGGGGCCCTAGAACTCCCAAGAGTATATGGCCTTTGTCTTCAGCTACCAGGATTGGTAGAAAAGGACCATCTGGTAGGGGCAGAGCTAGACCTGTCTGAGCTCAGACTCTTTTTGGGTGGGTCTTGCTGCGGCTGCTGTGGGTTACGTGGGTGAGGTATCAGGTCAATGTATTGATGTACCTAGAAAGATTATGGCTGTCCTTGCTGGGTCCTGCAGGTTGTCAGGAAAGTGGGGGAGAGCCAGCAGTCACAGACCTCACCCAACTCCCAGACAATTTGAAGGGCCAGTCTCACTCCCACCATGCCCCCCATAACAGCACCAAGTCTGTTTCCAGGCAGTAGGCAAGCAGGGCTGAGAACTTGCCTCAGGCTACCCTCCTCCCAACTCCAAAAGAAAAGGGCTTTGTTTCTTCTCCTGCCTGTGGAGTCTGCATGCCAGATTTGTGCCCTCCTCTGAGTTTTGACCAGGAGGCTTCTTAACTAGTTCAAATTGTTACAAAGTTTAGCTGGAGACTTCCTTCTCCCTGGGGTGTTTTTCCCACATCTCTGGCTGCCTTCCCAAAGGATTCCTGTGATGCCAGGCAGAAGTGGCCTACTTGGGGACTCAGCAAGCTCCCAGGGCCTTTTTTATTGCTTCCTCTACCCTTGTATTTTGCTCAGCTCTCTAAATTGACTCATCTCCAACTAAGGTTGAAATATTTTCTCACAAAGTAGACCTTCAACTTTCCCAATGAAGGTTTGTGTTCATGGGTGGAAGATCTCCCTTCCCTACTTCCACAGTTTGGGCACTCATAGTATTTGGAGTGTCTCCCGGGTCCTGCAGTAGCAGTCCGCTTCCTTCAGAGGGTCTGTGGGTCCACTCAGGATACCTGATTCATTTCCACAGTTGTTCTCGAGCTAAAATTCACAATGCTAAAATTCTGCATGCTGCTCTGTTTGTCTGAGTTGGAGCTGTAATCTAGTCCTGCCTCCTGTACACCCTGATGATCCTGAGTCTCCATTTTTATATTTTCCAAAATTCTTGTTATTAATTTCTAGTATTATTCCACCGTGGTCAGAGAAGATGCTTGATATTATCTCATTTTTTGAATGACTTAATATGTGTTTTGTGACCTAACATATGGTTTATCCTAGAGAATGATCTGTGAGGTGAGGAAAAGAATGTTTATGCTGTAGTTGTTGAATGAAATATTCTGTAAATATCTATTAGATCCATTTGGTCTATAGTGCAGATTAAGTCTGACGTTTCTTTGTTGATTTTTTAGCTAGAAGGAGGTGCTGAAGTTTCTAGCTATGATTGTATTGAGGCCTATCTCCCTCTTGAGCTCTAACAATTTTTCCTTTATATATCTTTGTTCTCCAGTGTTGGGTGCGTATATATTTAAAATTATTATATCCTCTTGCTGAATTGTCCAGTTTATCATTATATAGTGACCCTCTTTGTCTCGTCTCATAGTTTTTGTCTCGAAATCCATTTTGTCTGATATAAGCATAGTGACTCTTGCTTTTTTTTTTTCTCCATTGGTGTGGCATATTTTTTTTCATCCTTTTTTTCAGTCTATGTGTATGTTTATAGGTGAAGTGTGTTTCTTGTAGGCCACAGATCAATGAGTCTTGTTGTTTTATCTATCTAGTTATTCTATGTTTTTTAATTGGACAGTTTTGTCCATTTTCATTCAATGTATTTTTGATAAGTAAAAACTTATTATGGCCATTTTGTTATTTGTTTTCTAATTGTTGTATGGTCTTCTTTCCCTTCCTTCCTTCCTTCCTTCCTTCCTTCCTTCCTTCCTTCCTTCCTTTCTTTCTTTTCTTTCTTTCTTTCTTTCTCTTTCTTTCTTTCATTCCTTTCTGTCTTCCTCTAGGGAATAATATTTTATCTGATAATATAATTTAGTTTTTTGCTTTTTGCTTTTTATTTTTTGTATGTCCATTTTGTTTTCTGGTTTGAAGTTACTATGAGGCTTGCAAATACTATCTTTCAACCCATTATTTTTACTGAGAACAACTTAACACTATTTGTATAGACAAACAAAAAGAAAACTCTGTGCCTTAACTTCATCCCCCTACCTTTTAACTTTTTGTTGTTTATATTTGTTATTGTCTTTACTATGTATTGAAAAGCTGTTGTAGTTATTATTTTTTATTAGTTCATTGTTTTGTTTTTCTAGTTATGATAAAAGTAGCTTATACACCATAGTCACAATGTTATAATATTCTGTGTTTTTGTGTGTACTTACTGTTACCTGTGAATTTTATATGTTCAGGTGATTATTTGTTGCTCATTAATGTTTTTTTCTTTCTGATTGAAGTACTCCCTTTAGCATTTCTTCTAGTACATGCCTGGTATTGATGAAATCCTTCAGCTTTTGTTTGTCTGGGGAAGTATTTATTTCTCTATGTTTGAAGAATGTTTTCACTGGATACACTCTTCTAGGGTAAAAGTTTTTTCCTTTCAGCACTGTAAATATGTTATGCCACTCTCCTTTAGACTGTAAAGATTCTACTAAAAAGTCTGCTGCATTGTACGCTATTTGTTTCTTTTCTCTTATTGCTTTTATAATCCTTTCTTTATCTTTGACTTTTCAGAGTTCAATTATGTCTTGAGGTAGTCTTCTTTAGGTTAAATCTGCTTGATGTCCTATTATCTTCTTGTACTTGAATATTGATGTCTATTTCTAGGTTTGAGAAGTTCTCTACTATTATTTATCTACCCCCACTTCTTTCTCTGTACCCTCTTTAAGGCCAATAACTTTTAGATTTGCCCTTTTGAAGATATTTTCTAAATCCTTTAGGCATGCTTCATTGTTCCTTATTCTTTTTTTGTTTATCTATTCTGACTGTGTATTTTCAAATAGCCTGTCTTCAAGCTCCCTAATTCTTTATTCTGCTTGATCAATTTTGCTGTTAAAGAACTCTGGTGCATTCTTCAGTATGCCAATTGCATTTTAAATCTCCAGAATTTCTGCTTGATTCTTTTAAATTATTTTAATTTATTGGTTAAGTGTATTTGAGAGAATTCTGAATTTGTCCCCTATGTTATCTTGAATTTCTTTCAGTTTCCTCAACATAACTGAGTTCTCTTTCTGAAAGGTCACATATCTCTGTTTCTTCAGGATTGATCCCTGGTGCCTTATTTAGTTTATTGGTGGGGTCATGTTTTCCTGGATGGTGTTGATACTAGTAGATGTTCTTTGGTGTCTGGGCATGGAAGGGTTAGGTATTTATTGTAGTTTTCACTGTCTATGCTTATTTGTAGTCATTCTTCTTAGGAAGACTTTTCAGATATTTGAGAGAAACTAGTTGTTATCATCTAAGTTGTATCTGCTTTAGGGGGCACCCCAAGCCCTGTAATGCTGTAGATCTTGCAGACTCATATATGTACTGCCTTGATGGTCTTGGATAAGATCCAGGAGAATTCTCTGGGTTTCTAGGCAGAGACTTTTACTCCTTTCTTTTACTTTCTCCAAAAAAATACAGAGTCTCTCTTTTCTGAGCCCCCTAAAGCTGGGGGTGGAGTGATATTATTGCCATTACCTCTATGACTGCACTGGGTCAAACCTAAAGCCAGCACAGTGCTGGGTCACCTCAATACCTGCTGTCACCACTCTCTGGCTACTGCCTATGTTCGCTCAAGTCCCTGGGGCTCTACCAACTGCAGATAGCAATGCCAGCCAGGCCTGTGTCCTTCGTTCAGGCAGTGAGATCCCTCAATTACCAGGTGGGTTCAGAAATGCTTTTTGGGAGTTAGAAACCATAGTCAAAAATTTTAGAATTCTACATGGCATTCTATTTTGTAGTGACTGAGCTGGTACTCAATTCATATGATGCAGTCCTTTCCACTTTTCTCTTCCCTGTCCAAAGGCAGAGAAGCCTCATCCTGTAGCCATTGCCTTCACAGATCATGAAGAGTACTGCTGGACTACTGAGAATGGTCCTTTAAGGCACAAGGTCTTTCAAGGCAGCTTGCTGTGAATGCTCCCTGGCTTAGGAGTCAAACCTCAGGGCAGTGGACTCCCCTCTGGCCCAGGGCAGATCCAGAAATGCCATCCAAGAGTCAAGTCCTGAAATTGGTGACCCCAAGAGCTTACTTGGTGCTCTACCCACTTGTGATGGTTATGTGCTGAGTCTTACCTGGAGCCAGCAAGTCTCAGAGGCTCACCCAAGCCCGTGATATAGTACCAGGGTATTCCTGCTGGTTATTCAGGACTCAAGGGCTATTTAGCTAGCACATGATGATTACTGTCAGGACTTCATCCTTTACTTCAAGACAACAGGTTTCCTTTTGGCCCTGTATGTGTCTTGAAATGTCATCTGGGAACTTGGATCTGGAATGGGGGCCTCATGACTCTGACTAGTGCCCTATTCTGCTGTGGCTGGTCTGATATTCTAGATATAAGACACAGGCCTTCTTACTATTCTTTCTCCTCTCCTCAAGTGGAAGGAAAAGGGTCTATTTATGGAGTCTGGGTTTAGGGGAGGAATGATGCCAGGATTCCCTTGGCTGCCCCAGCTGGACTCTCAGTATGTCAAGTCCCCCACCCCACCCCCAGTCCACTGTCTCTGGGCCTAGTTCTGCCATAGGACTCACCTAAGAATTGTAGTCATTATGGCCTAGACTGCCTTTCAAGTTTACTTGGAGATACAGAGCACTGTAGCCCTTGGTTTGCAAGTATTCAACTTTGGATCCTGGGATTAGCCCTTCTGGCTAGGGCTGGTTTAAATGCTCCCTTTGTGGGCGGGCATAAGCTGAGTTTGTTCTGTTTTTCCTTTCTGCTCTAATAGGAAAGCACTGAGTTCGATGCCTCACAATTGCTGTGTTCTCCTTCCCCTAGCACCCTGAGACACTTTCCGCACCATGCTGCTGCTGCCCAGGGTTTGGGAGGGGTGGCGTCAGAGGTTCAGGACTGTTTTTTAAAATCTCTTCAGTACCAATTTTAGCACTATGAAGTTAAAAGCAGGTGCTATGAGTGCTCACCTAATTTTTCTATCTTATGAAGGTATTTTTTCTGGGTAGTTTTTAACTTGGTGTCCTTGTGGGGTAGGGTTGGGGAGTCAACCAGTGGCACTTTCTATTCCACCATCTTGCTCTTCCCTTTTCATATATGACCTTTATTGTGTTTAGGTATTTTTTTGTACCTCATTTTTTGAGTTTTTTAAAATGAAAGTTTGTTGAATTTTTTCAACTGCTTTTTCTGCATGAATTGAGATGATTATATGATTTTTGTCCTTCATTCTGTAAATGTGGTATGTCACATGTATTGATTTGTGTATGTTTAACCTCCCTAGCATCACAGGGATAAATCCCACTTGATCATGATGTATGACCATCTTAATGTGATGTTTAGTTTGGTTTGCTAGTATTTTGTTGAGGATGTTTGCATCTATGTTCATCAGGGATATTGGGACTATAGTTTCTTTTCTTGTAGTATCATTGTCTGGCTTTGATATTATGGCAGACCAATTCTCCCTGATGATCACACAGACAGGCCTGCATAACACTTCAGTTACACAGACAAATTTCCACAGAGCTGTCTTAACATTGGGCAAATAGTTAAACCTAGGGAAATCAGTGCCCATATATCAAAGCCAGAAATGAAACATATGGTCAGCAGGAGCCTTTGATGGGCTTCTCTCTAACCTGGAGCAAGCCAAAATAATAGAGACAGACAGTCTTACATTCCTAGTGCCAGGACCTGTCTCAGGTCAAAGAAATCTGAGACACATCAAGGTAATAGAGGCAGTTGTTTGAATAGAGTCATTGGAGATCTAAGGCATGTCTCCCGACCAAGCTGTAAAGGAGATAAGACAGAAATAATCACTCCATTACCACAGTAAACAAGACTTGAAGGTACTGGAGCCTTTTTAATCAGACTTAGCAAGCATTTTTTTTTTTTTTTTTTGCCTCTGACCTTCTAGTTGTAACAAAATTAGTTATCAATAGACTTAGCCGAATGCTATACTGCACATAGACACATAACCCCAACTTACATAAGCACTACGAAAATTTTAACACTTTGAATTGGTCTGGTGAAATTATCTGCAGCCTTTTCCGTATATTCGGTAACAGCAATAAATTCCCTTCTTTCCTAGTTTGTCTGCTTCTCATTACTAGGTCTCGAGAAAACACAGCCAGACCCAGCTTGGTTCCGAGAACACTATCAGGGTAATGCTGGCATCATTAAATGAGTTTGGAAGTATTTCCTTCTCTTCAGTGTTTTGGAAAGAATTTTAGAAGGATTGTTATTAATTCTTTAAATGTTTGATATAATTCACCAGTTAAGCCATATTTTGCCTTTTTTCTGATATTAGTCCTGATATTAGTCTGTTCAGATGATCTGTTCCTCATGACTTAGTTTTGACAGTTTGTATGTTTTTGGAAATTTATCCATTTCTTCTTGGTTATCAAATTCATTGGTTTTGATTGTTCATAGTACTTTCTTTTAATCTTTTATATTTCTGTGGTATGAGTTCTGAAAACCAAAAAGTATTGGAGACAAGTCTCAATGAATTTATAAAGCTTATTTTGCCAAGATTAAGGACACACCCATGACACAGCCTCAGGAGGTCTTGACGACATATGCCCCAAGTGGTCAGGGTACAGCTTGCTTTTATACATTTTAGAGACACATAATAGATCAGTCAGTACATGTAAAATTTACATTTATTCAATCTGGAAGGGTGAGACAACTGGAAGTGGGGGCTTCCAGGTCAGAGGTAGATTAATTAATTTTTATATACTTTTAAAATTTTTAAATTTTTTCATAAGTTATTGCGGTACAGGTAGTATTTGGTTACATGAGTAAGTTCTTTAGTGGTGATTTGTGAGATTTTGGTGCACCCATCACCCAAGCAGTATACAATGCACCACATTTGTTTGTAGTCTTTTATCCCTCGCTCCCCTCCCACTCTTTCCCCCAAGACCCCAAAGTCCATTATATCATTCTTATGCCTTTGCATCCTCAGAGCTTAGCTCCCATATATCAGTGAGAACATATGATGTTTGGTTTTCCATTCCTGAGTTACTTCACTTGGAATAATCGTCTCCAATCTCACCCGGGTCACTGCAAATGCTGCTAATTCATTCCTTTTTATGGCTGAGTAGTATTCCATCATATATCTATCTATATATATATCTATATATATATCTACATATATATATCCATATATATATCTACATATATATATCTATATATATATCTACATATATATCTACATATATATATCTATATATATATCTCTCTCTATATATATATCACAGTTTCCTTAACCACTCATTGATTGATGGACATTTGGATTGGTTCCACAATTTTGCAATTGTGAATTATGCTGCTATAAACATGAGTGTGCAAGTATCTTTTTCGAATAATGACTTATTTTCCTTGCAGTACATACCCAGTAGTGGGATTGCTGGATCAAATAGCAGCTCTACTTTTAGTTCTTCTTTAAGGAATCTCCACACTGTTTTCCATAGCAGCTGTACTAGTTTACATTCCCACCAGGAGTGTAGAAGTGTTCCCTGATCTCTGCATCCATGCCAACATCTACTGTTTTTTAATTTTTTGATTATGGTCATTCTTGCAGGAGTAAGGTGGTATTGCATTGTGGTTTTGATTTGCATTTCCCTGATCATCAGAGATGTTGAGTATGTTTTCATATGTTTGTTGGCCGTTTGTATATCTTGCTTTGAGAGTTGTCTATTTATGTCCTTAGACCACTTTTTTATGGGATTTTTTTTTCTTACTGATTGGTTTGAGTTTCTCGTAGATTCTGGATATTAGTCCTTTGTCAGATGTATAGATTGTGAAGACTTTCTCCCACTCTGTGGGTTGTCTATTTACTCTGCTGACTGCTCCTTTTGCTGTACAAAAGCTCTTTAGCTTAATTAGGTCCCAGCTATTTATTTTTTGTTTTATTGCATTTGCTTTTGGGTTCTTGGTCATTAGAACCTTGCCTAAGCCAATGTCTAGAAGGGTTTTTGCCAATGTTATCTTCTAGAATTTTTATAGTTTCAGATCTTAGGTTAAGTCCTTAATCCATCTTGAGTTGATTTACTATAAAGTGAAAGATGAGGATCCAGTTTTGTTCTCCTACATGTGACTGGCCAATGATCCCAGCACCATTAGTTGCAAAGTGTGTCCTTTCCCCCCACTTTATTTTTTATTTATTTATTTATTTTTTTTGCTTTGTCGAAGGTGAAGGTCAGTTGGCTGTAAATGTTTGGGTTTATTTCTGGCTTCTCTATTGTGTTCCCTTGGTCTTTGTGCCTATTTTTACACCAGTACCACGATGTTTCGGTGACTATTGTCTTACAATATAATTTGAAATCAGGTAGTGTGATGCCTCCAGATTTGTTCTTCTTTCTTAGTCTTGCTTTGGCTATGCGGGCTGTTTTTTGGTTGCATGTAAATTTTAGATTTTTTTTTTAAATTCTGTGAAGAAAGATGGTGGTATTTTGATGGGGATTGCATTAAATTTGTAGATTGCTTGTGGCAGTATGGTCATTCTCACAATATTGATTCTACCTGTCCATGAGCATGGGAGGTGTTTCTATATGTTTGTGTCATCTATGATTTCTTTCAGCAGTATTTTGTAGTTTTCTTTGTAGAGGTCTTCTGACTCCTTAGCTATGTATATTACTATGCATTTTATTATATTTTTGCAGCAATTGTAAAAGAAGTTGAGTTCTTCATTTGATTCTCTGCTTGGTCGCTGTTGGTGTATAGAAGATCTACTGATTTGTGCAGATCTCTCGGCAGAAACTCTACAAGCCAGAAGAGAGTGGGGGCCAATATTCAACATTCTTAAAGAAAAGAATTTTCAACCCAGAATTTCATATCCAGCCAAATTAAGCTTCATAAGTGAAGGAGAAATCAAATACTTTACAGACAAGCAAATGCTGAGAGATTTTGTCACCACCAGGCCTGCCCTAAAAGAGCTCCTGAAGGAAGCACTAAACATGGAAAGGAACAACCGGTACCAGCCGCTGCAAAATCATGCCAAAATGTAAAGACCATCGAGACTAGGAAGAAACTGCAACAACTAACGAGCAAAATAACCAGCTAACATCATAATGACGGTTTGAAATTCACACATAACAATATTAACTTTAAATGTAAATGGACTAAATGTTCCAATTAAAAAACACAGCCTGGCAAATTGGATAAAGAGTCAAGACCCCTCAGTGTGTTGTATTCAGGAAACCCCATCTCACGTGCAGAGACACACATAGGCTCAAAATAAAAGGATGGAGGAAGATCTACCAAGCAATTGGAAAACAGGGATTGCAATCTTAGTCTCTGATAAAACAGACTTTAAACCAACAAAGATCAAAAGAGACAAAGAAGGCCATTACATAATGGTAAAGGGATCAATTCAACAAGAAGAGCTAACTATCCTAAATCTATATGCACCCAATACAGGAGCACCCAGATTCATAAAGCAAGTCCTGAGAGACCTACAAAGAGAAATAGACTCCCACACATTAATAATGGGAGACTTCAACAACCCACTGTCAACATCAGACAGATCAACGAGACAGAAAGTCAACAAGGATACCCAGGAATTGAACTCAGCTCTGCACCAAGTGGACCTAATAGACATCTACAGAACTCTCCACCCCAAATCAACAGAATATACACTTTTTTCGGGACCACAACACACCTATTCCAAAATTGACCACATACTTGGAAGTAAAGCTCTTCTCAGCAAATGTAAAAGAACAGAAATTATAACAAACTGTCTCTCAGACCACAGTGCGATCAAACTAGAACTCAGGATTAAGAATCTCACTCAAAACCGCTCAACTACATAGAAACTGAACAACCTGCTCCTGAATGACTACTGCGTACATAACGAAATGAAGGCAGAAATAAAGATGTTCTTTGAAACCAACGAGAACAAAGACACAACATACCAGAATCTCTGGGACACATTCAAAGCAGTGTGTAGAGGGAAATTTATAGCACTAAATGCCCACAAGAGAAAGCAGGAAATGTCCAAAATTGACACCCTAACATTACAATTAAAAGAACTAGAAAAGCAAGAGCAAACACATTCAAAAGCTAGCAGAATGCAAGAAATAACTAAAATCAGAGCAGAACTGAAGGAAATAGAGACACAAAAAACCCTTCAAAAAATTAATGAATCCAGGAGCTGGTTTTTTGAAAGGATCAACAAAATTGATAGACCACTAGCAAGATTAATAAAGAAGAAAAGAGAGAGGAATCAAATAGACGCAATAAAAAATGATAAAGGGGATATCACCACCAATCCCACAGAAATACAAACTACCATCAGAGAATACTACAAACACCTCTATGCAAATAAACTAAAAAATCTAGAAGAAATGGATAAATTCCTTGACACATACACCCTCCCAAGACTAAACCAGGAAGAAGTTGACTCTCTGAATAGACCAATAACAGGAGCTGAAATTGTGGTAATAATCAATAGCTTACCAACCAAAAAGAGTCCAGGACCACATGGATTCACAGCCGAATTCTACCAGAGGTACAAGGAGGAACTGGTACCATTCCTTCTGAAACTATTCCAATCAATAGAAAAAGAGGGAATCCTCCCTAACTCATTTTATGAGGCCAGCATCATCCTGATACCAAAGCCAGGCAGAGACACAAGCAAAAAAGAGAATTTTAGACGGATATCCTTGATGAATATTGATGCAAAAAAACTCAATAAAATACTGGCAAACTGAATCCAGCAGCACATCAAAAAGCTTATCCACCATGATCAAGTGGGCTTCATCCCTGGGATGCAAGGCTGGTTCAATGTATGCAAATCAATAAATGTAATCCAACATATAAACAGAACCAAAGACAAAAACCACATGATTATCTCAATAGATGAAGAAAAGGCCTTTGACAAAATCCAACAACACTTCATGCTAAAAACTCTCAATAAATTAGGTATTGATGGGACGTATGTCCAAATAATAAGAGCTATCTATGACAAACCCACGGCCAATATCATACTGAATGGGCAAAAACTGGAAGAATTCCCTTTGAAAACTGGCACAAGACAGGGATGCCCTCTCTCACCACTCTTATTCAACATAGTGTTTGAAGTTCTGGCCAGGGCAATCAGGCAGGAGAAGGAAATAAAGGGTATTCAATTAGGAAAAGAGGAAGTCAAATTGTCCGTTTGCAGATGACATGATTATATATCTAGAAAACCCCATTGTCTCAGCCCAAAATCTCCTTCAGCTGATAAGCAACTTCAGCAAAGTCTCAGGATACAAAATCAATGTGCAAAAATCACAAGCATTCTTATACACCAATAATCAACAAAAAGAGAGCCAAATCATGAGTGAACTCCCATTCACAATTGCTTCAAAGAGAATAAAATACCTAGGAATCCAACTTACAAGGGAAATGAAGGACCTCTTCAAGGAGAACTACAAACCACTGCTCAATGAAATAAAAGAGGATAGAAATAAATGGAAGAACATTCCATGCTCATGGGTAGGAAGAATCAATATCGTGAAAATGGCCATACTGCCCAAGGTAATTTATGAATTCAATGCCATCCCCATCAAGCTACCAATGACTTTCTTCACAGAATTGGAAAAAACTACTTTAAAGTTCATATGGAACCAAAAAAGAGCCCGCATCACCAAGTCAATCCTAAGCCAAAAGAACAAAGCTGGAGGCATCATGCTACCTGACTTGAAACTGTACTAGAAGGCTACAGTAACCAAAACAGCATGGTACTGGTACAAAAACAGAGATATAGACCAATGGAACAGAACAGAGCCCTCAGAAATAACGCCGCATATCTACAACTATTTGATCTTTGACAAACCTGAGAAAAACAAGCAATGGGGAAAGGTTTCCCTTTTTAATAAATGATGCTGGGAAAACTGGCTAGCAATATGTAGAAAGCTGAAACTGGATCCCTTCCTTACACCTTATATAAAAATCAATTCAAGATGGATTAAAGACTTAAATGTTAGACCTAAAACCACAAAAACCCTGGAAGAAAACTTAGGCATTACCATTCAGGACATAGGCATGGGCAAGGACTTCATGTCTAAAACACCAAAAGCAATGGCAACAAAAGCCAAAATTGACAAATGGGATCTAATTAAACTAAAGAGCTTCTGCACAGCAAAAAGAAACTACCATTAGAGTGAAGAGGCAACCCACAAAATGGGAGAAAATTTTCACAACCTACTCATCTGACAAAGGGCTAATATCCAGAATCTACAATGAACTCAATCAAATTTACAAGAAAAAAACCAACAACCTCATCAAAAAGTGGGCGAAGGATATGAACAGACACTTCTCAAAAGAAGACATTTATACAGCCAAAAGACACATGAAAAAATGCTCACCATCACTGGCCGTCAGAGAAATGCAAATCAAAACCACAATGAGATATCATGTCACACCTGTTAGAATGGCAATTATTAAAATGTCAGGAAACAACAGGTGCTGGAGAGGATGTGGAGAAATAGGAACACTTTTACACTGTTGGTGGGAATGGAAACTAGTTCAACCATTGTGGAAGTCAGTGTGGCAATTCCTCAAGGATCTAGAACTAGAAATACCATTTGACGCAGCCATCCCATTACTGGGTATATACCCAAAGGACTATAAATCATGCTGCTATAAAGACACATGCACACATATGTTTATTGGGGCACTATTCACAATAGCAAAGACTTGGAACCAACCCAAATGTCCAACAATGATAGAGTGGATTAAGAAAATGTGGCACATATACACCATGGAATACTATGCAGCTATAAAAAATGATGAGTTCATGTCCTTTGTAGGGACATGGATGAAATTGGAAATCATCATTCTCAGTAAACTATCACAAGAACAAAAAACCAAACACCACATATTCTCACTCATAGGTGGGAATTGAACAATGAGAACACATGGACACAGGAAGGGGAACATCACACTCTGGGGACTGCTGTGGGGTGGGGGGAGGGGGGAGGGATAGCACTGGGAGATATACCTAATGCTAGATGACGAGTTAGTGGGTGCAGCGCACCAGAATGTCACATGTATACATATGTAAGTAACCTACACATTGTGCACATGTACCCTAAAACTTAAAGTATAATAAAAATAAAAAAATATCTACTGATTTGTGTACATTAATCTTGTATCCAGAAACTTTGCTGAATTCTTTTATCAGTTCGAGGATAGTTTTTAGAATTTTCAGGGTAAACAATAATATTGTCAGCAAAGAGTGACAGTTTGACTTCCTCTTTATCGATTTGGATACCCTTTATTTCTTTCTCTTTTCCAATTGCTCTGGCTAGGGTTTCCAGTACTATGTTGAAGCGGAGTGGTGAGAGTGGGCATCATTGTGTTTTTCCCATTCTCAGACGGAATGCATTCAGTTTTTCCCCATTGGGTATTATGTTGACTGTGGGTTTGTCATTCGTAGATGGCTTTTATTACATTAATGTAATAATGTTTCTTTATGCTATTTTTCCTGAGAGTTTTATTCATAAAGGGATGCTTAATTTTGTCGAATTTTTTTTGCATCTGTTGAGATGATCATGTGATTTTTCTTTTTAATTCTGTTTATATGATGTATCACATTTATTCACTCGCATATGTTAAACTATCCCTGCATCCCTGGCATAAAACCTGCTTAATCAGGCTGGATTATCTATTTGATATGTTTTTGGATTTGGCTAGCTAGTATTTTGTTAAGAATTATAGCATCTATGTTCATCAGGGATATTGGTCTGTCATTTTCTTTTTTGGTTATGTCCTTCTTTGGTTTTGGTATTAGAGTGATGCTGGTTTCATACAATGAATTATGGAAGGTTCCTTCTTTTTCTTTCCTCTGAAATAGTGTCAAAAAGATTGCTATCAATTCTTCTTTCAATGTCTGATAGAATTCTGCTGTGAATCCTTCTGGTCTTTTACTTTTTTTATTGGTAATTTTTTAATTACCCTTTCAGTGTCTCTGCTTGTTATTGGTCTTTTCAGGGTATCTAATTCTTCCCGATTTAAGCTAGGAGGGTTGTATTTTTTCCAAGAATGTATCCATCTCTTCTAGGTTTTCTAGTTTTTGTGTGTAAAGGTGTTCATAGTATCCTTGAATAATCTTTTGTATTTCGGTAGTGTCAGTTGTAATTTCACCTGTTTTGTTTCTTAGTGAGGTTCTTTGGATTTTCTCTCTTCTTGGTTAGTCTTGCTAATGGCCTATCAATTTTATTTATCTTCACATAGAACCAGCTTTTTGTTTCATTTATCTTTTCTATTGTTTTTCTTGTTTCAATTTTATTTCATTCTTCTCTGATCTTGGTTATTTCCTTTCTTCTGCTGGGTTTGGGTTTGGTTTGCTCCTGTTTCTCTAGTTTTTTGAGGTATGACCTTAGAATGTCATTTTCTGCTCTTTCAGTTTTTTTAAGGTAGGCATTTAGGGCTGTAAACTTTCCTCTTGGCATAGTCTTCGCTGTATTCCAGAAGTTTTTGTAGGTTGTATGGTTATTGTCATTCAGTTGAAAGAAATTTTTAATGTCCATCTTGATTTCATTTTTTATCCAAAGCTCATTCAAGAGCAGTTTATTTAATTTTCATGTATTTGCATGATTTTGAAGGTTCCTTTTGGAGTTGATTTCCAGTTTTATTCCACTGTGGTCTGAGAGAATACTTGATATAATTTCAATTTTCTTAAATTTATTGAGGCTCATTTCATGGCCTATCATATGGTCTATCTTGGAGAAGGTTTTCGGTACTGTTGAATAGAATGTGTATTCTGTGGCTGTTGGATGAAATGTTCTGTATATATCAGTTAAGCCCATTGGCCCAAGGTATAGTTTGGATCCATTGTTTCTTTGTTGACTTTCTGTCTTGATGACCTGTTTAGTGTTGTCAGTGGAGTATGGAAGTCCCCCACTATTAGTGTATTACTGTCTGTCTCATTTCTTTTTTTTTTTTTTAATTTATTTTTTTATTGATAATTCTTGGGTGTTTCTCACAGAGGGGGATTTGGCAGGGTCATGGGACAATAGTGGAGGGAAGGTCAGCAGATAAACAAGTGAACAAAGGACTCTGGTTTTCCTAGGCAGAGGACCCTGCGGCCTTCCGCAGTGTTTGTGTCCCTGATTACTTGAGATTAGGGATTGGTGATGACTCTTAACGAGCATGCTGCCTTCAAGCATCTGTTTAACAAAGCACATCTTGCACCGCCCTTAATCCATTTAACCCTGAGTGGACACAGCACATGTTTCAGAGAGCACAGGGTTGGGGGTAAGGTCACAGATCAACAGGATCCCAAGGCAGGGGAATTTTTCTTAGTGCAGAACAAAATGAAAAGTCTCCCATGTCTACTTCTTTCTACACAGACACGGCAACCATCCGATTTCTCAATCTTTTCCCCACCTTTCCCGCCTTTCTATTCCACAAAGCCGCCATTGTCATCCTGGCCCGTTCTCAATGAGCTGTTGGGCACACCTCCCAGACGGGGTGGTGGCCGGACAGAGGGGCTCCTCACTTCCCAGTAGGGGCGGCCGGGCAGAGGCGCCCCTCACCTCCCGGACGGGGCGGCTGTCCAGGCAGGGGGGGCTGACCCCCCCCACCTCCCTCCCGGATGGGGCGGCTGGCCGGGCGGGGGGCCGACCCCCCCACCTCCCTCCCGGACGGGGCGGCTGGCCGGGCAGAGGGGCTCCTCACTTCCCAGTAGGGGCGGCCGGGCAGAGGCTCCCCTCACCTCCCGGACGGGGCGGCTGGCCGGGCAGGGGGGCTGACCCCCCCCACCTCCCTCCCGGACGGGGCGGCTGGCCGGGCGGGGGGCTGACACCCCCATCTGCCTCCCGGACGGGGTGGCTGGCCGGGCAGAGGGGCTCCTCACTTCCCAGTAGGGGCGGCCGGGCAGAGGCGCCCCTCACCTCCCGGACGGGGCGGCTGGCCGGGCGGGGGGGCTGACCCCCCCACCTCCCTCCCGGACGGGGTGGCTGGCCGGGCTGAGGGGCTCCTCACTTCCCAGTAGGGGCGGCCGGGCAGAGGTGCCCCTCACCTCCCGGACGGGGCGGCTGGCTGGGCGGGGGGCTGACCCCCCCACCTCCCTCCCGGATGGGGCGGCTGGCCGGGCGGGGGGCTGACCCCCCCCCACCTCCCTCCCGGACGGGGTGGCTGCCGGGCGGAGACGCTCCTCACTTCCCAGATGGGGTGGCTGCCGGGCGGAGAGGCTCCTCACTTCTCAGACGGGGCAGCTGCCGGGCGGAGGGGCTCCTCACTTCTCAGACGAGGTGGTTGCCAGGCAGAGGGTCTCCTCACTTCTCAGATGGGGCGGCCGGGCAGAGACGCTCCTCACCTCCCAGGTGGGGTCTCGGCCGGGCAGAGGCGCTCCTCACATCCCAGATGGGGCGGCGGGGCAGAGGCGCTCCCCACATCTCAGACGATGGGCGGCTGGGCAGAGACGCTCCTCACTTCCTAGATGTGATGGCGGCTGGGAAGAGGCGCTCCTCACTTCCTAGATGGGATGGCGGCCGGGCGGAGACGCTCCCCACCTTCCAGACTGGGCAGCCAGGCAGAGGGGCTCCTCACATCCCAGACGATGGGCGGCCAGGCAGAGACACTCCTCACTTCCCAGACGGGGTGGCAGCCGGGCAGAGGCTGCAATCTCGGCACTTTGGGAGGCCAAGGCAGGCGGCTGGGAGGTGTAGGTTGTAGTGAGCCGAGATCACGCCACTGCACTCCAGCCTGGGCACCATTGAGCACTGAGTGAACGAGACTCCGTCTGCAATCCCGGCACCTCGGGAGGCCGAGGTTGGCGGATCACTCGTGGTTAGGGGCTGGAGACCGGCCCGGCCAACACAGCGAAACCCCGTCTCCACCAAAACCAGTCAGGCGTGGTGGCGTGAGCCTGCAATCGCAGGCACTGGGCAGGCTGAGGCAGGAGAATCAGGCAGGGAGGTTGCAGTGAGCCGAGATGGCAGCAGTACAGTCCAGCTTCGGCTCCGCATGAGAGGGAGACCGTGGGGAGAGGGAGAGGGAGAGGGAGAGGGAGAGCTGTCTGTCTCATTTCTTAGGTCTATTAGTAACAGTTTTATTAATTTGGGAGCTCCAATGTGAGGTGCATATATGTTTAGGATTGTAATATTTTCCTGTAGGACAAGGCCTTTTACTATTACATAATGTCCCTCTTTATCTTTTTAAACTGCTGTTGCTTTAATGTTTGTTTTGTGTTATATAAGAATAGCTACCTCTGATCACTTTTGGTGTCCATTTGCATGACATGCCTTTTTCCACCCTTTTACTTTAAGTTTTTGTGAGTCCTTATGTGTTAGGTGAGTCTCCTGAAGGCAGCAGATAGTTAGGTGTTGAGTTTGTATCTGCTCTGTGGTTCTGTATCATTTAAGTGGAGCATTTAGGCCATTTGCATTCAGTGTTAGTATTGAAATGTGAGGTACAATTGCATTCATTGTGCTCTTTGTTGCCTGTGTACTTTTTTGTGTGTATTGTTTTTGCTTTTTAACTTGTATACTTGTTTTATAGGTCCTGTGTCATTTATGCTTTAAAGAGGCTCAGTTTTGATATATCTCCAGGATTATTTTCAAGATCTAAGCTCCTTTTAGCAGTTCTTGTAGTGGTGGCTTGGTAATGGCGAATTCACTCAGCATTTATTTGTCTGAAAAAGACTATATCTTTCCTTCATATATGATGCTTAGTTTCACTGAATACAAAATTCTTGGCTTATAATTGTTTTGTTAGAGGAGGCTAAAGATAGGTCTCCAATCCCTTCTAGCTTGTAGAGTATCTGCTGAGAACTCTGCTGTTAGTTTTTCTTTATAGGTTACCTGGTGCTTCTGTCTCACAGCTCTTAAGATTTTTTCCTTTGTCTTCATTTTGGATAACCTGATGACAATGTGCCTAGGCATGATGTTTTTGTTCTGAAATTTTCAGGTGTTCTTTGTGCTTCTTGTATTTGGATGTCTAGGCCTCTAGCAACACCAGGGAAGGTTTCCTTTATTATTTCCCCAACTATGTTTACCAAGTTTTTAGAATCCTCTTCCTCAGGAACACCAATTATTATTAGGTTTGGTCATTTAACATAATGCCAGACTTCTTCGAGGCTTTGTACATATTTTCTTATTCTTTTTTCTTTGTCTTTGTTGGATTGGGTTAATTCAAAGACCTTGTCTTTGAGCTCTGAATTTCTTTCTTCTTTGTTCAATTCTATTGCGGAGAGTTTCCAGAGCATTTTGTATTTTTAAAAGTGTGTCCAAACTTTCCTGAATTTTTGATTGTTTCTAATTTAAGCTATCTTTTTTTAAAATATTTCTTTCTTCACTTCTTGTATTGTTTCTTGGATTTTCTTTCATTGGGCTTTGCCTTTCTCTGGTGCCTACCTTATTAGCTTAATGACTAACCTCCTGAATTTTTTTTTTTTTTTTTCAGATAAATCAGGGATTTCTTCTTGGTTTGGATCTGTTGCTGGTCAACTAGTCATATTAACATAGTTGGTTTTCCGGTTCCTTCTCATTTGGGTAGGCGCTGTCAGAAGGAAGATCTAAGGATGAAAGCTGTTGTTCAGATTCTTTTGTCCCATTGGTTTTTCCCTTGATGTAGTACTTTTCCCCTCTTCCTATGGATGTGGCTTCCTGTTAGTCAAACTGCATTGATTGTTGCATTTCTTCTGGGTCTAGCCACCCTGTGAGTCTACCTGGCTCAGGGCTGGTACTGGGGGTTGTCTGCACAAAGTTCTGTGTGGTGAACTGACTATGGGTCTCTCAGCCATGGATACAAGTGCCTTTTCCTGTGGAGGTGGTGGGCGGGTGCAATGGACTTCATGAGCTTTCCTACCTTTGGTGGTTTAATGCTCTATTATGTGCTGATTTGCCTCCTGCCGGGAGGTGGTGCTTTCCAGATAGCATGAGCTGTAGTGGTATGGAGAGGGACTGGTGGTGGGCAGGGCCCTAGAACTTTTAAGATTTATATTCCCTTTGTCTACTGCTACCAGGGTGGGTAGGGAAAGACCAGGAGGTGGAGACAGGGGTAGGCATGTCTGAGCTCAGATTCTTTTTTCAGTCAGGTCTTGACGCAGCTGCTGTGGGAGATGTGGATGAGATTCCAAGGTCTGGATTTGTGTACCTAGGAAGATTATGGCTGCCTCGGCTGAGTCCTGCAGGTTGTCAGGGAAGTGAGGGAAAGCTGGCAGTCTCAGGCCTCATCCAGCTCCCATGCAAACTGAAGGACCAGACTGACTTTCACCGTGAACCCCCAACAGCTCCCGAGTCTGTTTCTAGGTGGTGGGCAAGACAGCCTTGAAAACTTACCCCAGGGTACCCACTTCCCAGCTGCAAAAAAAAAAAAAAAAAAAAAAGAAAAAAGAAAAAAAGAAAAAAAAGAAAAAAAAAGAGAAGAAAAGAAAAGAAAAGAAAAGAAAAGAAAAACGGCTTAGTTCTTCTCCTACCTGTGTAGTCTGCACACTGGATTTGTGCCCTCCCCTGAGTTCTGGTCAGGAGGCTTCTTGCTTTGTTCAAGTTGTTACAAATTTCAGCTGGATACTTCCTTCTCCCTGTGAAGTTTTGCTCCCTGCTTCTCTGGCCACCCTCCTGATGGATCTCTGTGGTGCCAGGCAGGAATGGCCTGCCTGGGGACCCAGCTAGCTTCAAGGGCCTTTCCACTGCTTCCTCTACCCCTGAGTTTCACTTGGCTCTCTAAATTGACTCAGCTCCAGGTGAGGTCGGAAACATCTCCCACAAACAGACCTTTAGTTTCTCCTGTGGGTGGATGTGTTTGGGAGAGAAGTTTCCCACTTCTGCAGATGGAGCACTCACAGTATTTGGGGCACCTCCTGGGTCCAGCAGGAGCAGTCTACTTCCTTCAGAGGGTTTGTGAGTCCTGTCAGGATTGCTGGATTGTTCTTGCTAAAATTCACAATGTGAGACTCTGCATGCTGCTCTGTCTGGAGGGCAATCTAGTCCTGCCTCCCCTTCGTCATGATCCAATGTTCTCAAGTCCTTCTGGTTTAGATACTTTAGTGGTTTTTATTTCTTCGATTAGATTTTTTTTTTTAATGGAGTCTTGCTCTGTCACCCAGACTTGAGTGCAGTGGCATGATCTCAGCTAATTGCAACCTCCGCCTCACAGGTTCAAGTGATTCTCCTGCCTCAGCCTCCCGAGTAGCTCAGATTACAGGCCCATAGGTAGACCATAAGTATATTTAAACTTATTATGATTGGCAATTGGTTGAAAGAGTTATTATTAGTAGAAAGAAATGTCTGATTATGATAAGGGGTTGTGGAGACCTAGGTTTTATCATGTAGATGAAGCCTCCAAGTAGCAGGCTTTAGAGAGAATAGACTGTAAATGTTTTTAATCAGACTAAAGGCTTGTGTTAATGTTAATGCTGGAAGGGTGTAATGAGACATGTCCAACCTTCATTTTCCCACATGGTCCAAACCAGTCTTTCACTTTGAAAGTGCCAGAGTAGAGTGTGCAACCCAAGCATGTCCAGAATTGCTGTGAAGAGATTTTGAATCATTATTTCCAGAAGTGGCTAATAGCAAACTAATGATTCTGACTATAACACCACAAAACCAAGAATGATATGATAGTTTGACATGAAGAAGTAGAAATTGAAAGAGAAACGCTCTTGGAAAAGTTTATCAATAGTGCTAAAGAAATTTGCTATGCACTTCAAGCTGAGGATAGTGGGCTGAATTAATTGGTTTGGCATTTTTTGGACCATGTATAAACAACCCTCTTTTTAAAACAGATGAAAGCTACTAACATTTAGGATTATCTGTTGATGATCTTGGATAATGTGAAGCGATTTATCATAGTCTCTGGGGCACCGATGTATTTGTCGGAAGTATGTTCACTAATGCAACACCAGACAGCCATATTATAGAGAAATTAAGGGGAAATTAGCAGTAATATTAATTCATTAGCTGTACTATTTTTATGTAACCTTGGGGTTAATATATAGGCACTGTCAAACTAAAGTCTCTAAAAGATACTTATTTGTAAGTATTTATTTCAACATTTATGAATTTACAACATTGACAAGTAATAATGGGATTTTAAAATTTCAAATGTTCATTATTCATATTATCATTGACTACATGTTGAGCACAACCACATTGTATAGGATGTGGTAATTAGCTTGTAACCAGGATATAATCTGTTATTGTTATTTCTCTTCTTTATTGGAAAAAACCCTCATTTTAATTATTTTTATCAAAAAAAATCACACATTTGGTTATTGATGGCTGGATATGGTGGCTCATGACTGTAATCCCAGCACTTTGGGAGGCAAGTGGATCACTTGAGGTCAGGAGTTCAACACCAGCCTGGCCAATACAATGAAACCCTTTCTCTTCTAAACATACAAAAATTAGCCAGGTGTGGTGGCAGGCACCCATAATCCCAGCTACTTGGAAGACTGAGGCAGGAGAATAGCTTGAACCCGGGAGGTGGAGATTGTGGTGAGCCGAGATCACAGCATTGCACTCCAGCCTGGGTGACAGAGCAAGACTCCGTCTCAAACAAACAAACAAACAAACAAACAATTTTATGAATCTTAAACTGTGTTGTGGCCTAATATATGATCTATCCTGGAGCATGTTCTAAGTGCATTTGAGAATGTATATTCTGCAACTATTGAATGGAATGATCTTAATATGTATGTTGGGACTATGTGGTCTATAGTTCAAGCCCAATGTTACATATTGATTTTCTGTCTGCATGATCTGTCTATTTTTGACAGTGGGGTATTGAAGTCCCTTTCTGTTATTGTATTGCTGTCTATTTCTCCCTTCGCGTTTATTATTTGCTTTATATATTTAGGTGTTCTCATATTTGGTGCATACATACATGCTATTGTTATATCTTCTAAACAAATTGACTTATTTGTCATTATGTAGTGACCTTTGTCTCTTGCAACAGTTTTTGACTGAAAGTCTATTTTATCTGATATGAATATAGCCAACTCAGCTGTCTTTTGTTTACCATTTTCAAGGAATATCTTTTTCCATCTATTTCAGCCTATGTGTATGTGGCCTTTCACCTTCACTGTCTTCAAAATTTTTTGTCTTTTTTTTTTTTTTTAGATAGAATCTCACTGTGTCACCCAGGCTGTAGTGCAGTAGTGTGATCTCAGCTCACTGCAATTTCTGCCTCCCAGGTTCAAGTTAGTGGATTGCAAACCACAATGGCAGTGTTAAAGTATTTTTATTTTGCTATGTATTTACTTTTACTAGTGGGTTTTATACCTTTAAATGTTTTCATTTTGCATGTTACTGTTTTTATTTTCTTTCAGATTGAAGAACTCCCTTCGCCATGTTTTGTAAGTTGGTTCTGGTGGTGATAAATTCTGTCAGCTTTTGCTTATCTGGAAAATACTTTATTTCTCCTTCATGTTTGCAGAAGAGTTTTGCTGGGTAAAGAACTCTTGGTTGGTAGTTTTTTTCTTTTAGACACTTGAATATGTCATCCCACTCCCTCCAGTCCTATATGATTTTCACTAAAAATAAAATCCAGATGAAAATGAGCTCCAGATGAATTGGAGCTTTTTTGTATGTTATTTGCTTTTTTTCTCTTGCTCCTTTTAGAATCCTCTCTTTGTCCTTGACCTTTGACAGTCTGATTATTATGTTGTTGTAGTTGTATTTGGGTTGAATCTCTGTGCTCTGTGCTGTTCTCAGACTTCCTGTATCTGGACATTTATATCTTCCTCAAGTTTTTAAGTTTTCTTTTTTTTTATTTCTTTGTATGAGGTTTCTACTCCTTGCTCTTGCTCAGATCCCTATTGAACATCAATAATTCTTAGATTTTCTATTTTGAGGTAATTTTATATATCTGGTAGGCATTTTTTATTTAGTTTCTTTTTTTGTTTTTTCTTTTCTGACTGTGTATTTTTCATTTTCTTTTTTTATCATTATACTTTAAGTTCTAGGGTACATGTGTACAACATGCAGGTTTGTTACATAGGTATACATGTGCCATGTTGGTTTGCTGCACTCATTAACTTGTCATTTACTTTAGGTATTTCTCCTAATGTTATCACTCCCCCAACCCCCACCCCATGACAGGCCCCCGTGTGTGATGTCCCCCACCATGTGTCCAAGTGTTCTCATTGTTCAATTCTCACCCATTAGTGAGAACATGCGGTGTTTGGTTTTCTGTCCTTGCAATAGTTTGCTCAGAATGATGGTTTCGAGCTTCATCCATGTCCCTGCAAAGGATATGAACTCATCCTTTTTTATGGCTGCATAGTATTCCATAGTGTATATGTGCCACATTTTCTTAATCCAGTCTATTATTGATGGACATTTGGGTTGGTTCCAAGTTTTTGCTATTGTGAATAGTGCCACAATAAACATACGTGTGCATGTGTCTTTATAGTAGCATGATTTATAATCCTTCGGGTATATACCCAGTAATGGGATCACTGGGTCAAATGGTATTTCTAGTTCTAGATCCTTGAGGAATTGCCACACTGATTTCCACAAGGGTTGAACTAGTTTACAGTCCCAGCAACAGTGTAAAAGCGTTCCTATTTCTCCACATCCTCTCCAGCATCTGTTGTTTCCTGACTTTTTAATGATCGCCATTCTAACTGGTGTGAGATGGTATCTCATTGTGGTTTTGATTTGCATTTCTCTGATGGCCAGTGATGATGAGCATTTTTTCATGTGTCTGTTGGCTGCATAAATGTCTTCTTTTGAGAAGTCTGACAGTGTATTTTCAAATAGTCTGTCTTTCAGCTAACTGATTATTTTCTCTGCTTGACCCATTCTGCTGTTGAGAGCCCCTAATAAGTTTTTCACTTCAGCAAACGAATTTTTCAGTTCTAGGATTTTTGTTTGAGTTTTAACAAAATATTTTAATATCTTTGTTACATTTCTCTAGTAAATCTCTGAGTTGCTTTTTTGTGTTACATATAATGCTGAGTTTTCTTAAAACTTTTATTTTGTATTTTGTGTTTTTTTAAAATTCAACTTTGTGCATTCAGGGGGTACATGTACAGTTTTGTGACATGAGTATATTGCATAATGCTGAGGCTTGGGATACAGGTGTTAGCATCACCCAGGTAGTGAGCATAGTGCCAAATAGGTAAAAACAGCTGTTTTAAATTCTTGATCAGGGAACTTTCCTATTGCCATTTCATTATAATTGGTCACTGACTCCTTGCTTTGTCTCTTTGGGGAGGTCATGGTTCCCTGATTGCTATTGTTTCTTTTGTACATATGTCTGCATCTTCACACTGAAGGATTAGTTACTACCCTTCTCTCCCTGGCTTGTTTAAATTTCTATTGTAAATGTTTACTTTGATATTTATTTGCAATATAACTTTGGAATATACTTTTTTGCTAGGTCATTGCCTCCTATTTGGCACTAGATGACCCCTTATGCCCAAGTTTGTCTGGGTTCTAGTAAATGGCCCAGCTACTGGTCCCAGATGGGGAAGGCTCCAAAGGGCATATGAAAGCAGTGTGGGAAGTCTGGTTAGAGGTTTGCACCCAGGGCACATGTGGAATGCACTTCTTACAGTACGGTGCACTGAACAGCCATTCTGATTTGACCTCTCTTTTGGCCTAGAAACAGAGCAGGTCCTGCTTTCACCATTTTTCTTTGGCTGTTTTCAGGATTTTTTCTCCCTTCAGGTACTTGCAATGTTTTCTGTGGATTGAGGTGGAAACAAATCTTTAGGATCCCAACATTGCAGGGAAGCTCATTGTCAACATCAATTTCACTTTTTTCTAGTATAGTAACTGAGTTATGGGAAAATTTTCTGGATGCTTGGTGTCTGGCAGAATGTAGGATGGGCATCAGAGCTATATTCAATTATCTTACTATCTGTATGAAGTTTTTTCACTTCTACTTGACCACAACATCTATTTTATCCTCATATTTGAGTTCTGGAATTTTGCTGTTGATAAGCTTGGCACTGCATATTTGGTTTTGATTTTCTGGTAGTGGGGAGAGAAGCCTGCTAGCTTCTACTCTACCATTTTGGTGATGTCTCTACATAAAAGCATTTGACAAAATTTAACATCCTTTCTATCATGATAATAAGAAATATCTGAAAGTTTTTATTCTCAGATTTAGTACTAGGCAAAGATGATTTTTCTCATCTCTTTTATCCAATGTAATACCAGAAATACAAACCAGAGCAATCAAGCAAGAGAATAAAATAAAGTTCATCCAAGTTTGAAATGAAGTCAAATTATCATTGTTTGCAGATGACATGATCTTATAGTTGGAAAATCCTAAAGACTCCACTAAAACATTGTTAGAGCTGATAAATTAAGTAAAGTTATAAGCAACACAATTAACATACAAAAATTAGTAGCATTTCTATACATAAGAAAGAATTTAATGAAACAATCTTATTTAAAATAGCATAAAATATGTTGGAATAAATTTAACCAAGGTGGTGAAAGACTTGTACACATAAAACTATAAAACTTTGTGAAAAAAATTGAAGATGACACAAATAGATGAAAAGTTACTGTGTGTTCATGAACCAGAAGTATTAATATTGTTAAAATATTTTTACTGCCCTAAGCAATATACTTATATTTGTGTGAACCATGGAGAAAATGGAACAAGTATAATGTTGACCTGAAATACTAGCAACCTCTATTGATCTGTTGCCAGATGGAAAACAAGACATTTCCATGGAAATTGCAGAGTAAGTACCACCAGTGTCTATCCAAAAAAGATATATTAACCTACATTTCCATGGAAATTGCAGAGTAAGTACCACAAGTGTCTATCCAAAAAAGATATATTAACATAAGGAAAAGTTATTGAGACATATGATTCACCAGTTTTTATTTCCAAGATTTTTAAATCTATCAGTTTAGAGCCAATTGTAAAGTTTTCTTAGCTGAGGGTTTTATCCTTCTATTGGCTTTACTGATTTTCTTATTCCTGAAATTTATTCATCCTGTGGTATTTTTATCTATAGATTTTCCTAAAATGTTCTTTTTTTAAAAATAACATATAGTTTTCTTTCCTTTCTCCCTTTATATATTGACAAATATAGGAATTACTTCTGTTAGTAAAATGTTCTAATTGAGTGGTTAAAACAGTAGTTTTGCATTTCTTCTTTATATTTCTCTAGATTGTCCCCAAACTGAATAGCTGCTGAGCAATAGTCTGTCCTTGTCATACTGCCATTTTTTACTCAACCTGGGTTTGGATAGTTGTCAAGATAGCCAATACTCAGTTTGCTAAGACTAGAGTGCAGTTTTGGTCCTCAACTCTGTCCATGCCAGTGATTTTTCAAAAAGCCTCAACAAACCACTTATAGAAATCAGTGGAGGCACTCGCCCTTTTCTGGGTACAATGCTGTAACATTTTCTAGCTCACCTTTGTAGAAAGCCTTCAAGTAAAGTCACCAAGAAATCCCTTCAGTGGGCTGCTAGTGCACTTAATTCTTCTGTAGTTGTAGGTGGTGGTGGATAATAGCCCTCTCTTGGTCACAGTGACTTTTCATGTAGGGGACCTATTTTTAGACTGTCTACTTGTTGCTAGAAAGTCTGCTGATTGCAAAATCTTCTACAACAACCAGTGTAAGCAACCATGCTTGGGTCTGTAAACACAAAACATGCTGTGCAGTATTTCTGCAAACTTCTATGAGTCTTCCAGGTCACAGAAAAAGAAGTCTTTAGATAATTGATACCAACCAGTGAGAAAAGCATGTATATTCTTTTTCTTTTCTTTTGTTTTCTTTTTTTTTTTTTTTTTGAGACAGAGTCTCGCTCTGTTGACCAGGCTGGAGTGGAGTGCAGTGACATGATCTTGGCTCACTGCAACCTCTGCTTCCTGGGTTCAAGTGATTATCTTGCCTCAGCCTCCCAAGTAGCAGGGATTATAGGCACCTGCCACCACGCCAGGCTATTTTTTATTTTTTTATTTTTTAGTAGAGATTGGGTTTTATCATGTTGGCCAGGCTGGTCTCAAACTTCTGACCTCAAATGGTCCACCCACCTCGGCCTCTTAAAGTGCGGGGATTACAAATATGAGCCACCGTGCCTGGCCACACATGTGTATTCTTAATTAATTTACCCCCGATGGGTGTGGGTAACCTCTCAATGGCATAAGCTTTGTTGGTGATCTGAATATAACGGATTGATTTATTTTTTGTCTAGAGAAAGAAAAAATATAGAGTTATATGGCACTTTTGTCCCCTTTTCTGTATTAGTGAGCAGTCTAATACCTTTTTTCTCTTTTTTTCAAGTGACTAATAAAAATACTCTCCATCATTCTGCCTATATATGAAGACACAGCCTGATCTTCAAATTATCAATTATTCTGTGGTCATGTTTATTTTTTTATGTCTGTTTTCCTAGCTGTATGGTGTGTGAATGAGAACAGACTCTTGGATGTGGAATCTGGGCTCAGATATGAAGTGGACTTGGCTAGGTCATAAAGCACACAAACCCATGTCCTCATACAGAGCAGAAAATGTACTACCAATGAAACAGTTTGTGCCCTCATTTATTTTTTTTTTCAGGGAAATCCACTAATGAAGTAGCCATCTGAAATATTAGCATCTCTCTATTTTTTTAAAGTAGTCAGATTAATGCAAGGACATCATAGAGAGAAGAAATGGCAGAAAAAAGTAGAAAGGGTTTTTTTTAAAAGACAAGGTGCCTTTAATTTTCATATATATTTTCCATTTCCTTTAACTATTTTCTGGCTATCCAAATGATTTTTAACTTCACTCTTAGAATGGTAGCAATACCATAAATACTAGTAATTTATTTACTTGAAATGAGACCCTGCCAAGAACCTCCACAAATATGTCAATTTATACCAATCAAAAGAACTATTCTTGGGCCATTACAAGACTAGATTATCACATGTATACTCATTCCAACCAGGACAGAGATATTTTAGTTCTTAAACAGAAATAACTGGAAGTAACCTTTCTGGCTTCCAGTACTTTTCCATGATCAAAACTAGTGATGACCTTGATGAGATTTTAAAGGCTATTTTACCATGCTTTTTCAATAGCAATATACTGAATTTGGAAGGGTCAATTTATTCAGCTAGTATTCTAAAAAGTATGGAAATAGAAGGGAGATTTTTTAATATATACAATTAAGGCTCTACCTGACTTTTATGGAATCACAAAACTTTCAATTGGTCTGCTAAATTCAACGACTGCCAATCTCATCCTCATCACTAAAATTTTGGGAAATACATAATTTAAAACAAAACTTGCCCTCAATCTGAAAACCTCTTCACAAAGGTAGAAAAAAAGAACACTTTTTAAAATTAAATAAGCATTAAACCAGGCTGTGATACACATATAAGGCAATTCACTTGAGATACTGAAGACAGAATGAAAACTTACTTGTATATAGCAAAGTGGATACAACCCATTACATTCATGCTTTCAAAATAAAATTGCTAGTTTTATACTATTTTTATCATATAAGTAGAGCTTGCAGTTTGGAGTCAGGTGACAGCTAAAATTAGGCCCATTATCTCCCAGAAGACTGAGAGATCAGGTATTATTTTATACTTCAAAGAGTTGGCTCTCAGGTCCTAAGTTGTGAAGTCCATGACAGGCTTATTTAATATTTGACTTTATGGTGGGTTCTTATTTTCTGGGATTTTACTATGTCACTTTTCAACCACCATAGTAGCCACAGGTTCCATCATTGCAGTTTTGTAATGGAGTTATAGGTATTTTGGGCCACAGGGGCTGGGATATGCCCTCAAGCAAAAAGCAAAAGTCTCTCTAAACATAAATTTGTATCCTCTTTACTTCTTTGCTATTGACTCCTCTCCAGTTTCTGCTTGCTCTGGTAGCTCTCCAGTTCCACTGGAGTTGCTGTCATTTCAAGAGTATACTTTGTGCAGATTTTATAATGTTTATCTGTGGGCAGGTCATTTCTATACAAGCTACTCTGGCATTACTAAAAACTTAATTCTTCTCTTTTCAGCACCCAATATTATAACATTATTTCTCAATCTTATCTTTTGTTTTTCCCATGTGCTGCTTCTTATCAAAGACTATCTTGATGCAACATTATAATTTTTATGACTTCTTGCCATTTATTTAAAAATCTTGTATACTCAAATTCCTAATCTAGAAAAGATTCAATTATATATGTGTTACCAAATAGAAATCTAGTTTTATTTTTCCATATAGGTAGCACAGTTTCTAATCTTATTTATTGTACAATCCATTATTTTTCCACTCAACTGAAAAACCATTTTTGCCATAAAAAACTTTGCATATACTCACTGATCTTTAAATGGGCTTTTCATGTAGTTTTTCTAATCAATTTAATTATTAGAATTTTAAGAGAAGTATTAGCTGAGGTTCCAGAACCACATCTGTAAATCCATGTTCCACATCAGCCCCTGCAGCCCCAGACACCAGGCCCACTACAACTGAATCTGGTTCCAGGTGAACCCCAGCAATAGTATAACACAGTCATTGTGGTGTGTAAACTACTGTTATCTTAAGTAGAAATACTAAATAATGAACCAATTCAAAATAATAAATACAGTTTTTCCAACATAGAGAATACAATGAGATATAAAAGAAAACAACAAATAATTAAAAAGTGGGGGAATGATATTAAAGTGTAGAGTTTCCATTAGTTTTATTTGTGTGTGTGTGTGTGTGTGTGTGTGTGTGTGTGGTTTAGACAATAAGTGGTAAGTTGTCATCAATTTAAAATGATGGGATACAAGATAATATTTGGAAGCCTCAAGGTAACCTCATATTGAAAAATAAACAGTTGATACATAAGAAAACAAATAGCAAAAATGTATATCATACCACCATACAAAATCACCTTCACTAAAAGAAAGACAGGAAGAAAGAAAAGAAGAGGAAGCTTCAAAACAACAGAAAACAAATGAAAAATGGCAGAAGTAAACCCTTACTATCAATAATAACACTACATGTAAATTGACTAAACTCTCCAAAAACATAGACTGGATGAATGGATAAAAAACAAGAACCTATCATCTGTTGACAAAAAGAGACACACTTTACTTATAAAGCTTTACGTAGATTTAAAATAAAAGAATGGAAAAAGATATTTCATGGCAATTGAAACAAAAAGAAATGCAGGAGTAAGTATATTTATATCAGGCAAAATTTATTTCAAGACAAAAATTGTAAGAAGAGATAAATAAGGTCATTATATAATGATGAACAGGTCAATTCAGCAAAAAAACTAATTGGAAATATATATGCATTTGATAATAGAGCACCTAGATATATAAAGCAAACATTATTAGAGCTAAAGAGAGGGATAGACACCACTACAACAATAGCTGGAGACCTCAACATCCCACTTTCAGCATTGGACTGATCTTCCAGAAAGAAAATTTGAAAGATATATCAGACTTAATTTGCACTATAGAACAAATAGATGTAATAGATACTTACAGAACATTTTTTTCAATGGCTGCAGAATACACATTCTTCTTCTCAGTAGGGGGATTATTCTCATGGAAGGACCATATATTAGGTCACAACAAAACTCTTAAACCATTTCAAAAATGAAATAATATCAAGCATTTTCTCTGACCACAGTGAAATAAAACTAGAAATCGAGCACAAGAGGAATTTTGAAAACTATGCAAACACTTGGAAATTAAGCAACACGCTCTTGAATGATGAATGGGTCATAAAGAAATTAAGATGAAAATTTTTAAAACTATTGAAACAAATGAAAATGGAAACACAACATACCAAAACCACTGCATCAGATATAGTGAAAGCAGTATAAAGAGGAATACTTATTGCTATAAGTGCCTACATCAAAAAAGTAGAAAAACTTCAAAATAATAACAATGTATTTCAAAGTATTAAAAATGCAAGAACAAACCAAAACAAAAATTAGTAGAAGAAAAGAAATAATAAAGATTGAGCAGAAATAAATGAAATAGAAATAAAGAAAACAATACAAAAATCAATAGAATGAATAGTTGGTTTTTTTGAATAGATAAACAAAATGTATAGAATTTATTCTAATGAAGAAGAAAAGACCCAAATAAGTATAATCAGAGATGGAAAGGAAACATTACAACTTACACTATAGCAATTTAAGAAATCATTAGTGGCTACTATGAGCAACTATATGTCAGTACATTTGAAAATCTAGAGGAAATGGATAAATTCCTAGACACAGAGGAGATCTGGCAAGATGGCCGAATAGGAACAGGTCCGATATGCAGCTCCCAGCGAGACCAACGCAGAAGGAGGGTGATTTCTGCATTTCCAAATGAGGTACCCAGTTCATTTCACTGGGACTGGTTAGACAGTGGGTGCAGCGCACGGAAGGTGAGCAGAAGCAGTGTGGGGCATCGCCTCACCCAGGAAGTGCAAGGAGCCAGGGAGCTCCCTCCCCCAGCCAAGGGTAGCCATGAGGGACTGTGCTATCCTGCCCAGGTACAACACTTTTCCCACGGTTTTTGCAATCCACAGATCAGGAGATTCCCTTGTGTGCCTATACCACCAGGGCCCTGGGTTTCAAGCACAAAATTGGGCAGCTGTTTGAGAAGACACCGAGCTAGTGCAGAGTTTTTATTTTATTTTATTTTTGTACCCAGTGGTACCTGGAACCCCTTTGAGGCAGAACCATTCACTCCCCTGGAAAGGGGGCTGAAGCCAGGGAGCCGAGCAGTCTCACTCAGCAGATCCCACTCCCATGGAGGCCAGCAAGCTAAGAAACGCTGGCTTGAAATTCTCACTGCCAGCACAGCAGTCTGAAGTTGACCTGGGATGATTGAGCTTGGTGACAGGAGGGACGTTCATCATTACTGAGGCTTTAGTAGGTGGTTTTCCCCTGGCAGTGCTAAGTAGGCCTGTTGGTTTGGATTGGGTGGAATTCATCACAGCATGACAAAGCAGCTGTGGCCAGACTGCCTCTCTAGAGTCCTTCTTCATGAGTAGGATATCTCTAAAAGAAAGGCAAGAGCCCCAGCCAGGTGCTTTTAGATAAAACTCTCATCTCCCTGGGACAGAGCACCTGGGGGAATGGGCAGCTGTGGGTGCAGCTTCTGTGGACTTAAACATTCTTGCCTGCTGGCTCTGAAGAGAGAATCTGATCCTGACAAGACTCTCCCAGCATAACACTCAAGCTCTGCTAAGGGACAGACTTCCTCCCCAAGTGGGTCCCAGACCCCTGTGTCTCCTGAATGGGAGAGACCTCCCAACAGAGATTGACAGACACCTCATACAAGAGAGCTCTGGCTGCATCAGGTCAGTGCCCCTCTGGGACAAAGCTTCCAGAGGAAGAAGCAGGCAGCAATCTTTGCTGTCCTGCAGCCTCCACTGGTGATACCCAAGCAAACAGGGTCTACAGTGGACCCCCAGCAAACTTCAACAGACCTGCAGAAGAGGGGCCTGACTCTTAGAAGAAAAACTAACAAGCAGAAAGGAACAACATCAACATCAACAAAAAGAACCCCCACATAAACATCCTATCCAAAGGTCATCAGCCTCAATGACCAAAGGTAAATAAATCCATGAAGATGAGGAAAGACCAGTGCAAAAATGCTAATTCCAAAAACCACAGTGACTCTTCTCCTCCAAATGATCGCAACTCTTCTCCAACAAGGGCACAAACCTGAACAGAGAATGAGATTGATGAATTGACAGAAGTAGGCTTCAGAGGTGGGTAATAACAAACTCCTTTGAGCTAAAGGAGCATGTCCTAACCAACACAAGCTGAGAACCTTCATACAAGATTACAGTAACTGCTAACTAAACAAACCAGTTTAGAGAGGAACACAAATGACCTGATGGAGCTGAAAAACAGAGCACAAGAACTTCATAAAGCATACACAAGTATCAATAGCCGAATTCATCAAGCAGAAGAAAGTATATCAGAGATTGAAGATCAACTTACTGAAGTAAGGCATGAAGACAAGATTAGAGAAAAAAGAATAAAAAGGAACAAACCAAGCCTCCAAAAAATATGAAACTATGAGAAAAGATGAAACCTACGATTGATGTATATACCTGAAAGTGATGGGTAGAATGGAACCAAGTTGGAAACACACTTCAGGGTATTACCCAGGAGAACTTCCTCAACCTAGCAAGATAGGCCAACATTCAAATTCAGAAAATACAGAGAAAACCATTAAGACTTCTAGAGAAGAGCAACTCCAAGACACATAATCATCAGATTCTCCAAGGTTTAAATGAAAGAAAAAATGTTAAGGGCAGCCAGAGAGATAGGTCAGGTTACCTACAAAGGGAAGCCCATCAGACTAAGAGTGGATCTCTCTGCAGAAACCCTACAAGCCAGAAGAGAGTTGGGGCCAATATTCAACATTCTTAAAGAAAAGAAATCAACCCAGAATTTCATATCCAGTCAAACTAAGCTTCATAAGCAAAGAAGAAATAAAATCCTTTCCAGAAAAGCAAATACCAAGATATTTTTGTTTCTACCATACCTGTCGTACAAAGAGCTCTTGAAAGAAGCACTAAATATGAAAAGGAAAAACTAGTACCTGCCACTGCAAAAACACACCGAAATATAAAGACCAATGACACTATGAAGAAACTGCTTCAACTAATGTGCAAAACAAGCAGCTAGCATCATGATGACAGGATGAAATTCACACATAACAATATTAACCTTCAATGTAAATGGGTTAAATGCCCCAATTAAAAGACACGGACTGGCAAATTAGATAAAGAGTCAAGACCAATCGATGTGCTGTATTCAGGAGACATATATCACCTGCAAAGACACACATAGGCTCAAAATAAAGGGATGGAGGAATAGGAATTTTACCATACAAATGAAAAGCAAAAAAAAAAAAAAAAAAAAAAAAAGCAGGGTTTGCAATCATGGTCTCTGATAAAACAAACTTTAAACCAACAAAGATCAAAAAAGACAAAGAAGGGCATTACATAATGGTAAAGGCATCAATTCAACAAGAAGAGCTAAGTATCCTAAATATATATGCACTTAATACATGAGCACCCAGATTTGTAAAACAAGTTCTTACAGACCTACAAACAGAGTTAGACTCCCACATAATAACAGTGGAAGACTTTAACACCCCACTGTCAATATTAGATCAATGAGACAGAAAATTAACAAGGATATTCAGGACTTGAACCCAGCTCTGGATCAAGTGGACCTAATAGACAAATACAGAACTCTCCACCCCCAAGTAAACAGAATACACATTCTTCTCAGTGCCACATAGCATGTAGTTTAAAATCGACCACATAATTGAAATTGAAACACTCCTTAGCAAATGCAAAAAAAAAAAAAAAGGAAATCATAACAAACAGTCCCTCACACCACATGTAATCAAATTAGAACTCAGGATTAAGAAACTCACCCAAAACCACAAAATTACAAAAAAACTGAACAATCTGCTCCTGAATGACTAAGGGGCAAATAATGAAATTAAAGTCGAAATAAAAAAGTTCTCTGAAAGCAGTGAGAACAAAAACACAATGTACCAGAATCTCTGGGACACAGCTAAAGCCATGTTAAGAGGAAAACTTATAGCACTAAATGCCCACATCAGAAAGCTGGAAAGACCTAAAATCAACACCCTATCATGACATTAAAAGAAGTAGAAAAGCAAGAGCAAACAAATTCAAAAGCTAGCAGAAGACAAGAAATAACTAAGATCAGAGCAGAACTGCAGGAGATGAAGACAGGAAAAACCCTTCAAAAAATTCATGAATCCAGGAACGGGTTTTTTTTAAAAAGGTTAACAAAATAGATGGACCATTAGTTAGACTAATGAAAAAGAAAAGAGAAGAATCAAATAGACACAATAAAAAATGATAAAAGGGACATCATCACTGATCCCACAGAAATACAGCCTAGCATCAGAGAATACTATAAACACCTCTACACAAACAAACCAGAAAATTGAGGAGAAATGGATAAATTCCTGGACACATACACCCTCCCAAGACTAAACCAGGAAGAAGTTGAATCCCTGAAGAGACCAATAAAAAGTTCTAAAATTGAGGCAGTAATTAATAGCCTACCAACCAAAAAAAGCCCAGGACCAGACGGATTCACAGCCAAATTATACTAAAGAGGAGCTGTATCATTCCTTCTGAAATTATTCCAAACAACAGAAAAAGAGGAAATCCGCCCTAACTCCTTTTATGAGGCCAGCATCATCTGGATACTAAAACCTGGAAGAGACACAACAACAACAAAATATTTCAGGCCAATATCTCTGATGAACATCGATGTGAAATTCCTCAGTAAAATACTGGCAAACTAATCCAGCAGCACACCAAAAAGCTGATCCACCATGATCAAGTCAGCTTCATCCCTGGGATGCAAGGCTGGTTCAACATACACAAATCAATAAACATAATCCATCACATAAACAGAACCTATGACAAAAACCACATGATTATCTCAACAGATGTAGAAAAGGTCTTTGATAAAAATTCAACACCTTTTCATGCTAAAATCTCTCAATGAACTAGGCATTGATGGAACATATCTCAAAATAATAAGACCTATTTATAATGAACACATAGCCAATATCATATTAAATGGGCAAAAGCTAGAAGCATTCCCTTTGAAACCCAGCAGTAGAAAAGGATGCCCTCCCACACCACTCCTATTCAACATAGTACTGGAAGTTCTGGCCAGGGCAATTAGGCAAGAGAAAAAAATAAGGGGTATTCAAATAGGAAGAGAGGAAGTCAAATTGTCTATGTTTGCAGATGACATGATTGTATATTTCAAAAACCCCGTCATCGCAGCCCCAGAACTCCTTTAGCTGATAAACAACTTTGGCAAAGTCTCAGGATACAAAATCAATGTGCAAAAATCACAAGCATTCCTATACATTAGGAATAGACAAACAGAGAGCCAAATCATGAGTGAACTCTCATTCACAATTGCTACAAAGAGAATAAAACACCTAGGAATACAATTTACAAGGGCGGTGAAGGACCTCCTCTAGGAGAACTACAAACCACTGCTTAAGGAAATAAGAGAGGACACAAACAAATGAAAATAATTTCACGCTGGTGTATAGAAAGAATCAATATTTCAAAAATGGCCATACTGCCCAAAGTGATTTGTAGATTTAATGCCATTCCCATGAAACTATCATTGGCTTTCTTTGCAGAATCAGAAAAAACGACCTTAAATTTCATATGGAAACAAAAATGAGCCTGTATAGCCAAGACAATCCTAAGCAAAAAGAGCAAATCTGGAGGCATCACCCTACCTGACTTCAAACTATACTACAAGGCTGCAGTAACCAAAACAGCATGGTACTGGTCCAAAGCAGATATATAGACCAATGGAACAGAACATAGGCCTCAGAAATAACACCACACATCTACAACCATCTGATCTTCAACAAACCTGACAAAAACAGCAATGTTTATTTAATAAACAGTGCTGGAAAAACTGCCTAGCTATATGCAGAAAATTGAAAATAGATCCCTTCATTACAACTTATACAAAAATTAACTTAAGGCAGATTAAACACTTAAATGTAAAACCTAAAACTATAAAAACCCTAGAAGAAAACCTAAGCAATACCATTGAGGACATAGGCATGGGCAAGGACTTAATTACTAAAACACAAAAAGCAATTACAACAAAAGCCAAAACTGACAAATGGGGTCTTATTAAACTAAAAAGCTTCCGTAAAGCAAAAGAAACTGTCAGCAGAGTGAACAGGCAACCTATAGAATAGGATAAAAGTTTTGCAGTCTATCCATCTGACAAAAGGTTAATATCCAGAATCTACAAGGAATTTAAACATATTTATAAGAAACAAACAAACAAACAACCCCATCAAAAAGTGGGCAAAGGATATGAACATACACTTCTCAAAAGAAGACATTTATGTGGCCAAAAAACATATAAAAAAGGCTAATCATCACTGGTCATTAGAGAAATGCAAATCAAAACCACAATGAGATACAATCTCACATCAGATAGAATGGTGATCATTAAAAAGTAAGGAAACAGCTGGGCGTGGTGGCTCAGGCCTGTAATCCCAGCACTTTGGGAGGCCAAGGTTGGCCGATCATGAGTTCAGGAGTTCAAGACCAGCCTGGCTAACATGGTGAAACCCCACCTATACTAAAAATACGAAAAAATTAGCTGGGCATGGTGGTGTATTCCTGAAATCTCAGCTACTCGGGAGGCTGAGGCAGGAAAATTGCTTGAACCAGGACCCGGGAGGCAGAGGTTGTAGTGAGCCGAGATCATGCCACTGCATTTCAGCTTGGGCTACACAGTGAGACTCCATCTCAAAATAATAATAATAATAAATTAAATAAATAAAAGAAGGAAACAACAGATCTTGGTGAGGCTGTGGAGAAAAAGAATGCCTTTACACTCTTGGTGGGAGTGTAAATTAGTTCAACCATTGTGGAAGACAGTGTGGTGATTTCTCAAGGATCTAGGACCAGAAATACCATTTGACCCAGCAATTCCATCACTGGATATATACCCAAAGGATTATAAATCATCTTACTTTAAAGACACATCCACACGTATGTTTGTTGCAGTACTATTTACAATAGCAAAGACTTGGAACAAACCCAGATGCCCATCAATGATAGACTGGATAAAGAAAATGTGGCACATATGCACCATGAAATACTATGCAGTCGTGAAAAAAACCAAACACCACATGTTCTCACTCATAAGTGGGAGTTGAACAATGAGAACACATGGACACAGGGAGAGGAGCATCACACACTGGGGCCTGTCGGGGGTGTGGGACAAGTGGAGGGAGAGCCTTAGTACAAATTCCTAATGCATGCAGGGCTTAAAACCTAGATGATGCATTGATAGGTGCAGCAAACCACTATGGCACATATATACCTATGTAACAAACCTGCACTTTCTGCATGTGTATCACAGTACTTAAAAAAATTCCTAGACACATACAGCCTATCAATATTGAACCATGAAGAAATACTTAACTTGAACAGACCAATAGCAAGTTATAAGATGGAAGCCATTCTAAAATGTCCCCTAGCAAACAAAGCTGGTGATCCTATGGCTTCACTGCTCAATTGAATTGTACCAAGCATTTAAGGAAGAACTAGTAGTAATCATACTCAAAATGTTCTGAAAAAATAGGAATACTTTCACCCTCAGTCTGAAAGGCCAGTGTAACCCCAATACCAAAAGTAAACAATGACTTATCTAGAAGACACTGCATGCCAATATCATTGATGAATACTGATGCAAAAATCTTCAGCAAGATACTAGTAAAACAAATATATTAAAGTGATCAGTTATTATGATCCAGTGGGATTTATCCCATTGATAAAAGGATGGTTCAACATATGCAAAACAATCAATATGATACCTCACCTCATGTCACAGAATGAAGAAGAAAAAGTTATATACTCCTTTCAATTGAGTCTGAAAAAGCATTTGTTAAAATCCAAAATACCTTCATGATTAAAAAACTTTCACAAAAGTATGTATAGAAAAAACATACATCAGGAAAATAAAAACCATATATGAAAACCCACAGCTAGTATCATACTTAATGGGGAAAAACTGAAAGTCTTGCTAGAACAACAACAGACAGGTATAAATGGCATCTACAATGGAAAAGAAGAAGTCAAAGTATCCTCGTTTGCAGAAGATATAACCTTATATTTGAAAAAACCTAAAGACCCCACAAGAAAACTATTAGAACTGAAACAATTTCAGTACAGTTGCAGGATACAACGTCAACATAAAAAATTAGTAGCATTTCTATATGCCAACAGTGAACAATGTGAGAAAGAAACAAAAAAGTAATCTAATTTAGACTCACCTAAAATTAAATACCTAGGAATTAACTTAATCAAATAAGTGAAAGATCTCTATAATAAAAACTATGAAAAACTGATGAAAATAATTTAAAAGGACACCGAAAAATGGAAAAATATTTTATCTTTATGTTTTGGAAGAATATTGTTAAAATGTCCATCTACCAAAAGCAATCTACAGATGCAATGCAATCCCTATGAAAATACCAATGACATTATTCAGGGAAATATAATAGCAAAAACAATCCTGAAGCTTCCATGGAATCACAAAAGTCCCAGAATGGTCAAAGCTATCCTGAGCAAAAAAAAAAAAAAAAAAAAAAAAAAAAAAAAGAAAAAGAAAAACTGGAGGACTCTCATTACCTGATTTCAAACTCTACTATAGAGCCACAGTAACCAAAACAACATGGAACTGGCATATAAATAGGTACACAGAATAATGGAACAGAATAGAACCCAGAAACAAATCCATACACCTAGAGTTAACTCTTTTTCAAGAAAGTTGCCAGGAACATACATTGCAAAAAGACAGTCTCGCCATAAATGGTGCTGGGAAAACTGGATATCTATGTGCAGAAGAATTAAAATAGACCCCTATCTCTTGACATATGTGAAAATCAAGCAAAATATTATTAGACCTGATATTTGATATATCAAAAATCAAAATATTATTAGACCTGATATTTGATAGCACGACAGTGTGACTATAGTCAATAATTATGTAATTGTCCATTTAAAAATAACTAAAGGAGTACAATTGGATTGTTTGCAACACAGAGGATAAATATTTGAGGTGATGAATATCTCATTTAGCGGGAAGTGATTATTACTTTTTTCATGCCTATATCCAAGCATCCTATGTACCCTATAAATATATACACCAATATTTACCCACAAAACTTAAAAAATTAAAAAGAAGAAATAACATTATAAACATTTTCAAATCTGGGGAAATATATAGATGTAACTGAACAATCTCCTATTATGTTCAATCCAAACAAGACTACACCAATCATGTTAACAATCATACTATCAGAAATCAAATGCGAGAGAGAATCATGAAAGGAGGAATAGTTAAAAAATCACACAGAAAGAAATGTTAATATGCTGATTTCTGCACAGAAACCTTAAAAGTCAGTAGCGTTGGATGATACATTCATGATACTGAAAGAAAACCCTGCCAACCAGGAATAATTTACCCCAAAATGCTGTTCCCCACAGGTGAAGAAGAGATAAAGACTTTCTGAGACCAGACATGGTGGCTCATACCTATCATCACAGCACTTTAGGAAGCTGAAGTGGGTGAATTGCTTAAGCCCAGAAATTCAAGACCAGCCTTGGCAACATGACAAAACCCTGTCTTCACAAAAGGAAAACACAGAAAAATTTACTGCACATGGTGGAGCATGATTGTAGTCTCAGCTATTCAGGATGCTGAGGTGGGAAGATCACCTGAGCCTGGGAGGTTAATGATGCAGTAAGCTGTGATTGCACCACTACACTCCAGCCTGGATGACAGAGTGAGACCTTGTTCAAAAAAAAAAAAATCTCTGAGACAAAAGCCTAGTTAGGTCATTCCCACTATACCTGCCTTGGAGGAAATGCTAAAGGGAGTTCTTCAGGCTGAAAGAAATAGAAACTACTGAGAAACTTTAAAGCATGAAAGTATAAGACTCATGGGTAAAAGTAAGTATATAATCAAATTCAGAATACTCTAATACTGCAATGGTCTGTGTAAATCACTTATATATTTAGTGTGAAGGTTAAAAATACACAATTATTAGAAAAATAATAGCTACAGTAATTTGTAAGAGATACACAATATAGATAGAAATTGTGACATCAAAAAGAAAACGTGAAAGGAGAGTAAAAGTGTAGTTTTGTATGCTAGTCAAATTCAGTTCTCATTAGCTGAAAATGATCTGTCATAGTTATAAATTATTTTATGTTTGCCTCATTGTAACTGCAAAGCAAAATCTATAAGAAGTACAAAAAAGAGAGAAATTAAGGTATTAAAGCGCTACTCCAGAAAATTATCTAATCACAAAGGAAGACAAGAGTACAGAAACAAAATAGCGAAAGATTTATAAAACAACCAGAAAATATTTAATAAAATGGTAGTAGTAAGTCCTTATTATCAATAATTAACTTGAGTTTAAATGGATTAAGTTCTTCAGTCAAAAGATACATGGTGGCTGAATGGATTAAAGAAGAAAATAAGAATGCTGCCTACAACAAACTTGCTTCATCTTTAAGGATACACATGTACTGAAAGTGAAGGAATGGAAAACGATTCCATGCAAATCGAAACAAAAAGAGATCAAAGATAGCTATACCCACATCAAATAAAATAGACTTTAAGTAAAAAAGATTAAAAAGATACAAAGTACATCATTATATAATGACATAATTCATATAATTCATCAAGAAAATGTAACAATTGTAAATATGTATGCCCACAACATCAGAGAACCAAAATATATAAAGCTGACAGTAGATCTAAAGGATGAAACAGGCTGCAATAAAATAATAGTAGGGGACTTCAATACCCCACTTTTAAGAGATGGACAGATAGTGGCCAGGTGGAGTGGCTCACACCTGTAATCGCAGCACTTTGGGAGGCCAGTGTGAGCAGATCACCTGAAGTCAGGAGTTCTAGACCAGCCTGGCCAACATGTAAAAACCCCATTTCTCCCAAAAAATACAAAAAAAAAAAAAACAAAAACTAGCTGGGCATGGTGGCACATGCCTGTAGTCCCAGCTACTCAGGAGGCTGAGGCACAAGAATTGCTTGAACCCGGGAGGCAGAGGTTGCAGTGAGCCAAGATCATGTCACAGTACTCCAGCCTAGGTGACAGAGCGAGACTCTGTCTCAAAAAACAAACAAACAAAAAACAAAAAAGAAAAAGAAACAAAATGGATGGAAAAACCAAACAGAGAAATCAATATGTAGTCAGCACGCTTGAACTACTCTTTAGACCAAATGAATCTAACAGATATATACAGAAAATTCTATCCAGTTGAAGAATAAAACACATTATTTTCAAATATACATAAAACATTCTCCAGGATAAATGTTAAATTATTTATTAGTCCACAAAATAATTTTTTTTCTCTTATCTTTTTTTTTTTTTTTTTTTTTGAGACTGAGTCTTGCTCTGTTGCCCAGTCTGGAGTGCAGTGGCGTGATCTCTGCCTACTGCAAGCTCCACCTCCGGGGTTCACGCCATTCTCCTGCCTCAGCCTCCTGAGTAGCTGGGACTACAGGCGCCCGCCACCATGCCCGGCTAATTTTTTGTGTTTTTATTAGAGATGGGGTTTCACCGTGTTAGCCAGGATGGTCTCGATCTCCTGACTTCGTGATCCGCCCGCCTCGGCATCCCAAAGTGCTGGGATTACAGGCCCGAGCCACCGCGCCCGGCAACGTGCTTCCGAACAACCGATCTATCAAGGTAGAAATTAAAAGAGAAACTTAAAAATATCTTGAATCGGCGGGGTGCGGTGGCTCACGCCTGTAATCCCAGCACTTGGGAAGGCCGAGGCGGGCAGATTACAAGGTCAGGAGATCGAGACCATCCTGGCTAACACGGTGAAACCCCGTCTCTACTAAAAATACAAAAAATTAGCCGGGCGTGGTGGCAGGCGCCTGTAGTCCCAGCTACTCGGGAGGCTGAAGCGGGAGAATGGCGTGAACCTGGGAGGCGGAGCTTGCAGTGAGCAGAGATCGCGCCACTGCACTCCAGCCTGGGTGACAGAGCGAGACTCTGTCTCAGGATATATATGTATATATATATATCCTGAGACAAAGAAAACTTAAAGGGCCATATACCAAAACTTTCAAAAGGCTGCAAAAGGTGTTCTAAGAGAATTTATAGCAATAAATTTCTACATTAAAAGATAGCTTAAATAAACCAGCTAACATTACATGTGAAGGAACTAGAAACAGAAGAAAAAACTACTGTCAAAGTTAGTAGAAGGAAGGAAATAAAGAATACAGCAGAGTGCTCACTTCAGCAGCACATATACTAAAATAGAAACGATAAAGAGAACGTTAGCATGAGCCCTGTGCAAGCATGACATGCAAATTTTTGAAGTGTTCCATATTTTAAAAAAGAACAGAGCAGAAATAAATTAGAGGCTGGAGAAAATATAAAAGATGAACAAAATTAAGAGTTTGTTTTTTGAAAAGACAAACAAAATCAACAAACATTTAGCTAGACTAAGAAAAAATGAGAGAAGATTCAAATAAAATCAGAAAAGAAAGAGGAGACATTACAGTGGATCCCACAGCAATACAAAGAATCATAAGAGAATATTGTGAATAATTTTACATCAACAAATTGAATAATCTAGAAGAAATGTGTAAATTCCTAGAAACATACAGCCTACCAAGACTGAATCATGAAGAAAAAGAAAACCCAAATAGAGCAATAATGAGTAAGGGGATTGAATTGATTGTAGTTTCCAATTAATATAACTCCCTTATATTAGGGTTTGGAGGTAAGGGTATACATAAGCTTGGAGGTGAATATAAAGCTGATGGAATGATGGAATAATTACATATGCATATAATCCCTGAGAATGGCTCTTTCCCAATTGAAGGGTTCTGCCATCCCACACTATCATCAAAATTTGAAACTCTCATCTTATATGGCAGAAATGTCATAAGTTTTGAAGAAAATAAGATGGGAGTGATTTGTTTTCTAGTGCTTTACTCTCTAGTGGTCTCCTTTTCTTAAGCTAAGGACTAAAAAGAAGTTTGAACAAGAAGTCCCATTTCCTCTAGTAATAACTGTGAGAGGAATCTTTATTGAGCTTAGCTTCACAGATTCCTGCCCACCATGATTTGTTGCATGGAGTGCAATACACTTTCTCATGTTTCAGAAAAGGCCTGCTGTTTATCTAAAAAGTAAAACATGAGGTGTTGGCTAACAGGTTAGCAGGGTTCTTGTGTTTGGGATTGGGTGAAGCCCTAGTAGAGGATGCTAAATAGAATGTCTTTGTGAGTGTCTAATAAGAACATGATTACACCTCACAGGATGCTAATATATGCAGGTTTGGGCTCCTAATAATCTGTCACAATAACCAAAGCAATAGGAATACAAATATAATAGCAAATACCAACCAGTGTTGTAGCAGGACACTGATCAAAATCTGACTCTTTGACTCTATATAAGTGAATTCAGAGCTTCGTTGGAGCTCAGGGAAGAAGGAAGAAAATCCTGAGTTGTTTTAAACGAGAAATGACTGAGAAAACACTAAAATTGATTTATTGAACTGAAGTTGATTTTATTAAGTTTTTAGCCCATGGCTGATATGGGTACTTTAAGTTGAGTTATGTAAAAATACAAATGCTTTCTACTGAGGAATTTAAGGTTTAACCTTTCAGAAATTTATTGTTTAAGAAAATGTTCTAATTAACAGTATTGCTTTTGCTGCTTATCCTGGGTGCTGTCATACATATTTTTCCCTTTGTGCTAACTTAGCACAGTTATCATCCGCTCATGTTTTAGATAGACACTTTATATAGATTCTGGTTAAGGTCCCCAGATTAACTCCTACGAGCACCCAGTTGTACAAAGAAAATATAACTTTTCATTTTCGGCAAAGTGGCCACATTTTATTTTAGAGTCCCAGTTTTCCTCTGGGGAAGATAAAGTGGGGAGAGTAACTGTGAATAATGGCTTCTCAGCCTTTTCTCAGAAGTGTTCCTTATTGTTTCACTGGTCAATTCAAAGTTAAACTCCCTAGTTATATCTGTTTTCCCCTTACTCTCTTCCAGAATCTTGTCTCAATATATGAGAAGGCTTATTATTATTTAAGGTTCTCAACATTTTTATGCATTTATTTAAATTGACAGATTAATTTGTATGTATTTATTATGTGCAGCATGACATTTAAGTATATACATATACTGTAAAATGGTTAAATCCAGGCAATCGACAAATGCATCACCTCACATAGTCAAAATTTTTGTGGTGAGATCCCTTAACATTCAATTCTTGTGTGTTTTTTAAAAATACAATATATCATCACCACTATAGTGACCACGTTGCACAGTAGATCTCTTGAACTTATTTCTTTTATGTAACTATAGCTACGCATTCTTTGGCCACCATCTCTCAAATTCCCACTCCCTGCTAAATACCCCTGCCTTTGGTAACCACCATTCTACTCTCAACTTTTTAAGATTCCACATATGAATAAGATCATGTAGTATTTTTCTTTCTGTATTTGGCTTATTTGATTTAAGATAATGCCCTCCAGTTCATCCACATTGTCGCAAATAACAGGATTGCCATCGTCTTTATGGATGCATAGTATTCTATTGTGTAGTTTTTAAATTTGTGTTTCAGATTGTTCACTGTTGGACTATAGAAATGCTACTGATTTTTGTAAATTAGTTTTGTATCCTCTAACTTAACTGAAATTATCAGTCCTAATAGTTTTTTGTTGAGTCTTTAGGTTTTTTCAAATATAAGATTATATCTTTTGCAAATAAGGAAAATATGACTCCTTTCCTTTCAATTTGGATACCTTTCATTTCATTCTCTTGTCTGATTTTGCAGCTTGAACTTTCAATACTATTTTGAATAACAGTGGTGCAAGTGGGCATCCTTGTGTTCCAGATCTTAGAGGAAAGGCTTTCAGTTTTTCCCCATTCAGGATAACACTAACTGTGGGTCTGTCATATATGCCTTTTATTACGTTGAAGTATATTCCTTCTATACCAAGTTTTTTTAGGGTTTTTATTATAAAAGGGCATTTGATTTTATCAAATGGTTTTTCAGCATCAATTAAAATGATCATATGGTTTTATCCTTCATTTGATATGATGTATTACATTGATTTGCATATGTTGAACCGTTCTGACATCCTGAGAATAAATCCCTCTTCCCAGTGATAATCTAACTAACGTATTTTGAATTCCACTTGCTCATATTTTGTTGAAGATTTTTGCATCAATATTCATCAGTGATATTGGCCTGTAATTTCCTTTATTCCATGTGTCTTTGGTTTTTGTATCAGGATAACATTGGCTTATAGAATGAGTTTGGAAGTATTCTCTCCTCTATTTCTTGGAATGGTTTGAGTACAATTGGTATTAGTTCTTTAAATGTTTGGTAGAATTCAGCAGTTAAGTCATTTGGTCCTGGGCTTCTCTTTACTCAAAAACTTATTATTATGGCTTCGATCTTGTTACTTGTTGTTGGTCTTTTCAGGTTTTGGATTTCTTTCTTGTTCAATCTAGGTATGTTGTATGTGTCTAGAAATTTGTCAATTTCTTCTAGGTTTTCAAATTTATTGGCTTATAGTAGCCACTAATGATTGGTTCATAGTAGCCACTAGTGATTTTTGAATTTCTGCAGTATCTGCTGTAATGTCTCCTTTTTCATGTCTGATTTTATTTACTTGGATCTTCTTTCTTTTTTTCTTTGTTAATCTGGCTAAAGATTTTTCAATTTTGTTTAGCTTTTTAAAAAAACAAACTTTTTGTTTCATTGATGTTTTGTATTTTTTCATTTAATTTTATTTATTTCTGCTCTGATATTTATTATTTCTTTTCTTCTACTAACTTCATATTTTGTTTGCTCTTGCTTTTCTAGTTCTTTAAGATGTATCACTAAATTGCTACTTTGAAGTTTTTCTTTTTTTGATGTTGCCACTTATAGCTATAAATTTTCATCTTAATACAACTTTTGCTGTATCCCATAGATTTTGGTATGTTTTATTTCCATTATCATTTCCTTTAATAATTTTTTCATTTTTTTTTCTAAATTCCCTCATTGATGCCCTGGTAATTCAGGAGCATATTGTTTAATTTTTATGTATTTTCATAGTTTTCAAAGTTGCTCTTCTTATTAATTTCTAGTTTTATTCCGTTGTGGTCAGAGAATATGCTTAATATTATTTCACTTTTTTAAAATGTTTTAAGACTTGTTTTATAACCTAACATATGGTCTATCCTTGAGAATGATTAATGTGTTGAGGCAAAGAATGTGTATTTTGTAGCCATTGCATGAAATATCTGTAAATCATTAGATCCATTTGTTCTATAGTTCAAATGAAGTCTGATATTTCTTTGTACATTTTTTTGTCTGAAAGATCTGTCCAGTGCTGAAAGTGAGGCATTGAAGTCTCTAACTATTATTGTATTATTGTATTGGACTCTATATTTCTCTTTAGCTCTAATTATATCTTGCTCGATTTTCACATATCTGGGTGCTTCAGTGTTGGGTGTGTTACCAGCGATGGGTCTGCAACTGGTGGCATTTCCACAGCAATTCCAGCCCTTGTCTTCTTAGAAAAAAGAGTTCAACTGAGAGATGGAGGCAAATTTTAAAGCAGAGGCAGAGTTTTGTTAAAAGAAGCAAAGTACATTTGGAAGATGGCCAAGAGAGGAACTTGAGAGATCAAGTGCCATGCTCAGTCTGTGGCTTGGGATTTTTATATCCTGTATTGGTTCCAGGTTTTCTTTTCTATTCCCTTGATTTATCCCTCCCTTGGGCTGGGATATTTCTTTGATTCATGAACAGTGACCTGTCATCACTTTCGAGGGGCCACATGTGCAGTGTGTTTACTGAGGTTGTGCCCATGCTCACTTGGGGCATTTCTTTTACTGATCGAGTGCCCCCAGAGGAAGGCCATATACCAGTCAAACTTGGTCATTTTGCCCCCTACTGTGCATATTTAAGACCTTATCAAGGAATTGTGGTTTGCTGGCTCCAGATATCTCCTATCCTTTGGGAACTTCTCTACCGCTTAGTGCCAGTCGTGGCCACTTATCATTTCAGAGAAACAGTTTTATGATTGCCTAACCATCATCTAATGAGTGCCTACATTTCTAGGGCCCTCACTTATTATCCTAGAAGAAGAAGTTGTATAATCACCCGGTTATCAGCCAGTGAGTGCCTGCCATTTTGGCAGGGCCCTCTCCCACTCTGCTCATATCTGTATAACTACCTACTCTAACATTCTGCCTTCAAAAGTCTGAGACCCAATTCTTTGGGATAATGGGTGAAGGTCAGTCTTCTGTAACTGCTTCTTGCTGACAGAGGGGCAGTGTTTGGCCCATGGGTCTCAGACTCTTGCTAGTTGTCAGGGAAGGGTGGCTCCATAGGCCAGCAACAGTGGTGCCCAACCAGGTTCAATGAACACAGGTAGGGTTTTGCCTCTGTCATATTCCGCTGATGGGCAATCCAGTGGTCCCCTATAGAAGGCTGACTCGTGAGTATTGAGAGGACAGTATCCTTTACTTATCCTTCACTGATGATCTTCTGGAGCTTGACAGCTTGAATGCAAGAGGAGAAAAATTGGGTTATTAGATTGAGAAGATATGGACCAAAAAGGAGCAAAAGTAATAGAATGAAAAGATGGCCTAAAAAGGGAAAAGTCCAGAAAAACCATTTCAGGTTCCTTCTTAATTTCTCATAAATTGTTCTCATAAATGGGAGGCTTGATTTTTGAGTTGTCTGATGCTGTCTTGCATTTTTCCTAATTGATTTACCCAGAAACAACATTTTTCATCTAAGGTTAAACAAATTCTTCCCTGTGCTACCATTAACATATATGGCTCTTGGCATTTCTAGAGGACCATGGCTGTGAAAGAGTCAATTTTTTCTTGCATGGCTGCTAAGGTTTTAGCCATGGCATCAATACTGTTGGCTATTTCTGTTGAGAGTTGGCTATAGGTTTAGGAGGCATGTGTGACTCCAGCAATTTCTGCTCCTGTACTGGCTCTGATGTCGAGTCCCACAAGAAGTGGAATTAATTGGATAGCCCTCCTCAACCTGGGCAAGATGGAATGCCCATGGATTGGTATTGGAAGGGAGTGATTTCCAGGAGCTATGAAGATGTCCAGGGATACATAGCATATAGTATAAGTTCCAGTTCATTCAGTGGGGAGGCATTGGTGAACTGAATGACCAACAATATGAAAGACTTCTCAGGTTTTAAGACAAATAGAGATGTCAAAACCAAATAAGGGGGTAAAAGTAGGTATAGAAAATCCTGAGGTTGCTGACTTGCTCAGATTGATGGTGGATATGGTCATGACCGCCAAGATTTGGGTGCATGAGGTGTGGCTCTGATTAGCTCCCTTGTTTCTATTCTCCCAAAAAAGAGAATTTTGAGTTTGTTCCAATAGAACCCTTTCTTCTGTAGCACTGAGATTGGCAATTTGCATACATGGGTGTAATCAGTAGGATGGAACCAGAAATTTTGAGTACTGCATGTGTTTGGGCATTCTCGACAAAACTGAGTGGATTTATCTTGCAGTGTCCCTTGAGGAAAGGTAATACTTGGAGGTTTGGGAAATACTGGTTGATGTTGGACCTGGCTGTGGGGGTATGTTTGGTAGATCTGTTGGCTAGAGTCTATGGTGATAGTGACATTATAGACTGTACTGGGAAGAGCACTTACATCCATTCCATTTTCCTTTTTGATTATGACACAAATAGGGGCTGTCCCCACTAAGGTGATATTAGTAAAGAGGGGCTCAAAAATGGGAGACTTCTCACAGGTATCAGGGAAATCTTGCTTTACTTTTGTAAGAAGCCTATTTGAAGACCTGATTATTCCTTTTAGATTACGATGCCATTGATACAAAATGTGTAGTTCTGCCTCTATTCTCATCCAATCTCTGGGCGACACAGGATAAGTTATCTCTGGTGTTTTAGAAGAAGAGCTAGTGCATAACCAGCAGTTGTTGGAGTAAGGAAATTCTGTGCTTTGAAGCAACTGTAGTGCTTTTTCCAATTAAGAAAAATCAAGATGGTACTGTGCTGCTAGTAAAGAGGTGAAAATGAGAATTAGCAGGAGTGGGCCCATGGTGCCATAATGAGATTGTGAAAAAGAGAAATTAGTAACAAATCAAGTTGTAAAGGGAATTGCCCGAAAGTAAGTTAAGGTGAAGAAAAATTAGCAACAAAGTAGTTTCTCTTGGGACTTTGGGGGGGCATACAGGTTAGGGTTAAAATAAGGTGAATAAGTGATGCTATTGCAAACAGTATTCCTAATATTGGAATTATATTACTTTGAGGTGAAAGGATCTGCGGAGGCATTGGTTATCTTTCCATCTAAAGAGGAATTTCAGATCCTTCAATTGTTCACAATGTATTCTGGAGTTGAAGTCGTTGGATTCAGTTCCAGTGTTTAAGGGCCTTTCCAATACTTCACTCAGGTGTAGTGTATCCAGCTGCTAATCTCTGTTACTTTAATGGCCGTGAGGGTAGAAATAGAAAATGCAACAGTAAAGGGTCTCTCTTTGACTGGAGTTAGTTGGGAATTTGGGGTTCTATTCTTCCAAGCTTTGAGGAGAACCAGTGAGTTTGGAGGATATAGAGGTGGAGATTTTTTCTCTTCTAATTTTGTGTTTGTTTTTAACCCATATTCCTGGAGGGCTTGATGGAGGTCTGCTAGAAAAGAGACATACTGGTTGATTTTAGCAGTTTCTTCATCTAGCAGTAAGTCAGAATACAGGAATGGCCTAACATATAAGGCCTTGAAGGGGCTTAATTGCAAAGGGGTCTGAGAGGCAACACAAATCTGAAGGAGAACTAAAGGTAAGAGGTCCACCCATGTCTGTACTGTTTCCTGACAGAGTTTATTGAGGATGTGTTTGAGGGTTTAGCTAGTTCTTTTCAGGTTCCCTGAAGATGGTGGTCTCCAGGCAAAGTGAAGGTACCCTTTTATGCCTAGGCAGAACTGACCTGCTGATTCGTTTGGGAAATTAAGGATGGACCATCGTCTATTTGCGGTGACCTAGGAAGCCTGAATTGGGGAATGAGTTCCCTTAGGAGGAATTAGCTGCCTCTTGTGTCTTTTCAGTCCTTGTGGGATAGGCCTGTACCCATCCTGTGAAGGTGTCTACACAGACCAAGAAGTACTTATGCCCGCAGCATGTGGTGAGCTGAGTATAGTGCAACTGCCAGTCCTCCCCAGGGTATGTACCTGTCCTTTGGGTTGGACTTGGGGGCTTCCCTCTTTGGGGATTACTTATGATGCACAAGTTGAAAGGTTGACAAACATGTTGAATAGTTTTGTTTATTCTCTTCCTATCTACTTGATATAGTTTGGATCTGTGTCTTAACCAAATATCATGTCAAATTGTTGCAGATGAGGCCTGGTGGGAGGTTGTTGAATTATGGGGGTGGATCCTTCATGAATTGTTTAGCATCATCCTCTTGGTGGTGTTCTTGTGAAAGGTAGCTAGCCTTTTTGTACAGCCTGTAGAAGTATGAGACAATTAAACCTCTTTTCTTTATAAATTACCCAGTCTCAGGCATTTCTTCACAGCAATGCAAGAATGGAATAATACACTACTAAACATTAATTTACATATTTGCCGTAGATTGTCCTTTTCAACGTGGCAGGAGTTGTGTGAACTCGTGATGACCTTCTACCCTTGGGAGGCCCTTGGTAGATGGAGAAGTTCCCCAAGTTTGTACCATTTATTGGTTTCTTTTTGATACCTACGTTGGGTGGTTCAATTTATTTCTTCCTGAGTGTATTGGAGAGGGGATAATTCAGTGGGGAGCAATGGGAGTAAGGCCCCAGGTAAGTATCCTTTGAGACAGCTGCCTCTTTAGTTTGGGGTTGGTCATCCTATTTTCTTGTGCAGTTTCATTGGAGCCCCTCTGGTGTCTCTCACAGGGTACTACTGCCACCTCCTGGGTCAAGTGAACAGCATCTAGTAGATCTAAGATTTGGGATCTGTACTGCCCTTGTCAACGTGATGAGTTCCACTAGTTGTGCTGAGGTCCCCACGGGACAGAGCTTTTATCTCTATGACTTGGGAAAGGGACACTATAAAGTACCCTGCATGTCTAGCTCTATTCCAGATAAAACTACTCCCATCTGAAAATCATATTTTGTTTGGATTGTCCAGAAGCTGATCCTCTAAGTCCTCCAAGCTGGCATAAATTTGGTTAAGTATTTCACAGCATAAATGTGCCAGGTTATTGTTTCCTGGTAGTGGAAGTAAGGTTGGCTGAGTTGAGGATGGAGTACCGCTAAACTGTTACCTGTGGGTTTTCTAGTAACAGGCCCTGGTACTTCAACAGTTTGTTGTCAGTGAACCATTGTGGCCCTTTTATGTTCAATAAGGGGCCTGTATGGTGTGATGGCAGGATCTGGATTAACTGTCCCATGGTGATTTTGAGGGCCTCCTAGTATAGGAGCCCTGCTGCACTCACTATCTTGAGGCAGTGTGGTCACCCTCATGCAACTGGGTCTAGGTTCGTTGAAAAGGTACCTACTGGAGATTTGATTAGCCCTATGGTTTGAATTAGGACTCCTAAGGCTACAACTTGTCTTTCAGTAACAAAAAGCTGAAATGGTTTGGTTAGTATGGGTGGTCCAAGGGCTAGAACTTGTGAGAGGGCAGTTTTTAGCTGCCTAAAAGCTTGCTCCTGATATTTTCCCCAGAAAAGCGAGTTTCTATTAGTCATTTTTTTTAAGTCTGATTAAGGACTTAACAATTCTATCATACCCCGGTATCCAAAGTCTGCAATATCCTGTGATTCCCAGAAAGGCCTGAAGTAGCTTTTGGGTGGTTGGGGTAGGTATTTTAAGGATGACCTATATTCATTCTGGGGAGAATTTAGGATCTCCACAGGTCAGGATTATCCCCAGGCATTGGACCTCTTGTCTTAGTAGTTGTGACTTGGATAGTTGGACACTTCATACCCTCTGGGTATTTAACCTCTTGTCTTAGTAGTTGTGACTTGGACACTTGGACACTTGGACACTTCATACCCTCTGCCTGCAAGGAAATTTAGTGTTTGAACTAGATGCTGGATTCCCAGCTCATTCATAGATTAATAGGTTAATAGGCTATTTACATAATCTATTATGCAGATTAACAGGTTATTTATGTAACATAGGAGAAAGGCAGTCTAGGCCACAAGGCCTGCAACTCTTAGATGAGTACTAGTACTGGACTAGGCCCAGAGAGAGTAGACTAGTGGGGCATGCAACCTACTGAGACACCAGCTGGGGCAACTAACAGAGTGCTGGCATCACCCATCCCCTGAAACTAGGCTGCAAAGCATGGGTCCAAAAGAGACCCCATTCTTCCAGTTGTAGGGAGGAGAGAAAAGAGTGGTGAGAAGTTTGTCTTGCATCTTAAATGCCAGCTAAGCCAAAGCAGCATAGGGCACTTCTCAGAGTTGTGGGGCACTGTTCCAGGCCCTAGCTTCCAGATGACATTTTAGACATGCCCGAGCCAACTTCGTACTTTATGCTCAAGATTGCTATAGCGATTTGACATCTTTTGTGATACTGTAAGAATTTTAGAATTACTTTTTCTAAATTTGTGAAAAATGTAATTGGTATTTTGATAATGATTAAATTGAATCTATAGATTGCTTTCAGTAGTATTGATATTTTAACAATATTCTTATTTTTTCTTTTTTTTGTACCTTAAGTTCTAGGGTACATGTGCACAACGTGCAGGTTTGATACATAGGTATATAGTTGCCATGTTGGTTCGCTGCACCCATCAACTCGTCATTTACATTAGGTATTTCTCCTAATGCTGTTCCTCCCCCAGCCACCCACCCCACGACAGGCCTCAGTGTGTGATGTTCCCCACCCTGTGTCCAAGTGATCTCATGATTCAATTCCCACCTATGAGTGAGAACATGTGGTGTTTCGTTTTCTGTCCTTGCGATAGTTTGCTCAGAATGATGGTTCCCAGCTTCATCCATGTCCCTGCAAAGGACATGAACCCATCCTTTTCTATGGCTGCATAGTATTCCATGGTGTATATGTGCCACATTTTCTTAATTCAGTCTATCATTGATGGACATTTGGGTTGGTTCCAAGTCTTTGCTATTGTGAATAGTGCTGCAATAAACATATGTTTGCATGTGTCTTTATAGTAGCATGACTTATAATCCTTTGGGTATATACGCAGTAATGGGATTGCTGGGTCAAATGGTAATTCTAGTTCTAAATCCTTGAGGAATCACCACACTGTCTTCCACAATGGTTGAACAAATTTACACTCCCACCAGCAGTGTAAAAGCATTCCTATTTCTCCACATCCTCTCCAGCATCTGTTGCTTCCTGACTTTTTAATGATTGCTATTCTAACTGGCGTGAGATGGTATCTCATTGTGGTTTTGATTTGCATTTCTCTGATGACCAGTGATGATGAGTATTTTCTCATGTCTGTTGGCTGCATAGATGTCTTCTTTAGAGAAGTGTCTGTTCATTTCCTTTGCTCACTTTTTGATGGGGTTGTTTGTTTTTTTTCTTGTAAATTTGTTTGAGTTCTTTGTAGATTCTGGATATTAGCCTTTTGTCAGATGGGTAGATTGCAAAAATTTTCTCTCATTTCTGTATGTTGCCTGTTCACTCTGATGGTAGTTTCTTTTGCTGTGCAGAAGCTCTTTAGTTTAATTAGATCCCATTTGTCAATTTTGTCTTTTGTTGCTCTTGCTTTTGGTGTTTTAGACATGAAGTCCTTGCCCATGCCTATGTCCTGAATGGTATTGCCTAGGTTTTCTTCTAGGGTTTTTATGGTTTTAGGTCTAACATTTAAGTCTTTAATCCATCTTGAATTAATTTTTGTATAAGGTGTAAGGAAGGGATCCAGTTTCAGCTTTCTACATATGGCTAGCCAGTTTTCCCAGCACCATTTATTAAATAGGGAATCCTTTCCCAATTTCTTGTTTTTGTCAAGTTTGTAAAAGATCCGATGGTTGTAGATGTGTGGTATTATTTCTGAGGGCTCTGCTCTGTTCCATTGGTCTATATCTCTATTTTGGTACAAGTATCATCCTGTTTTGGTTACTGTAACCTTTTAGTGTAGGTTGAAGTCAGCTAGTGTGATGCCTCCAGCTTTGTTCTTTTGGCTTAGGATTGACTTGGCAATGCAGGCTCTTTTTTGGATCCATATGAACTTTAAAGTAGTTTTTTCCAATTCTGTAAAGAAAGTCATTGGTAGCTTGATGGGGATGGCATTGAATCCATAAATTACTTTGAGCAGTATATCCATTTTCACAATATTGATTCTTCCTATCCATGAGCATGGAATGTTCTTCCATTTGTTTGTGTCCTCTTTTATTTCGTTGAGCAGTGGTTTGTAGTTCTCCTTGAAGAGGTCCTTCACATTTCTTGTAAGTTGAATTCCCAGGTATTTTATTCTCTTTGTAGCTAACGTGAATGGGAGTTCACTGATTATTTGACTCTCTGTTTGTTGGTTAATTGTGTATAGGAATGCTTGTGATTTTTGCACATTGATTTTCTATCCTGACACTTTGCTGAAGCTGCTTATCAGCTTCAATTAAGGAGATTTTGGGCTGAGACGATGGGGTTTTCTAAATATACAATCATGTCATCTGCAAACAGAGACAATTTGACTTCCTCTTTTCCTAATTGAATACCCTTTATTTCTTTCTCTTGCCTGATTGACCTGGCGAGAACTTCCAATACTATGTTCAATAGGAGTGGTGAGAGAGGGCATCATTGTCTTGTGCCAGTTTTCAAAGGGAATCCTTCCAGTTTTTGCCCATTCAGTATGATATTGGCTGTAGGTTTGTCATAAATAGCTCTTATTATTTTAAGATACGTTCCATCAAAACCTAGTTTATTGATAGTTTTTAGCATGAAGGGCTGTTGAATTTTGTTGAAGGTCTTTTCTGCATTTACTGAGATAATCATGTGGTTTTTGTCATTGGTTCTGTTTTCTGATGATTTACGTTTATTGATTTGGGTATGTTGAACCAGTATTGCATGCCAGGGATGAAGCCGACTTGATCATGGTGGATAAGTTTTTGATGTGCTGCTGGATTTGGTTTGCCAGTATTTTATTGAGGTTTTTCGCATAGATGTTCATCAGGGATACTGGTCTAAAATTCTCTTTTTTTGTTGTGTCTCTGCCAGTCTTTGGTCTCAGGATGATGCTGGCCTCATAAAATGAGTTAGGGAAGATTCCCTCTTTTTCTATTGATTGGACTAGTTTCAGAAGGAAAGCTACCAGCTCCTGTTTGTACCTTGGTAGAATTGTGCATGCTTTTTTTTGTTGGTAGGCTATTAATTATTGCCTCAATTTCAGAGCCTGTTATTTGTCTATTCAGGGATTCAACTTCTTCCTGGTTTAGTCTTGATAGGGTGTACGTGTCGAGGAATTTATCCATTTCTTCTAGATTTTCTAGTTTATTTGCATAGAGGTGTTTATAGTATTCTCTGAAGGTAGTTTGTATTTCTGTGGCATCGGTGGTGATATTCCCTTTATCATTTTTTATTGCATCTGTTTGATTCTTCTCTCTTTTCTTTTTTATTAGTCTTGCTAGCGGTCTACCAATTTTGTTGATCTTTTCAAAAAACCAGCTCCTGGATTCATTGATTTTTTGAAGAGATTTTTGTGTCTCTATCTCTTTCAGTTCTGCTCTGCTTTTAGTTATTTCTTGCCTTCTGCTAGCTTTTGAATATGTTTGCTCTTGATTCTCTAGTTCTTTTAATTTTGATGTTAGGGTGTCAATTTTAGATCTTTTCTGCTTTCTCTTGTGGCCCTTTAGTGCTATAAATTTCCCTCTACACACTGCTTTAAATGTGTCCAAGAAATTCTGGTATGTTGTGTCTTCATTCTCTTCGGTTTCAAAGAACACCTTTATTTCTGCCTTCATTTCATTATTTACCCAGTAGTTATCAGGAGCAAGTTGTTCAGTTTCCATGTAGTTGTGCAGTTTTGACTGAGTTTATTAATCCTGAGTTCTAATTTGATTGCACTGTGGTCTGGGAGACTGTTTGTTGTGATTTCTGTTCTTTTACATTTGCTGAGGAGTACTTTACTTCCAATTATGTGGTTAATTTTACAGTAAGTGTGATATGGTGCTGAGAAGAATGTATATTCTGTTGATTTGGGGTGGAGAGTTCTGTAGATGTCTATTAGGTCTGCTTGTTGCAGAGCTGAGTTCAGGTCCTGGATATCCTTGTTAACCTTCTGTCTTGTTTATCTTTCTAATGTTGACAGTGGGGTGTTAAAGTTTCCCGTTATTATTGTGTGGGAGTCTACGTCTCCTTGTAGGTCTCTAAGGACTTGCTTTATGAATCTGGGTGCTCCTGTATTGGGTGCATATATATTTAGGATAGTTAGCTCTTCCTGTTGAATTGATTTCTTTACCATTATGTAATGTCCTTCTTTGTCTCTGTTGATCTTTGTTGGTTTAACGTCTGTTTTATCAGAGACTAGGATTGCAACCCTTGCTTTATTTTTTGCTTTCCATTTGCTTGGTAGATCTTCCTCCATCCCTTTATTTTGAGCCTATGTGTGCCTTTGCAGTTGAGATGGGTCTCCTGAATACATCACACTGATGGGTCTTGACTCTTTATCCAATTTGCTAGTCTGTGTCTTTTAATTGGAACTTTTAGCCCATTTACATTTAAGGTTAATATTGTTATGTGTGAATTTGATTGTGTCATTATGATGTTCGCTGGTTATTTTGCCTGTTAATTGATGCAGTTTCTTCCTAGCATCAATGGTCTTTACAATTTGGCATGTTTTGGAGTGGCTGGTACCGGTTGTTCCTTTCTGTGTTTAGTACTTCCTTCAGGATCTCTTGTAGGGCAGGCCTGGTGGTGACAAAATCTCTCAGCATTTGCTTCTCTGTAAAGGATTTTATTTCTTCTTCACTTATGAAGCTTAGTTTGGCTGGATATGAAATTCTGGTTTGAAAATTATTTTCTTTAAGAATGTTGAATGTTGGCTTCCACTGTCTTCTTGCTTGTAGGGTTTCGGCCAATAGATCTGCTGATAGTCTGATGGGCTTCCCTTTGTGTGTAACTCGACCTTTCTCTCTGGTTGCTCTTAACACTTTTTCCTTCATTTCAACCTTGGTGTATCTGACCATTATGTGTCTTGGGGTTGCTCTTCTTGAGGAGTATCTTTATGGTGTATTAATAAACTCAGTCAAAACTGCACAACTACATGGAAACTGAACAACTTGCTCCTGATAACTACTGGGTAAATAATGAAATGAAGGCAGAAATAAAGGTGTTCTTTGAAACCAAAGAGAATGAAGACACAACGTACCAGAATTTCTTGGACACATTTAAATACAGAACACTCTGTATTTACTGAATTTGAATGTTGGCCTGCCTCGCTATGTTGGGGAAGTTCACCTGGATAATATCCTGAAGAGTGTTTTCCAACTTGGCTCCATTCTTCCCAGCACTTTCAGGTAGACCAATCAAATGTAGATTTGGTCTTTTCACTTAGTCCCATATTTCTTGGAGGCTTTGTTTGTTTACTCTTTTTTCTCTAACCTTGTCTTCTCACTTTATTTCGTTAATTTGATCTTCAATCACTGATACCCTTTCTTCCACCTGATCGAATTGGCTATTGAAGCTTGTGCATGCCTCACAAAGTTCCCATGCCATGGTTTTCAGTTCCATTAGGTCATTTAAGGTCTTCTCTACACTGGATATTCTAGTTAGCCATTCATCTAACCTTTTTTCAAGGCTTTTAGCTTCCTTGCAATGGTTTCAAACATCCTCCTTTAGCTCGCAGAAGTTTGTTATTACCGACCTTCTGAAGTCTACTTTTGTCACCTAATCAAAGTCATTCTCTGTCCAGCTTTGTTCCATTGCTGGCGAGGAGCTGCGATCTTTTGGAGGAGAACAGGCACTCTGGTTTTTAGAATTTTCAGCTTTTCTGCTCTGGTTTGTCCCCATCTTTGTGGTTTTATCTACCTTTGGTCTTTGGTGTTGGTGACCTGCAGATGGGGTTTTGGTGTAGATGACCTTTTTGTTGATGTTGATGCTATTCCTTTCTGTTTGTTAGTTTTCCTTCTAGAAGTCAGGTCCCTCAGCTGCAGGTCTGTTGGAGTTTGCTGGAGTTCCACTCCAGACCCTGTTTGCCTGGGTATCACCAGCGGAGGCTGCGGAACAGCAAATATTGCAGAATGGCAAATATTGCTACCTGATCCTTCCTCTGGAAGCTTCGTCCCAGAGTGGCAGCTGCCTATATGAGGTGTCTGTCAGCCCCTACTGGGAGGTGTTTTTCAGTTAGGCTACACAGAGTTAAGCGACCCACTTCAGCAGGCTGTCTGTCCGTTCTCAGAGCTCAAACGCTGTGCTGGGAGAACCACTGTCTTCTTCAGAGCTGTCAGACAGGGACATTTAAGTCTGCAGAAGTTGTCTGATGCCTTTTGTTCAGCTATGCCCTGCTCACAGAGGTGAAATCTAGAGGCAGTAGGCTGCAGTGGGCTCTGCCCAGTTCTAGCTTCCTGGCAGCTTTGTTTACCTACTCAAGCCTCAGCAATAGCAGATGCCCCTCCCGCAGCCAGGCTGCTGCCTCACAGATCGATCTCAGACAGCTGTGCCAGCAGTGAGCAAGGCTCTGTGAGCATGGGACCGCCAAGCCAGGCATGGGAAGATCTTGGGAAAAGTGCAGTATTTGGGCAGGAGTGCTCCTTTTTTCCAGGTAGCCTGTCATGACTTCCCTTGGCTAGAAAAGAGAAATCCCCCAACCCCTTGCACTTCCCGGGTGAAGTGATGTCCCGCCTTGCCTCAGTTCACCCTCTGTGGGCTGCACCCACTGTCCAACGTGTCCCAATGAGATGAATCAGGTACCTCAGTTGGAAATGCAGAAATCACCTGTCATCAGCGTCCATCATGCTGGGAGCTGCAGACCGGAGCTGTTCCTATTTGGCCATCTTGCTCTTAAATCTCTCTCTCTCTCTCTTTTTTTTTTTTTTTTTTTTTTTGACAGAGTATTGCTCTGTCACCCAGGCTGGAGTTCAGTGGCGCAATCTCGGCTCACCACAACCTCCACCTCCTGGGTTCAAGCAATTATCCTCTATTAATTCTTTTATTATTATTATTATACTTTAAGTTCCGGGGTATATTTGCAGAACGTGTAGGTTTGTTACATATGTATACACATGGCAAGGTGGTTTGCTGCACCTGTCAACCCATCATCTACATCAGGTATTTCTCCTAATGCTATTCCTCACCTATCCCCCACCCCCTGAGAGGCCCCATTGTGTGATACCTCTCTCCCTGTGTGTGTGTGTTCTCATTGTTCAATTCCCACTTATGAGTGAGAACATGTTTCCTTTGGTTTTCTGTTCTTGTGTTAGTTTGCTGAGAATGATGGTTTTCAGCTTCATCCATGTCCCAGCAAAGGAGACGAACTCATTTTTTAATGGCTGCATAGTATTCCATGATGTATATATGTCACATTTTCTTTATCTAGTCTATCATTGATGGGCATTTGGGTTGGTTCCATGTCTTTGCTATTGTGAACAGTGCTGCAATAAACATACATGTGCATGTGTCTTTATAGTAGAATGATTTATAATCCTTTGGGTATATACCCAATAATGGGATTGCTGTGTTAAACAGTATTTCTAGTTTTAGATCTTTGAGGAGTTGCCACACTGTCTCCCACAATGGTTAAACTAATTTACACTACCACCAGCAGTGTAAAAGCTTTCCTATTTCTCCACATCCTCTCCAGCATCTGCTGTTTCCTGACTTTTTAATAATTGCCATTCTAACTGGTGTGAGATGATATCTCACTGTGGTTTTGATTTGCATTTCTCTAATGATCAGTGATGATGAGCTTTTATTTTCTTCATATGTTTCTTGGCTGGTAAATGTCGTCTTTTGAGAAACGTCTGTTCATATCCTTTGCCAACTTTTTGATGGGGTTGTTTGTTTTTTTCTTGTAAATTTCTTTGAGTTCTTTGTAGATTCGTGGTATTAGCCCTTTGTCAGATGAATAGATTGCAAAAATTTTCTCCCATTCTGTAGGTTGCCTGTTCACTCTGATGATAGTTTCTTTTGCTGTGCAAAAGCTCTTTAGTTTAATTAGATCCCATTTGTCAATTTTGGCTTTTGTTGTCATTGCTTTTGATGTCTCAGTCATGAAGTCTTTGCCCATGCCTATGTCCTGAATGGTATTGCCTAGTTTTTCTTCTATGTTTTTTTATGGTTTTAGGTCTTAATTCATCTTGAGTTAATTTTTGTATTAGGTGTAAGAAAGTGATCCAGTTTTAGTTTTCTGCATATGGGTAGCCAGTTTCCAAACACCATTTATTAAATAGGAAATTATTTCCACATTGCTTGTTTTTGTCAGGTTTGTCAAAGACCAGAGGATTGTATATGTGTGGTGTTATTTCTGAGGCCTCTGTTCTGTTACATTGGTCAATATATCTGTTTTGTACCAGTACCATGCTGTTTTGATTATTTTAGCCTTGTAGTATAATTTGAAGTCAGATGGTGTGATGCCTCCAGCTTTGCTTTTTTGCTTAGGATTCTGTTGGCTGTGTGGGCTCTTTTTTGGATCCATATGAAATTTAGAGTAGTTTTTTAAAATTCTGTGAAGAAAGTCAGTTGGAGCTTGATGGTGATAGCATTGAATCTATAAATTACTTTGGGCAGTATGGCCATTTTCATGATATTGATTCCTTCTATCCATGAGCATGGAATATTTTTCATTTGTTTTTGTCCTCTCTTATTTCCTTGAGAACTGGTTTGTAGTTCTTGAAAAGGTCCTTCACATCCTTTTTAAGTTGTATTCCTAGGTATTTTATTCTCTTTGTAGCAATTGTGAATGAGAGTTCACTCATGATTTGGCTGTCTGTTTGTCTGTTATTTGTGTATAGAAATGCTTGTGATTTTTGCACATGGATTTTTTGTCCTGAGACTTTACTGAAGTTGCTTATCAGCTTAAGGAGATTTTGGTCTGAGATGATGGGGTTTTCTAAATATACAATCATGTCATCTGCAAACAAAGATAATTTGACTTTCTCTTTTTCTAGTTGAATACCCTTTATTTATTTCTCTTGCCTCATTGTCCTGGCCCGAAGTTCCAGTACTATGTTGAATAGATGTAGTGGGAGAGGGCATCCTTGTCTTGTGCCCATTCAGTAAGATATTGGCTGTGGGTTTGTCATAAATAGCTTTAATATTTTGAGATATGTTCCATCAATACCTAATTTATTAAGAGTTTTATTGCGAAGGGATATTGAATTTTGTCAAAGACTTTTTCTGCATCTATTGAGATAATCATGTGGTTTTTGTCATTGGTTCTGTTTATGTGATGGATTACATTTATTGATTTGCATATGTTGAACCAGCATTGCATCCCATGGATGAAGCAAACTTGACCATGGTGGATAAGCTTTTTGATGTGCTGCTGGGTTCGTTTTGCCAGTATTTTATTGAGGATTTTCACATTGATATTCATCAGGGATATTGGCCAGAAATTTTCTTTTTATGTTGTGTCTCTGCCAGGTTTGGTATCAGGATGATGCTGGCCTCATAAAATGAGTTACGGAGGAGTCCTTCTTTTTCTATTTTTTGGAATAGTTTAAGAAGGAATGGTACCAGTTCTTCTTTGTACCTCTGGTAGAATTTGTCTTTAAATCCATCTGATCCTGGACTTTTTTTCATTGGTATGCTATTAATTACTGCCTCAATTTTATAAATTTTTTTGGTCTATTCAGGAATTCAATTTCTTCCTGGTTTACTCTTGGGAGGGTGTATGTGTCCAGGAATGTAACCATTTCTTCCAGATTTTCTAGTTTATTTGCACTGAGGTGTTTATAGTATTCTCTGATGGTAGTTTGTATTTCTCTGGGATCAGTGGTGATACCCTTTTTATCATTTTTTTATTGCATCCATTTGATTCTTCTCTCTTTTCTTCTTTATTAGCCTGCCTAGCTGTCTATCTATTTTGTTAATCTTTTCAAAAAACAGATCCTGGATTCATTGATCTTTTAAAGGTTATTTCCTGTCTTCATCTCCTTCAGTTCTGCTCTGATCTTAGTTATTTTTTTATATTCTGTTAGCTTTTGAATTTGTTTTCTCTTGCTTCTATAGTTCTTTTAAATGTGATGTTAGGGTATCAACTTTAGATCTTTCCTGCTTTCTCCTGTGGGCATTTAGTGCTATAAATTCCACTCTAAATCTGCTTTAAATGTATCCCAGAGTTTCTGGGATGTTGTATCTTTGTTCTCATTGCTTTCAAAGAACATCCTTATTTCTGCCTTAATTTCGTTATTTACCTAGTAGCCACTCAGGAACAGGTTGTTCAGTTTCTATGTAGTGCGATTTTGATATGTAGTGCGATTTTGAGTGAGTTTCTTAGTTCTGAGTTTTAATTTGATTGCACTGTGGTCTGAGAGACTGTTTGTTATGATTTCCGTTCTTTTGCATTTTCTGAGGAGTTTTTACTTCCAGTTATGTGGCCAATTTTAGAATAAGTGCGATGTTGTGTTGAGAAGAATGTATATTCTGTTAATTTGTGGTGGAGGATTCCGTAGATGTCTGTCAGGCCTGCTTGGTCCAGAGCTGAGTTCAAGGCCTTAATATCCTTGTTAATTTTCTGTCTCATTCATCTGTTTAATATTGACAGTGGGAAGTTAATTTCTCCCACTATTATTATGTGGGAGTCTGAGTCTCTTTATATGTCTCTAAGAACTTTCTTTATGAATCTGGGTGCTCCTGTATTGGGTGCATATCTATTTATGATGGTTTGTTCTTCTTGTTGAAATGATCACTTTACCTTTATGTAATGCCCTTCTTTGTCTCTTTTGATCTTTGTTGGTTTAAACTTTGTTTTCTCAGAGACTAGGATTGCAAACCCTGCTTTCTTCTGCTTTCCATTTTCTTGGCAAATATTTTTCCATCCCTTTATTTTGATTGGGGGCATTTAGCCCGTTTATATTTAAGGTTAATATTGTTATTGTGAATTTGATCCTGTCAGTATGATGCTAGCTGGTTATTCGGCCCATTAGTTGATGCAGTTTCTTCATAGTGTCGATGGTCTTTACAATTTGTTATATTTTTGCAGTGGCTGGTTCCAGTTGTTTCTTTCCATGTTTAGTGCTTCCTTCAGAAGCTCTTGTAAGTCAGGCCTGGTGGTGACAAAATCTCTCAGCGTTTGTTTTTCTGTAAAGGATTTTATTTTTCCTTCACTTATGAAGCTTACTTTGGCTGGATATGAAATTCTGGGTTGAAAATTATTTTCTTTAACAATGTTGAATATTGGCCCCCACTGTATTCTTGCTTGTAGGGTTTCTGCTGATAGATCTGCTGTTAGTCTGATGGGCTTCCCTTTGTGGGTAACCCAACCTTTCTCTCTGGCTGCCCTTAACATTTTTTCCTCATTTCAACCTTGGTGAATTTGACAATGATGTGTCTTGGTGTTGCTCTTCTCGAGGAATATCTATGTGGTGTTCTCTGTATTTCCTGAATTTGAATCTTGGCCTGTCTTGCTAGATTGGGGAAGTTCTCCTGGATAATATCCTGAAGAGTGTTTTCCACCTTGGTTTCATTCTCCCCATCACTTTCAGGTACACCAATCAAATGTAGATTTGGTCTTTTCACATAGTCCCATATTTCTTGAAGGCTTTGTTTGTTTCTTTTCACTCTATTTTCTCTAATCTTGTCTTCTTACTTTATTTCATTAAGTTGATCTTCAATCTCTGATATTCTTTCTTCCACTTGATCGATTCGGCTATTGATACTTGTGCATGCTTCCCAAAGTTTGTTCTTCTCTAAACTGGTTATTCTAGTTAGCAATTTATCTAACCTGTTTTCAAGGTTCTTAGCTTCCTTGCATTGGGTTAGAACATGCTCTTTTAGCTCAGAGGGGTTTCTTATTACCACCTTCTGAAGCTTACTTCTGTCAGATCATCAAACTCATTCTCCATCCAGTTTTGTTTCCTCGCTGGTGAGGAGTTGTGATTCTTTGAAGGGGAAGAAACGTTCTGGTTTTTGGAGTTTTCAGCCTTTTTGAACTGGTTTCTCCCCATCTTCATGGATTCATTTACCTTTGGTCTCTGATGTTGGTGACCTTCAAATGACGTCTCTGAGTGGACCTCCTTTTTGTTGATGCTGATGCTATTTCTTTCTGTTTGTTAATTTTCCTTCTTACAGTCAAGGCCCTCTGCTGCAGGTCTGCTGGAGTTTGCTGGAGGTCCACTTCAGACCCTGTATCCCTGGGTATCACCAGCAGAGGCTTCAGAACAGCAAAGATTTCGGCCTATTCCTTCCTCTGGAAGCCCTGTCCCAGAGAGGCATCTGCCAGATGCCAGCCAGAGCTCTAGTATATGAGATGTCTGTTGGCATCTACTGGAAGGTATCTCTCAGTCAGGATACACAGGGGTCAGTGACCCTCTTGGGGAGGCTGTCTGACCCTTATCAGACATCGAATGCTGTGCTGGGAGATCCGCTGCTGTCTTCAGAGCCATCAGTCAGGGACAGTTAAGTCTGCTGAAGCTGTACCCACAGCCACCTCTTCTCCCAAGTGCTCTGTCCCAGGGAGAGGGGGGGTTTATCTATAAGTCCTTGATGGGCTGTTACCTTTTTTTCAGAGATGCCCTGCCCAGAGAGGAGGAATCTAGAGAGGCAGTCTGGCCGCAGGGGAGTTGATGAGCTGTGATGGGCTCCACGCAGTTCAAAATTCCTCGTGGCGGGGGAGGAGCCAAGATGGCCGAATAGGAACAGCTCCGGTCTACAGCTCCCAGCGTGAGCGATGCAGAAGACAGGTGATTTCTGCATTTCCATCTGAGGTACTGGGTTCATCTCACTAGGGAGTGCCAGACAGTGGGCGCAGGTCAGTGGGTGCGCACACCATATGCTAGCTGAAGCAGGGTGAGGCATTGCCTCACTTGGGAAGTGCCAGGGGTCAGGGAGTTCCCTTTCGGAGTCAAAGAAAGGGGTGACATACGCACCTGGAAGATAGGGTCACTCCCACCCGAATATTGCGCTTTTTGGACCGGCTTAAAAAACGGCGCACCAGGAGATTATATCCCGCACCTGGCTCGGAGGGTCCTACGACCACGGAGTCTCGCTGATTGCTAGCACAGCAATCTGAGATCAAACTGTAAGGCGGCAGCGAGGCTGGGGGAGGGGGGCCCGCCATTGCCCAGGCTTGCTTAGGTAAACAAAGCAGCCAGGAAGCTTGAACTGGGTGGAGCCCACCACAGCTCAAGGAGGCCTGCCTGCCTCTGTAGGCTCCACTTGTGGGGGCAGGGCACAGAAAAACAAAAAGACAGCAGTAACCTCTGCAGACTTAAATGTCCCTGTCTGACAGCTTTGAAGAGAGCAGTGGTTCTCCCAGCACACAGCTGGAGATCTGAGAACGGGCAGACTGCCTCCTCAAGTGGGCCCCTGACACCTGACCCCCGAGCAGCCTAACTGGGAGGCACCCCCCAGCAGGGGCACACTGACACCTCACACGGCAGGGTATTCCAACAGACCTGCAGCTGAGGGTCCTGTCTGTTAGAAGGAAAACTAACAAACAGAAAGGACATCCACACCAAAAACCCATCTGTACATCACCATCATCAAAGACCAAAAGTAGATAAAACCACAAAGATGGGGAAAAAACAGAACAGAAAAACTGGAAACTCTAAAATGCAGAGTGCCTCTCCTCCTCCAAAGGAAGGCAGTTCCTCACCAGCAACGGAACAAAGCTGGATGGAGAATGACTTTGACAAGCTGAGAGAAGAAGGCTTCAGACGATCAAATTACTCTGAGCTACGGGAGGACATTCAAACCAAAGGCAAAGAAGTTGAAAACTTTGAAAAAAATTTAGAAGAATGTATAACTAGAATAACCAATACAGAGAAGTGCTTAAAGGAGCTGATGGAGCTGAAAACTAAGGCTCGAGAACTACATGAAGAATGCAGAAGCCTCAGGAGCTGATGCGATCAACTGGAAGAAAGGGTATCAGTGATGGAAGATGAAATGAATGAAATGAAGCGAGAAGTGAAGTTTAGAGAAAAAAGAATGAAAGGAAATGAGCAAAGCCTCCAAGAAATATAGGACTATGTGAAAAGACCAAATCTACGTCTGATTGGTGTACCTGAAAGTGATGGGGAGAATGGAACCAAGCTGGAAAACACTCTGCAGGATATTATCCAGGAGAACTTCCCCAATCTAGCAAGGCAGGCCAACGTTCAGATTCAGGAAATACAGAGAATGACACAAAGATACCCCTCGAGACGAGCAACTCCAAGACATATAATTGTCAGATTCACCAAAGTTGGAATGAAGGAAAAAATGTTAAGGGCAGCCAGAGAGAAAGGTCGGGTTACCCTCAAAGGGAAGCCCATCAGACTAACAGTGGATCTCTCGGCAGAAACCCTACAAGCCAGAGGAGAGTGGGGGCCAATATTCAACATTCTTAAAGAAAAGAATTTTCAACCCAGAATTTCATATCCAGCCAAACTAAGCTTCAAAAGTGAAGGAGAAATAAAATACTTTACAGACAAGCAAATGCTGAGAGATTTTGTCACCACCAGGCCTGCCCTAAAAGAGCTCCTGAAGGAAGTGCTAAACGTGGAAAGGAACAACCAGTACCAGCCACTGCAAAATCATGCCAAAATGTAAAGACCATCGAGACTAGGAAGAAACTGCATCAACTAACGAGCAAAATCACCAGCTAACATCAAAATGACAGGATCAAATTCACACATAACAATATTAACTTTAAATGTAAATGGACTAAATGCTCCAATTAAAAGACACAGACTGGCAAATTGGATAAAGAGTCAAGACCCATCAGTGTGCTGTATTCAGTAAACCCATCTCAACTGCAAAGGCACACATAGGCTCAAAATAAAAGGTTGGAGGAAGATCTACCAAGCAAATGGAAAACAAAAAAATGCAGGAGTTGCAATCCTAGTCTCTGATAAAACAGACTTTAAACCAACAAAGATCAAAAGAGACAAAGAAGGCCATTACATAATGGTAAAGGGATCAATTCAACAAGAAGAGCTAACTATCCTAAATCTATATGCACCCAATACAGGAGCACCCAGATTCATAAAGCAAGTCCTGAGTGACCTACAAAGAGACTTAGACTCCCACACATTAATAATGGGAGACATTAACACCTCACTGTCAACATTAGACAGACCAATGAGACAGAAAGTCAACAAGGATATCCAGGAATTGAACTCAGCTCTGCACCAAGCGGACCTAATAGACATCTACAGAACTCTCCACCCCAAAACAACAGAATATACATTTTTTTCAGCACCACACCACACCTATTCCAAAATTGACCACATACATGGAAGTAAAGCTCTCCTCAGCAAATGTAAAAGAACGGAGATTATAACAAACTATCTCTTAGACCACCATGCAATCAAACTAGAACTCAGGATTAAGAATCTCACTCAAAATTGCTCAACTACATGGAAACTGAACAACTTGCTCCTGAATGACTACTGGATACATAACGAAATGAAGGCAGAAATAAAGATGTTCTTTGAAACCAATGAGAACAAAGACACAACATACCAGAATCTCTGGGACACATTCAAAGCAGTGTGTAGAGGGAAATTTATAGCACTAAATGCCCACAAGAGAAAGCAGGAAAGATCCAAAATTGACACCCTAACATCACAATTAAATGAACTAGAAAAGCAAGAGCAAACACATTCAAAAGCTAGCAGAAGGCAAGAAATAACTAAAATCAGAGCAGAACTGAAGGAAATAGAGACACAAAAAACCCTTCAAAAATTAATTAATCCAGGAGCTGGTTTTTTGAAAGGATCAACAAAATTGATAGACCACTAGCAAGACTAATAAAGAAAAAAAGAGAGAAGAATCAAATAGGCACAATAAAAAATGATAAAGGGGATATCACCACCAATCCCACAGAAATACAAACTACCATCAGAGAATACTACAAACACCTCTATGCAAATAAACTAAAAAATCTAGAAGAAATGGATAAATTCCTTGACACATATACTCTCCCAAGACTAAACCAGGAAGAAGTTGACTCTCTGAATAGACCAATAACAGGATCTGAAATTGTGGCAATAATCAATAGTTTACCAACGAAAAAGAGTCCAGGACCAGATGGATTCACAGCCGAATTCTACCAGAGGTACAAGGAGGAACTGGTACCATTCCTTCTGAAACTATTCCAATCAATAGAAAAAGAGGGAATCCTCCCTAACTCATTTTATGAGGCCAGCATCATTCTGATACCAAAGCCGGGCAGAGACACAACCAAAAAAGAGAATTTTAGACCAATATCCTTGATGAACATTGATGCAAAAATCCTCAATAAAATACTGGCAAACCGAATCCAGCAGCACATCAAAAAGCTTATCCACCGTGATCAAGTGGGCTTCATCCCTGGGATGCAAGGCTGGTTTAATATATGAAAATCAATAAATGTAATCAAGCATATAAAAACAGCCAAAGTCAAAAACCACATGATTATCTCAATAGATGCAGAAAAAGCCTTTGACAAAATTCAACAACCCTTCATGCTAAAAACTCTCAATAAATTAGGTATTGATGGGACGTATTTCAAAATAATAAGAGCTATCTATGACAAACCCACAGCCAATATCATACTGAATGGGCAAAAACTGGAAGCATTCCCTTTGAAAACTGGCACAAGAGAGGGATGCCCTCTCTCACCACTCCTATTCAACATAGTGTTGGAAGTTCTGGCCAGGGCAATTAGGCAGGAGAAGGAAATAAAAGGTATTCAATTAGGAAAAGAGGAAGTCAAATTGTCCCTGTTTGCAGACGACATGATTGTATATCTAGAAAACCCCATTGTCTCAGCCCAAAATCTCCTTAAGCTGATAAGCAACTTCAGCAAAGTCTCAGGATACAAAATCAATGTACAAAAATCACAAGCATTCTTATACACCAACAACAGACAAACAGAGAGCCAAATCATGAGTGAACTCCCATTCACAATTGCTTCAAAAAGAATAAAATACCTAGAAATCCAACTTACAAGGGATGTGAAGGACCTCTTCAAGAACTACAAACCACTGCTCAATGAAATAAAAGAGGATACAAACAAATGGAAGAACATTCCATGCTCATGGGTAGGAAGAATCAATATCGTGAAAATGGCCATACTGCCCAAGGTAATTTACAGATTCAATGCCATCCCCATGAAGCTACCAATGACTTTCTTCACAGAATTGGAAAAAACTACTTTAAAGTTCATATGGAACCAAAAAAGAGCCTGCATTGCCAAGGCAATCCTAAGCCAAAAGAACAAAGCTGGAGGCATCACACTACCTGACTTCAAACTATACTACAAGGCTACAGTAACCAAAACAGCATGGTACTGGTACCAAAACAGAGATATAGATCAATGGAACAGAACAGAGCCCTCAGAAATAACGCCACATATCTACAACTATCTGATCTTTGACAAACCTGAGAAAAACAAGCAATGGGGAAAGGATTCCCTATTTAATAAATGGTGCTGGGAAAACTGGCTAGCCATATGTAGAAAGCTGAAACTGGATCCCTTCCTTACATCTTATACAAAAATCAATTCAAGATGGATTAAAGACTTAAATGTTAGACCTAAAACCATAAAAACCCTAGAAGAAAACATAGGCATTACCATTCAGGACATAGGCATGGGCAAGGACTTCATGTCTAAAACACCAAAAGCAATGGCAACAAAAGTCAAAATTGACAAATGGGTTCTAATTAAACTAAAGAGCTTCTGCACAGCAAAAGAAACTACCATCAGAGTGAACAGGCAACCTAGAAAATGGGAGAAAATTTTCGCAACCTACTCATCTGACAAAGGGCTATTATCCAGAATCTACAATGAACTCAAACAAATTTACAAGAAAAAAACAAACAACCCCATCAAAAAGTGGGCAAAGGACATGAACAGACGCTTCTCAAAAGAAGACATTTATGCAGCCAAAAAACACATGAAAAAATGCTCACCATCACTGGCCATCAGAGAAATGCAAATCAAAACCACAATGAGATACCATCTCACACCAGTTAGAATGGCGATCATTAAAAAGTCAGGAAAAAACAGGTGCTGGAGAGGATGTGGAGAAATAGGAACACTTTTACACTGTTGGTGGAACTGTAAAGTAGTTCAGCCATTGTGGAAGTCAGTGTGGCGATTCCTCAGGGATCTAGAACTAGAAATGCCATTTTACCCAGCCATCGCATTACTGGGTATATACCCAAAAGACTATAAATCATGCTGCTGTGAAGACACATGCACACGTATGTTTATTGCGGCATTATTCACAATAGCAAAGACTTGGAACCAACCCAAATGTCCAACAATGATAGATTGGATTAAGAAAATGTTGCACATATACACCATGGAATACTATGCAGACATAAAAAATGATGAGTTCATGTCCTTTGTAGGGACATGGATGAAATTGGAAATCATCATTCTCAGTAAACTATCGCAAGAACAAAAAACCAAACACCACATGTTCTCACTCATAGGTGAGAATTGAACAATGAGATCACATGGACACAGGAAGGGGAATATCACACTCTGGAGACTGTGGTGGGGTGGGGTGAGGGGGGAGGGATAGCATTGGGAGATATACCTAATGCTAGATGACGAGTTAGTGGGTGCAGCGCACCAGCATGGCACATATATACGTATGTAACTAACCTGCACAATGTGCACATGTACCCTAAAACTTAAAATATAATAAAAAAAAATTGAAATAGCTGACCAAAAAAAAAAAAAAAAACAAATTCCTGGTGGCTTCATTTACACTGTGAGGGTAACATGCCATACTCAAGCCTCAGCAGTGGTGGACACCCCTCCCCCGCCAAGCTGGAGCATCCCAAGTCGACCTCAGACTGCTGTTCTGGCTGCAAGAATTTCAAGCCAGTGGATCTTAGCTTCCTGGGCTCCATGGGGTTGGGATCCACAGAGCCAGACCACTTGGTACCCTGGCTTAAACCCCCTTTCCAGAAGAGTGAACGCCTCTGTCTGACTGATGTTTCTGGTGCCACTGGGAGATATATATATATATACTCTTGCAGCTAGCTCAGTGTCCTCCCAAATGGCTGCCCAGTTTTGTTCTTGAAACCCCAGGCCTTGGTGGCATAGGCACCGGAGGGGATCCCCTGGTCTGTGGGTTGCAAAGACCATGAGTAAAGCACAGTATCTGGGCTGGAGTCTACTGTTCTTCATGGCACAGTCCCTCATGGCTTCCCTTGGCTAGGGGAGGAAAATTTCCCAACCCCTGGCACTTCCCTGGTAAGGTGAAATGCCAACCTGCTTCAACTCACCCTCTGTGGGCTGCACCCACTATCCAACAAGTCCCAATGAGATGAACTGTGTACTTCAGTTGGAAATGCAGAAATCACCCACCTTCTGTATCTATCTCGCTGGGAGCTGCAGACGGGAGCTGTTCCTATTTGGCCATCTTGCCAGCAAATTCAACAATATTAATTCGTTCAATCCATGAACATAGATGTCTTTTCATTTCTTTGTATCGTCTTCAATTTCTTTCATCTATGTTGTATACTTTTCAGTGTAGAGATCTTTTACCTCCTTGGTTGAACTTATTCCTGAACAGTTTATGTTTTGTAGAGATTGTAAATGGGATTGTTCTCTTATTTTCCTTTTGAATTACTTTGTTGTTAATATATAGACATGCTACTGAATTTTCTATGTTGATTTACTGAACTCATTTACTTTATTGAATTTGTTTTTTACTTCTAGTTCTAACAGTATTTTGGTGGAGTCTTTAAGTTTTCTGTGTATAAGATTATGTGATCTTCAAACAGAAATGATTTTACTTATTTATTTTTAATTTGGAATCCTTTTATTTTTTATAAGCTTTCAACTTTTCCTAATTTAGTATGATGTCTGCTGTGGATTTGTTAGAAATGGTCTTTAATGTGTTGAAATACATTTTTTATTTCTAGTTTTTTGAATGTTTTCACCATGATGGAATGTTGAATTTTGTTGAACAATTTTTGTATATCTATTGAGATGATCAAATGGCTTTTGTCCCTCATTCTGTTGGTGTAATGTGTCATATTGATTGGTTTGTATATGCTCAACCTTCCTTGCATCCCTGAGATAAGCCACACTTGATTATAGTAAATGATTTATTTTATGTGCTGTTGAATTTGATTTGCTAGTATTTGGTTGAGAATTTTTGAGTCTATGTTCATCAGGAATATTGGCCTATAGTTTTCTTTTTTTGTTGTCTTCTCATCTGGCTTTGGTATGACGGTGAATTGGCCTCATAGAATGAGTTTGAATGTATCCTTTTCTATTTAATTTTTTTGAACAGTTTGAGGTTTGAATAATACTAGTATTCTTTAAATGTTTGGTGGAACTCAGCTTTGAGCTAGAGGCCCTGAGCTATTCTTTAACAAAAATTTTTTATTATAACTTCAATCTAATTATTCATTATTGCTTCATTGAGGTTTTCTATTTCTTCTTGGTTCGATCTTAATAGGTTGTATGTGTCCAGGAATTTACCCATTTCTTCTAGGTTTTCCAATTTGTTGGAGTGTAGGTTGTCCATAATAGTCTCTAATAATTCTTTCTTTTTCTGAAGTCTCAGTTCTTATGTCTCCTTTTTTTGTTTCTGATTTTATTTATTTGAATTCTCTCTTTTTTTTCTTAGTCTAGCTGGAGCTCTGTTAATTTATTTATCAAAAAAACAACTTTTTGTGTAGCTGATCATCTGTATTTTTTTACTTTTAATTTTATTTATTACTGCTCTGATTCTTGTTACTTTGTTTCTACTAATTTTGGGTTTGTTTGCTCTTTCATTTCTAATTCCTTGAGGTGCATCTTTAAGTTGTTGATTTAAACTCTTCATACTTTTTTGATGTAAGCATTTATTGGTATAAACATCCTTATTAGTACTGCTTTTGCTGCATCTTATAGATTTTGGTATGTGGTATTCCATTTTCATTTGTTTCAAGAAATATTTAGGCCGGGCGCGGTGGCTCACGCCTGTAATCCCAGCACTTTGGGAGGCCGAGGCGGGCGGATCACGAGGTCAGGAGATCGAGACCATCCTGGCTAACACGGTGAAACCCCGTCTCTACTAAAAATACAAAAAATTAGCCGGGCGAGGTGGCGGGCGCCTGTAGTCCCAGCTACTCCGGAGGCTGAGGCAGGAGAATGGCATGAACCCCAGGGGGCGGAGCCTGCAGTGAGCCGAGATTGAGCCACTGCACTCCAGCCTGGGCAACAGCGAGACTCCGTCTCAAAAAAAAAAAAAAAAAAGAAATATTTAAACTTTATTCTTAATGTCTTCATTGGCTCATTGGTCAATCAGGAGCACGGTGTTTAATTTCCACGTGTCTGTGTAATTTCCTAGATTCCCCTTATTATTGATTTCTAGTTTTTTATTCCATTGTGACTAGAGGAGATTCTTGATGTAACTTATATTATTTTTAAGTTTTAAAAACTTGTTTTGTGGCCTAAGATATGATTTATTCTGGAAAATATTCCATGTGCTGATGAAAAGAATTTTTATTCTCCAGCAATTGGGTGATATTATGTGTAAATATCTGTTAGGCCTATTAGATCTCACGTGTAGTGTAACCCCCTGTTGCTTTTTTGATTTTCTGTCAAGGTGATCTGTCCATTACCAAGAGTGGGTTATTAAAGTCCTCTACTATTATTATAATGCAGTCTATCTCTCCCTTCAGATATATTAATGTTTGCTTTAGAGTGTTGTAAGCTCTGGTGTTGGATGCATAGATATTCATAAGTGGTATACCCTCCTTCTGAGTTGACTCTTTTATTATTATATAGTGACCTTACTTTAAAAAATCTTTGATTTACAGTCTATTGTATTAATATCAATATAAGCATGGCTACTCTTGATGTTTTTTGGTTTTCATTTCAATGGAATACCTTTTTCCATGCCTTTACTTCGGTCTGTGTGTGTCTTTGTAGGGTAAAGTGGGTTCCTTAAAGCAGCATATAATTGTGCCTTGTGTATTTTTCTATTCAGCCACTTTATGTCTTTTAATTGAAGACGAGTCCATTTACATTCAGTGTTATTATTAATAAGTAAGGACTTACTACTGTCATTTTGTTGCTTGTTTTCTGGTTGTTTTGAGACCCCTCTTTTCCTTTCTTCTTGTCTTACTCTCTTTCTTTGTGGATAAGTGATTATCACTGGAATTATGTTTTAATTTGTTGCTTTTTTTTAGTGAATCTAAAAATCGGTTTTTGTGCTGTGGTTATTATTAGACTTAGAAAAATATTTTATAGATGTAACAAGCAATTTTAAAGAGAAAATGACTTACCTCAAATCACAAATGAAAGAAAAGAAAGAAACAAAGGGAGAATAACACAAAAAATCTACTCTTTTACTCCATCATCTCTCTTATTTTGACTTTTACTTGCCTCAATTTACATATTTTTATATTGACTATCTATCTATTAAAAAGTTGTTGTAGCTATTATTGTTTTTGCTAAATTTTTATTTTGGGCTCTGTACTAGAGTTATGAGTGGATTGCACACTGAAAATACAGCAATATTCTGGGTTCATGTATGTACTTTACTATCAGTGGGTTTTATGCCTTGAAAAGTTTTATTTTGCACATTAGTGCATTAGTGTTGTTTTCTTTCAGACTGAAGTACACCCTTTAGCATTCCTTATAATGCAGGTGTGGCAGTGGTGAATTCTATCAGCTTTCATTTTTCTCTAAAATAATTTATCTTTCCTTCAAATTTGAATGAAAATTTTGTTGGATACAATATTCTTGGGTGAGAGGCTTTTTTTTAAAAAAATTATGCTTTAGGTTTTGGGATACATGTGCAGAATGTGCAGGTTAGTTACATAGGTATACACCCGCCATGGTGGTTTCCTGCACCCATCAACCTATTATCTACATTAGGTATTTATCCTAATGCTATCCTTCCCCTAGCCCCTGACCCCCGACAGGTGTGTGATGCTCCCTTCCAACAGGGTTTTTTTTTTTTCTTCTTTTTTTTTTTATTATACTTTAAGTTTTAGGGTACATGTGCACATTGTGCAGGTTAGTTACATATGTATACATGTGCCATGCTGGTGCGCTGCACCCACTAACTCGTCATCTAGCATTAGGTATATCTCCCAATGCTATCCCTCCCCGCTCCCCCCACCCCACCACAGTCCCCAGAGTGTGATATTCCCCTTCATGTGTCCATGTGATCTCATTGTTCAATTCCCACCTATGAGTGAGAATATGCGGTGTTTGGTTTTTTGTTCTTGCGATAGTTTACTGAGAATGATGATTTCCAATTTCATCCATGTCCCTACAAAGGACATGAACTCATCATTTTTTATGTCTGCATAGTATTCCATGGTGTATATGTGCCACATTTTCTTAGTCCAGTCTATCATTGTTGGACATTTGTGTTGGTTCCAAGTCTTTGCTATTGTGAATAATGCCGCAATAAACATACGTGTGCATGTGTCTTTATAGCAGCATGATTTATAGTCATTTGGGTATATACCCAGTAATGGGATGGCTGGGTCAAATGGTATTTCTAGTTCTAGATCCCCCAACAGGGTTTTTTTTAAAAGCACTTTGAAAATGTCTTTTTTTTTCCTGCAGCATTTTTGGTTACCATTAAGAAATTTGTTGCCATATGAATTGAATCTCTTTTACATGTTATTTGCTACTTTTCTCTTGCTGCATATAGGATCTTTTTGTTCTTGCCTTTGAGAGTTTGATTGTTATTTCCTTTTGAGGTAGTCTTATTTGGGTTGAATCTGTTGTTATCAGACCTTCCTGTGTCTGGATATTTATATATTGCTCAAATTTTGGAAAATTTTTTGTTATTATTCCTTTAAATAACCTTTCCAGCCTTTGTTCTTGCTCAGCTCCCTCTTGAACACCAATAATTCTTAGATTTGATCATTTGAAGTAATTTTCTACACCTTGTAGTTGATCTTCATTCCTTTTTATTCTTTTTTTATTTTTTGGCCTCTAAATGTGCACTTTCAAATAGCCAGTCTTCAAGCTCACTGATTCTTTCCTCTACTTGATCCATTCTACTGTTTTGAGCCTCTAATGACTTTGGATCAGCAAATGTGTTTCTCATTTCCAACATATCTTTTTATTATTTATGTCAGTTTCTTAGTCAAATTTTTCTGATAAATTTTTAATTTACTTTTTATTGTTATCTTGGAGATCAATAGGTTTCCTTAAAACTGCTACTTTGAACTCTTGGTCAGAGAGCTCACAAATTGCTATCTTGTTTTGGTCAGTCACTGGATTTTTGCTTTGTCATTTGGGGAAGGTTATGTTTCCATTTGCTGTAGTTTTCTGTGGTTATAAATCTATGTCTTTGCATTGAAGTATTTATTTTTTATTCCACTTTTCTTTATCTAGCTTGTTCTGGTTTTTACTAGATATATTTGCTTAAGTTTTACTGTTTGCTTTAGGTTTACTGATAGGTTGCTGTCTCCTTTTTGGCTCTAGGTGGCACCCTAACCCCAGGTTTGTCTCAGCTCTAGTAAATTGTCAGAGCACTACCAGTTCCAAATGTGGAAGATCCTAAAGGGATTATCCCAGCAGAGTGGGAAGTCTGGCTGGATTTTTCCCTGGGGACCTGGAGAATGTACCTCCAGCCACTCTCATTTGGGATCTTTTTGGCTGACTTACAGAGCTGAATTTCCTGGCTAAGGATGCTAGTCTTTCTTCTTTCCTTTGTCTCTGCCTGTCCTCAGGGATAGTTCTCCCTCTGGATGTTGTGATAGTACCTATGAATTAAGGCACAAACAGTTTTTTTTTGTTTTTTGCCAAGGGAACCAAGAAGGTGAAAATGATGGTTGACCAGCTCAATTTTACTTTTCCCAGTGTAGAAATCATGAGTTGAGGTGAGTTACTCATTATGGTTGGTGCCTGGAAGAATGGAGGGGAGGGCATTGTGGATGTGAATTTCCAGATCTCCTACGGTCTGCTCAGAGTTTTTCCACTGCTCTGTGACCCTGATAACTGTCCACCCTTATACTTGAGCTCTGGGTTGTTGCCTGTGAAGATCTTGGTGCTATATATTTTTTTTTTGTTTTTGTTTTTCGTGGGTGAAAGAGAAACAAACTTGCTTCTATATTGCCATGCTAGAATTGAAACTCTATAATTATTTTTGACATCTTGTGTTAAAACTTTAACTTCTTTAGGATTTCCCTGGACATTATTAGCCCTTAGTATTTTTGCATATATCTCAGAATCTGCTAATTTTTATATATAATTTGTTTATAATCTACCATATCGCCATTTGATTTTTTAAATTTAAAAATTTTTAATTTATGTGGGTACATAATAGGTGTATATGTTTATAAGGTATATGAGATATTTAGACACTGACAGGCAATGCATAATAATCACATCATGGAAGATGGGGTATTTATCTCTTCAAGTATTTATTCTTTGTGTTACAAACGATTCAGTTATACTATTTTAGTTATTTTTACATACACAATTAAATTATTATTGATTATAGTCATCCAGTTGTGCTATCAAATACTAGGGCTTGTTCATTCATTTTAACTATATTTTGTACCCATTAACCATCCCCACCTCCCGCTCACTGCCCCACTACCTTTCGAAGCCTCTGACAACCGTCACTCTACTCTCTATCTCCATGGGTTCAATTGCTTTGATTTTGAGATTTCACAAAAAAAGTGACAACATGTGATGTTTGTCTTTCTGTGCCTGGCTTATTTCACGTAACATAATAAACTCCAGTTTCATCCGTGTATGGCAAATAACTGAATTTTATTTTCTAATAGCTGAATAGTACTCCGTTGTGTATATGTACATTTTCTTTTTCTTTTTTTAAATTTTACTTTAAGTTCTAGGATACAAGTGCACAATGTGTAGGTTTGTTACATAGGTATTGTGTGCCATGGTAGTTTGCTGCACCTATTAACCCATCATCTAAGTTTTAAGCCCCACATGCATTAGCTATTTCTCTTAATGACTTTCCTCTCCTTACCTCCCATCCCCAGACTGGCCCCGGTGTGTATCGTTTCCCTTCCTGTGTCCATTTGCTCTCATTGTTCAACTCCCACTTATGAGTGAGAACATGTAGTGTTTGGCTTTCTGTTCCTGTGTTAGTTTGCTGAGGATGATGGCTTCCAGATTCATCCATGTCCCTGCAAATCTCATGATCTCATTCGTTTTTATGGCTGCATAGTATTTCATGGTGTATATGTACCATATTTTCTTTATCCAGTCTAGAATTGTTGGGCATTTGGGTTGATTCTATGTCTTTGCTATTGTAAATAGTGCTGCAATAAACTTACATATGCATGTGTCTTTATAGTAGAATGATTTATATTCATTTGGATATATACCCAGTAATGGGATCATTGGGTCAAGTGGTATTTCTGGTTCTAGATCCTTGATGAGTCACCACATTGTCTTCCACAATGGTTGAACTAATTTGCATTTCTAGCAACAGTGTAAAAGAGTTCCTCTTTATCCACACCCTCACCACCATCTATTGTTTCTTGACTTTTAAATAATTGCCATTCCAACTGGCGTGAGATGGTATCTCATTGTGGTTTTGATTTGCATTTCTCTAATGATCAGTGATGTTGAGCCTTTTTTCATATATTTGTGGGTCACATAAATGTTTTCTTTTGAGAAGTGTCTGTTTATATCCTTTGCCAACTTTTTGACGAGAATGTTTGCTTTTTCTTGTAAATATAAGTTCCTTGTAGATTCTGGATATTAGACCTTTGTCAGATAGGTGGATTGCAAAGATTTTCTCCCATTCTGTAGGTTGCCTGTTCACTCTGATGATAGTTTATTTGCTGTGCAGAAGCTCTGTAGTTTAATTAGATCCCATTGCCAATTTTGGCTTTTGTTGAATTTGCTTTTGGCATTTTCATCAAGAATTGTTTGCCAATGCCTATTTCCTAAATGGTATTGCCTAGGTTTTCTTCTAGGGTTTTTATGGTTTGGGGTTTTACATTTAAGTCTTTAATCCATGGATGTCTTGTCTCAACATTCCTATTCAACATAGTATTGGAAGTTCTGGCCAGGACAATCAGACAAGAGAAAGAAATAAAGCATATACAAATAGGAAGAGAGGAAGTCAAATTGTCTCTGTTTGCAGATGACATAATAATATATTTAGAAAATCCCATCATCTCAGCCCAAAAACTCCTTAAGCTTATAAGCAACTTCAGCCAAGTCTCAGGATTCAAAATCGATGTGCAAAAATCACAAGCATTCTTAGACACCAACAATAGGCAAGCAGAGAGACAAATCATGAATGAACTCCCATTCACAATTGTTAAAAGGAGAACAAAATACCTAGGAATACAGCTAACAAGGGATGTGAAGGAACAAGGAGAACTACAAACCACTGCTCACGGAAATAAGAGAGGACACCAACAAATGGAAAAACATTCCATCCTCATGGATAGGAAGTATCAATATTATGAAAATGGCTATACTGCCCAAAGTAATTTATAGATTCGATGCTATTCCCTTCAAACTACCATTGACATTCTTCACAGAGTTAGAAAAACATACTTTAAATTTTATAGGGAACCAAAAAGGAGCCCATATAGCCAAGACCATCCTAAGCAAAAAGAACAAAGCTGAAGACATCATGTTACCTGACTTCAAACTATACTACAAGGCTACAGTAACCAAAACAGCATGGTACTGGTACAAAAACAGACATATAGACCAATGGAACAGAACACAGACCTCAGAAGTAACACTACACATCTACAACCATCTGATCTTTGAGAACTCTGACAAAAACAAGCAATGCAGAAAGCATTCCCTATTTAATAAATGGTGCTGGGAAAACTGGCTAGCCATATGCAGAAAACTGAAACTGGACCACTTCCTTACACCTTACACATTTCCTTTTTGCATTAGTCTATTAAGAGACACTTAGATTGTTTCCAAATCTCGGCTATTGTTAACAGCATTACAACAAATATGGGAGTGCAGATATTTCTTTGACATACTGGTTTTCATACTTTGGGTATATACCCAGCTGTAGTATTGCTGGACTGCATGGTAGTTCTATTTTTAGATTTCATTTTGGAGGATTCTCCAAACTGTTCCCCATAGTGGCTGTACTAATTTAGATTTCCACCAACAGTGTATGAGTGTTCCCTTTTCTCCACATTCTTTCCAGTGTTGCCTATCTTTTGGATATAAGCCATTTTAACGGGAGCGAGTTGATATCTTATTGTAGTTTTGATTTGCATTTCTCTGATCGTGAATGGTGTTGAGCACCTTTTCATATGCCTGTTGTCATTTCTATATTTTCTTTTGAGAAATGTGTATACCAATCTTTGTGCACTTTTTGATTGAATTATTAAATTTTTCCCTATAGAGTTGTTTGAGCTCCATGCATATTCTGATTATTAATCCCTTGTTATATGGGTAGTTTGCAAATATTTTCTTCCATTCTGTGAACTGTCTCTTCACTTTGTTGATTGTATCATTTGCTTTGCAGAAGCTCTTTAACATGATGTGATCCAATTTGTTGATGTTTGCTTTGCGTGCCTGTGCTTGTGGTGCATTGCTTGACAAATCTTTGCCCAGAGTAATGTTCTGGAGATTTTCCTGAACATTTTCTTGAAGTAGTTTTATAAACTGAAGTGTTAGACTGAAGTCTTTGATTCATTTTGATCTAGTTTTTGTGTAGGGTGAAAGATAGAGGACTAGTTTTATTCTTCTGCATATGGAGATCCCGTTTTTCTTCACCATTTATTGAAAAACAATAAACATACACTGTCTTTTCCCCAGTGTATTTTTGGCACCTTTATTAAAAGTGAATTTGCTGTAGGTGTATGTATTTATTTCTTGCTTCTCTATTCTGTTCCATTGGTCTGTCTGTTTTTATGCCAGCACCTTGCTGTTTTGGTTACTATAGCTCTGTAGTATAATTTGAAGTCAGGTAATGTGACTGCTCCAGTTTTATTATTTCTGCTTAGGATAGCTTTGGCTATGCTGTGTTTTTGTAGTTCCATATAAATTTGAGAATGTTTTTTATTTACCTGAAGAATGTCTTTAGTATTTTGATAAGAATTGCATTGAATCTGGAGATTGCTGTAAGTAGTAAGGACATTTTAAAAATATTGAATCTTCCATTCCATAAACATGAAATGTATTTCTATTTTTTATGTTCCTTTCAATTTCTTTCATCAGTGTTTGATAGTTCTTATTATAGAGATTTTTCACTTTTCTGGTTAGGTTAATTTAATGTGTGGCTATTGTATTAACAAACGGGATTGGTTTTTAATTTTTTTCACATTGTTTACTGTGGCATATGAAAACGTGACTGATTTATGTATGTTGATATTGTATCCTGCCAGTTTACTGAATTTGTTTATCAGTTCTAATAGTTTATTTTTGGGGAGCCCTTATTTTTTTCCATATATAATATCATATTATATGTAAACAAGGATAATTTGACTTCTTTTTTTCCATTGTGAATGTCCTTTATATCTTTATCCTGTCTGATTCCTCTAGTTAGAATTTCCAGTATTATGTTGAGTAACAGTGATGAAAGTGGGCATCCTTGTCTTGTTGCAGATCTTAGAGGAAAGGCTTTCAGTTTTTTGCCATTTGGTATGGTACTCACTGTGGGTCTTTCATAGATAACTCTTATTACATTGATGTATGTCCCTTCTGTACCATGTTTTTTGAGAGTTCTTTTCTAATAGTGAAGGGAGGTTACATTTTATCAAATGCTTTTTTAGCCTTAATTAAATAATTATATGGTTTTATCCTTCATTCTGTTGATATGGTGTATCACATTGATTGATTTGCATATGTTGAAGCATTTTTGTATCCCAGAAATAAATCCCACTTGGCCATATTGTATATTCTATCTAACTATTGTTGAATTTCGTTTGCCAGTATTTTGTTGAAGATTTTTGCATCAATATTCATCAGTGATATTGACTCATAGTTTTCTTTTGGTTTGTTTTTTATTTTTATGTGACTTTGTTTGGTTTTGGTATTAGGGTACTAGTGGCTTTGTAGAATGAGTTTGAAAGTATAACCTCCTCCTCTATTTTTCAGAAAAGTTTGAGTTTAATTGGTATTATTTCTTTAAATGTTTGGTAAAATTCAGTAGTGAAGCCATTGGGTTCCAGGCTTTTCTTTACTGGGAGACTTTTTATTACAGCTTTAATCTCATTACTTGTTAGTGATCTCAGGATTTTTATATCTTTCTGGAGGTTCTATCTTGGTAGGTTGAATGTGTCTGGGAATTTTTCCATTTCTTCTAGATTTCCCAATTTATTGTCGTATAGTTGCCCATAGTAGCCACTTATAATCCTTTGAAATTCCATGGTATCAGTCATTATGTCTTCTTTTTTATTTTGTTTTATTTGTATTATCTCTCTTTTTGTCTTGATTAGGCTAACAATTGGTCTATTTTGTTTAACTTTTCAAAAAACCAACTTTTTGTTGCACTGATCTTTTGAATTGGTTCTTCATTTCAATTTTATTTATTTCTGCTCTGATCTTAATTTTTTTCTTCTACTAACTTTGTATTTGACTTGCTCTTGCTTTTGTGATTTTAATATGCATTGTTAGATTGTTTATTTTGAGTTTTTCTCTTTTTTGATGTAGGCATTTAGAGCTATAAACTTTCGTCTTTGTACTGCTTTCACTGTATACCTTAGGTTTTATATATCATGCCCCCATTATTATTTGTTTCAAGATGTCTTTCCATTTTCTTCTAAATTTTTTCAATGATGCAGTAGATATTCAGGAGCATATTGTGCAATCTTCATGTATTTGTATATTTTCCAAAACTGCTCTTTTTTTTCTGATTTTGATTTCTAATTCTATTTCATTATGGTTAGAGAAAATACTTGACATTATTTTAATTTTTTTTGAGATGTAGTCTCACTCTGTCACCCAGACTGAAGTGCAGTGATGCAATCTCAGCTCACTGAAACCTCTGCCTCCTGGTTTCCTGTGATTCTCCCTCCTCAGCCTCCTGAGTAGCTGGGATTACAGGCATACACCACCCTGCCCAGCTAATTTTTTGTATTTTTAGTAGAGACTGGGTTTCATCATGTTGGCCAGGCTGGTCTCAAACTCCTGACCTCAGATGACCTACCCACCTTGGCCTCTCAAAGTGTTGGGATTACAGGTGTGAGCCACCATGACCTGCCTCATTTTAATTTTTAAAATGTTTTAAGACTTGTCTTGTGGCCTAACATATGGTCTGTCTTTGAGAATAATCCATGTGCTGATGAATATAACATGTATTCTGCAGCCATTTGATGAAATATTCCATAAATGTCTTCTACATTTATTTGGTATATAGTTCAGACTATGTTTCTTTGTTGATTTTTCATCTGGATGTTCTGTCCAGTGCTGAGAATGAGGTATTGAAGTATCCAGCTATTATTGGATTGGAGTCAATCTCTCTCTTTAGCTTTAATAATATTTGTTTTATATGTCTGGGTGCTCTAGTGTTGGGTGCATATATATTTAAATTTGTTATGTTCTCTTGCTCAATTGACCATTTTATTGTTATATAGAGATATCAATTGTCTCTTTTGATAGTTTTTTGTCTTGAAATCTATTATGTCTAATATAAGCATAGCTACTTCTGCTATTTTTTTTGTTGTCATTGGCATAGAATATCTTTTTTCCATCCCTTTATTTTTACTCTGTGTGTTTTTATAGGTGAAGTGTGCTTCCTGTAGGCAGCAGATCAATGGGCATTGTGCTTTCACCTGTTAAACCACTCTATGGCTTTTAATTGGAGATTTAGTTCATTTACATTCTATGCTACTAATGATAAAGGTAAAGACTTGCTTCTGTCATTTTGTTATTTGCTTTCTGCTGTTTTGTGGTCTTTTCTTCCTTCTTTTTTTCTTCCTGCCTTTCTCTTAGTGAAGTTGGTTTTCTCCATTGATATAATTTAGTTTTTTGCTTTTTATTTTTTGTATGTGTGTTATATGTTTTTTTGCTTTGAGGTTACTATGAGGCTTGCAAACACTATCTTATAACCCATTATTTTAAGCTGATGACAACTGAACACTGTTTGCATAAACAAACAAACAACAACAGCAACAACAAAAACCTAATGGCCAGGCATAGTGGCTCACTTCTGTAATCTTAGCACTTCAGGAGACCAAGGTGGGTGGATCACCTAGGTCAGGGATTGAAGACTAGTCTGGACAACATGGTGAAACCCTCTCTCTACTAAAAATACAAAAATCATCCAGGTGTGGCAGCACATGCCTGTAATCTAAGCTACTTAAGAGGTTGAGGCTGGAGAATCACTTGAACTCAGAAGGTGGAGGTTGCAGTGAGATGAGATTGCACCACTGCAGTCCAGCCTGGGCAACAGACTGAGACTCCATCTCAAAAAATGAACAAGAAAAACTAAAAAACTGACATCTCTACACCTCGACTTCATCTCCCTGTTTTTTAACTTTTTCTTGTATATATTAGTATCTTATTCTACTGATATGTCTTAAAAAGTTGTTGTAGTTATTCTTTTTGATTGATTCATTGTTTAGTCTTTCTTTTTTTCTCTTTTTTTATTATTATACTTTAAGTTCTGAGGTATATGTGCAGGACATGCAGGTTAGTTACATGGATATACACGTGCCATGGTCGTTTGCTGCACCCATCAACCCGTCATTGACATTAGGTATTTCTCCTAATGCTATCCCAAACCTAGCCCCCAACCCCCTGACAGGCCCTGGTGTGTGACATTCACCTCCCTGTGTCCATGTGTTCTCATTACTCAATTCCCACTTATGAGTGAGAACATTCTGTGTTTAGTTTTCTTTTCCTGTGTTAGTTTCCTGAGAAAGATGGTTTCCAGCTTTATTCATGCCCCTGCAAAAACCATGAACTCGTCTCTTTTTATGGCTGAATAGCATTCCGTGTTGTACATGTGCCACATTTTCTTAGTTCAGTCTGTCATTGATGGACATTTGGATTGGTTCCAAGTCTTTGCTATTGTGAATAGTGCCACAAGGAGCATACATATGCATGTGTCTTTATCATAGAATGATTTATAATCCTTTGGGTACATACCCAGTAATGAGATTGCTGGGTCAAATGGTATTTCTAGTTCTCGATCCTTAAAGAGTTGCCACGCTGTCTTCCACAATGGTTGAACTAAATTACACTCCCACCAACATTGTGAAATCATTCCTATTTTTGCACAATCTCTCCAGCATCTGTTGTTTCATGACTTTTTAATGATCGCCATTCTAACTAGCGTGAGATGGTATCTCAGTGTGGTTTTGATTTACATTTCCCTAATAACCAGTGATGAGAGAGGAGCCAAGATGGCCGAATAGGAACAGCTCCAGTCTACAGCTCCCAGCGTGAGCGACACAGAAGACGGATGATTTCTGCATTTCCATCTGAGGTACCAGGTTCATCTCATTAGGGAGTGCCAGACAGTGGGTGCAGGTCAGTGGGTGTGTGCACTGTGCATGAGCCGAAGCAGGGCGAGGCATTGCCTCACTCGGGAAGCACAAGGGGTCAGGGAGTTCCCTTTCCTAGTCAAAGAAAGTGGTGACAGATGGCACCTGGAAAATCGGGTCACTCTCACCCGAAAACTGCACTTTTCCGATGGGCTTAAAAAACGGCACACCAGGAGATTATATCCCACACATGGCTCAGAGAGTTCTATGCCCACGGAGTCTTGCTGATTGCTAGCACAGCGGTCTGAGATCAAACTGCAAGGCAGCAGCTAGGCTGGGGAAGGGCGCCCGCCATTGCCCAGGGTTGTTTAGGTAAACAAAGCATCCCAGAAACTCACACTGGGTGGAGACCACCACAGCTCAAGGAGGCCTGCCTGCTAGGCTTCACCTCTGGGGGCAGGGCACAGACAAACAAAAAGACAGCAGTAACCTCTGCAGACTTAAATGTCCCTGTCTGACAGCTTTGAAGAGAGCAATGGTTCTCCCAGCACGCAGCTGGAGATCTGAGAACAGGCAGACTGCTTCCTCAAGTGGGTCCCTGACCCCTGACCCCCGAGCAGCCTAACTGGGAGGCACCCCCCAGCAGGGGCACACTGACACCTCACATGGCCCGGTAATCCAACAGACCTGCAGCCGAGGGTCCTGTCTGTTAGAAGGAAAACTAACAAACAGAAAGGACATCCACACCAAAAACCCATCTGTACATCACCATCATCAAAGACCAAAAGTAGATAAAACCACAAAGATGGGGAAAAAACGGAGCAGAAAAACTGGAAACTCTAAAAAGCAGAGCGCCTCTCCTCCTACAAAGGAACGCAGTTCCTCACCAGCAACAGAACAAAGCTGGATGGAGAATGACTTTGACAAGCTGAGAAAAGAAGGCTTCAGACAATCAAATTACTCCGAGCTATGGGAGGAAATTCAAACCAAAGGCAAAGAAGATGAAAACTTTGAAAAAAGTTTAGAAGAATGTATAGCTAGAATAACTAATACAGAGAAGTGCTTAAAGGAGCTGATGGAGCTGAAAACCAAGGCTCGAGAACTACGTGAAGAATGCAGAAGCCTCAGGAGCAGATGTGATCAATGGGAAGAAAGGTTATCAGTGATGGAAGATGAAATGAATGAAATGAAGTGAGAAGGGAAGTTTAGAGAAAAAAGAATAAAAAGAAATGAGCAAAGCCTCCAAGAAATATGGGACTATGTGAAAAGACCAAATCTACATCTGATTGGTGTACCTGAAAGTGATGAGGAGAATGGAACCAAGTTGGAAAACACTCTGCAGGATATTATCCAGGAGAACTTCCCCAATCTAGCAAGGCAGGCCAACATTCAGATTCAGGAAATACAGAGAATGCCACAAAGATAATCCTAGAGAAGAGCAACTCCAAGATACATAATTGTCAGACTCACCAAAGTTGAAATGAAGGAAAAAATGTTAAGGGCAGCCAGAGAGAAAGGTCAGGTTACCCACAAAGGGAAGCCCATCAGACTAACAGCGGATCTCTCAGCAGAAACTCTACAAGCCAGAAGACAGTGGGGGCCAATATTCAACATTCCTAAAGAAAAGAATTTTCAACCCAGAATTTCATATCCAGCCAAATTAAGCTTCATAAGTGAAGGAGAAATAAAATACTTTACAGACAAGCAAATGCTGAGAGATTTTGTCACCGCCAGGCCTGCCCTAAAAGAGCTCCTGAAGGAAGCGCTAACCATGGAAAGGAACAACCAATACCAGCCACTGCAAAATCATGCCAAAATGTAAAGACCATCGAGACTAGGAAAACACTGCATGAACTAACGAGCAAAATAACCAGCTAACATCATAATGACAGGATCAATTTCACACATAACAATATTAACTTTAAATGTAAATGGACTAAATGCTCCAATTAAAAGACACAGACTGGCAAATTGGATAAAGAGTCAAGACCCATCAGTGCGCTGTATTCAAGAAACCCATCTCATGTGCAGAGACACATATAGGCTCAAAATAAAAGGAAGGGGGAAGATCTACCAAGCAAATGGAAAACAAAAAAAGGCAGGGGTTGCAATCCTAGTCTCTGATAAAACAGACTTTAAACCAACAAAGATCAAAAGAGACAAAGAAGGTCATTACATAGTGGTAAAGGGATCAATTCAACAAGAAGAGCTAACTATCCTAAATCTATATGCACCCAATACAGGAGCACCCAGATTCATAAAGCAAGTCCTTAGAGACCTACAAAGAGACTTAGACTCTCACACAATAATAATGGGAGACTTTAACACCCCACTGTCAACATTAGACAGAATTACGAGACAGAAAGTCAACAAGGATATCCAGGAATTGAACTCAGCTCTGCACCAAGTGGGCCTAATAGACATCTACAGAACTCTCCACTCCAAATCAAGAGAATATACATTTTTTTCAGCACCACACCACACCTATTCCAAAATTGACCACGTATTTGGAAGTAAAGCTTTCCTCAGCAAATATAAAAGAACAGAAATTATAACAATCTATCTCTCAGACCAAAGTGCAATCAAACCAGAACTCAGGATTAAGAATCTCACTCAAAACCACTCAACTACATGGAAACTGAACAACCTGCTCCTGAATGACTACTGGATACATAACGAAATGATGGCAGAATTAAAGATGTTCTTTGAAACCAATGAGAACAAAGACACAACATACCAAAATCCCTGGGACGCATTCAAAGCATTGTTTAGAGGGAAATTTATAGCACTAAATGCCCACAGGAGAAAGCAGGAAAGATCCAAAATTGACACCCTAACATCACAATTAAATGAACTAGAAAAGCAAGAGCAAACACATTCAAAAGCTAGCAGAAGGCAAGAAATAACTAACATCAGAGCAGAACTGAAGGAAATAGAGACACAAAAAACCCTTCAAAAAATTAATTAATGCAGGAGCTGGTTTTTGGAAGGATCAACAAAATTGATAGACCACTAGCAAGACTAATAAAGAAAAAAAGAGAAGAATCAAATAGACGCAATAAAAAATGATAAAGGGGATATCACCAGTGATCCCACAGAAATACAAACTACCATCAGAGAATATTACAAACACCTCTATGCAAATAAACTAGAAAATCTAGAAGAAATGGATAAATTCCTCAACACATACACTCTCCCCAGACTAAACCAGGAAGAAGTTGAATCTTTGAATAGACCAATAACAGGATCTGAAATTGTGGCAACAATCAATAGCTTACCAACCAAAAAGAGTCCAGGACCAGATGGATTCACGGACGAATTCTACCAGAGGTACAAGGAGGAACTGGTACCATTCCTTCTGAAACTATTCCAATCAATAGAAAAAGAAGGAATCCTCCCTAACTCATTTTATGAGGCCAACATCATCCTGATAGCAAAGCTGGGCAGAGACACAAGCAAAAAAGAGAATTTTAGACCAATATCCTAGATGAACATTGATGAAAAAATCCTCAATAAAATACTGGCAAACCGAATCCAGCAGCACATCAAAAAGCTTATCCACCATGATCAAGTGGGCTTCATTCCTGGGATGTAAGGCTGGTTCAGTATACGCAAATCAATAAATGTAATCCAGCATATAAACAGAGCCAAAGACAAAAACCACATGATTATCTCAATAGATGCAGAAAAGGTCTTTGACAAAATTCAACAACACTTCATGCTAAAAACTCTCAGTAAATTAGGTATTGATGGGACGTATCTCAAAACAATAAGAGCTATCTATGACAAACCCACAGCCAATATCATACTGAATGGGCAAAAACTGGAAGCATTCCCTTTGAAAACTTGCATAAGACAGGGATGCCCTCTCTCACCACTCTTATTCAACATAGTGTTGGAAGTTCTGGCCAGGGCAATGAGGCAGGAGAAGGAAATAAAGGGTATTCAATTAGGAAAAGGGGAAGTCAAATTGTCCCTGTTTGCAGACGACATGATTGTATATCTAGAAAACCCCATTGTCTCAGCCCAAAATCTCCTTCAGCTGATAAGCAACTTCAGCAAAGTCTCAGGATACAAAATCAATGTGCAAAAATCACAAGCATTCTTATACACCAATAATCAACAAAAAGAGAGCCAAATCATGAGTGAACTCCCATTCACAATTGCTTCAAAGAGAATAAAATACCTAGGAATCCAACTTACAAGGGATGTGAAGGACCTCTTCAAGGAGAACTACAAACCACTGCTCAAGGAAATAAAAGAGGATAGAAACCAATGGAAGAACATTCCATGCTCATGGGTAGGTCGAATCAATCTTGTGAAAATGGCCATACTTCCGAAGGCAATTTACAGATTGAATGCCATCCTCATGAAGCTACCAATGACTTTCTTCACAGAATTGGAAAAAACTACTTTAAAGTTCATATGGAACCAAAAAGAGCCCACATCACCAAGTCAATCCTACGCCAATAGAACAAAGCTGGAGGCATCACACTACCTGACTTCAAACTATACTACAAGGCTACAGTAACCAAAACAGCATGGTACTGGTACCAAAACAGAGATATAGATCAATGGAACAGAACAGAGCCCTCAGAAATAATGCTACGTATCTACAACTATCTGATCTTTTACAAACCTGAGAAAAACAAGCAATGGGAAAAGGATTCCCTATTTAATAAATGGTGCTGGGAAAACTGGCTGGCCATATGTAGAAAGCTGAAACTGGATCCCTTCCTTACATCTTATACAAAAATCAATTCAAGATGGATTAAAGACTTAAATGTTAGACCTAAAACCATAAAAACCCTAGAAGAAAACCTAGGCATTACCATTCAGGACATAGGCATGGGCAAGGACTTCATGTCTAAAACACCAAAAGCAATGGCAACAAAAGTCAAAATTGACAAATGGGATCTAATTAAACTAAAGAGCTTCTGCACAGCAAAAGAAACTACCATCAGAGTGAACAGGCAACCTACAAAATGGGAGAAAATTTTCGCAACCTACTCATCTGACAAAGGGCTAATATCCAGAATCTACAATGAACTCAAACAAATTTACAAGAAAAAAACAAACAACCCCATCAAAAAGTGGGCGAAGGACATGAACAGACACTTCTCAAAAGAAGACATTTATGCAGCCAAAAAACACATGAAAAAATGCTCACCATCACTGGCCATCAGAGAAATGCAAATCAAAACCGCAATGAGATACCATCTTACACCAGTTAGAATGGCAATCATTAAAAAGTCAGGAAACAACAGGTAGTGGAGAGCATGTGGAGAAATAAGAACACTTTTACACTGTTGGTGGGACTGTAAACTAGTCCAACCATTGTGGAAGTCAGTGTGGTGATTCCTCAGGGATCTAGAACTAGAAATACCATTTGACCCAGCCATCCCATTACTGGGTATATACCCAAAGGACTATAAATCACGCTGCTATAAAGACACATGCACACGTATGTTTACTGCGGCACTATTCACAATAGCAAAGACTTGGAACCAACACAAATGTCCAGCAATGATAGACTGGATTAAGAAAATGTGGCACATATACACCATGGAATACTATGCAGCCATAAAAATGATGAATTCATGTCCTTTGTAGGGACATGGATGAAATTGGAAATCATCATTCTCAGGAAACTATCACAAGAACAAAAAACCATACAGTGCATATTCTCACTCACAGGTGGGAATTGAACAATGAGAACACATCGACACAGGAAGGGGATCATCACACTCTGGGGACAGTTGTGGGGTGGGGGGAGGGGGGTGGGATAGCATTGGGAGATATACCTAATGCTAGATGACAAGTTAGTGGGTGCAGGGCACCAGCATGGCACATGTTTACATATGTAACTAACCTACATATTGTGCACATGTACCCTAAAACTTAAAGTATAATAATAATAAATTTAAAAAAAAGAATGAAAATTAAAAAAAAAATAACCAGTGATGATGAGCATTTTTCAGGTCTGCTGGCTGCATAAATGTCTTCTCTTTGAAGAGTCTGTTGATATCCTTTGCCCATTTTTTGATGGGGTTGTTTGTTTGTTTGTTTTTTCTTTTAAATTTGTTTAAGTTCTTTGTAGATTCTTGATCTTAGCCTATTGTCAGATGGATAGATTGCAAAAATTTTCTCCCATTCTGTAGGTTGGCTGTTCACGTATTGCCCAGGTTTTCTTCTAGGATTTTTATGGTCCTAGGTCTTACGTTTAAGTATTTGATCCATCTTGAGTTGAAAAGGTGTAAGGAAGGGGTCCTGTTTCAGTTTTCTGCCTATGGCTAGCCAGTTTTCCCAACACCATTTATTAAATAGGGAATCTTTTCCCCAGTGCTTGTGTGTGTCAGTTTTGTCAAAGATCAGATGGTTGTAGCTGTGTGGTGTTATTTTTGAGACCTCCATTCTGTTCCATTGATCTGAATATCTGTTTTTGTACCAGTACCATGCTGTTTTGGTTAATATAGCCTTGTAGTATAGTTTGAAGTCAGGTAGCGTGATACCTCCAGCTTTGTTCTTGTTGCCCAGAATTGTCTTGGCTATGCAGGCTCTTTTTTGGTTCCATATGAAGTTTAAAGTAGTTTTTTCCAATTCTGTGAAGAAAGTCAGTGGTAGCTTGATGAGGATAGCATTGAATCTGTAAATTACTATGCGCAGGAAGGCCATTTTCATGATATTAATTTTTACTATCCATGAGCATGGAATATTTTTCCATTTGTTTGTGTCTTCTCTTATTTCCTTGAGCAGTGGTTTGTAGTTCTCCTAGAATAGGTCCTTCACATACCTTGTAAATTTTATTTTTAGGTATTTTATTATCTCAGTAGCAATTATGAATGGCAGTTCTTTCATGATTTGGCTCTCTGTCTGTCTATTACTGGTGGATAGGAATGCTTGTGATTTTTGCACATTGATTTTGTATCCTGAGACTTTGCTGAAGTTGCTTATCAGCTTAAGGAGATTTTGGGTGGAGACGATGGGGTGTTCTAAATATACAATCATGTCATCTGTTAACAGGGACAATTTGACATCCTCTCTTCCTATTTGAATACCCTTTATTCATTTCTCTTGCCTGATTGCCCTGTCCAAAACTTCCAATAGTATGTTGAATAGGAGTGGTGAGAGAGGGCATCGTTGTCTTGTGCAAGTTTTCAAAGGGAATGCCTCCAGTTTTTGCCCATTCAGTATGATATTGGCTGTGGGTTTGTCATAAATAGCTCTCATCATTTTGAGATATTTTCTGTTGATACCTAGTTTATTGAGAGTTTTTAACATGAAGGGATGTTGAATTTTATTGAAGGCCTTTTCTGCATCTATTGAGATAGTCATGTGGTTTTTGTCATTGGTTCTGTTTATTTGATGGATTACGTTTATTGATTTGCATATGTTGAACCAGCCTTGCATCCCAGGGATAAAGCCAACTTGATCGTGGTGGATAAGCTTTTTGATGTGCTCTTGGATTCGTTTTGCCAGTATTTCATTGAGGATTTTCACATCGATAATCATCAGGGATATTGGCCTGAAATTTTCTTTTTTTCTTGTGTCTCTGGCAGGTTTTGATATCAGGATGATGGTGGCCTCATAAAATGTGTTAGGGAGGAGTCCCTCTTTTTCTATTTTTTAGAATAGTTTCAGAAGGAATGGTACCAGCTCCTCTTTGTACCTCTGGAGGAATTCAGCTGTGGATCAGTCTGGACCTGGACTTTTTTCAGTTGTTAGGCTATTCATTGCTGCCTCAATTTCAGAACCTGTTATTGGCCTATTCCGGGATTCAACTTCTTCCTGGCTTAGACTTGGGAGGGTGTAAGTGTCCAAGAATTTATCCATTTCTTTTAGATTTTCTAGTTTATTTGCATAGAGGTGTTTATAGTATTCTCTGATTGTAGTTTGTATTTCTGTGGGACCGGTGGTGATATCCCCTATATGAGATTTTATTGCGTCTATTTGATACTTCTCTCTTTTCTTCTTTATTATTCTGGCTAGCAGTCTATTTTGTTTATTTTTCCAAAAAACCAGCTCCTGGATTCATTGATTTTTTTGAAGGGTTTTCCATAACTCTTTCTCCTTTAGTTGTACTCTGTTCTTAGTTATTTCATGTCTTCTGCTAGCTTTTGAATGTGTTTGCTGTTGCTTCTCTAGTTCTTTTAATTTTGATGTTAGGGTGCCAATTTTAGATCATTCTTGCTTTCTCTTGTGGGCATTTAGTGCTATAAATTTCCCTCTACACATTGCTTTATATGTTTCCTGGAGATTCTGGTACATTGTGTCTTCATTCTCATTGGTTTCAAAGAACATCTTCATTTCTGCTTTCATTTTGTTATTTACCCAGTAGTCATGAAGGAGCAGGATGTTCAGTTTCCATGTAGTTTGCGGTGTTCAGTGAGTTTCTAAATCTTGAGTTCTAATTTGATTGCACCGTGGTCTGAGAGACTGTTATGATTTTCGTTCTTTTACATTTTCTGAGGAGTGTTTTACTTCCAATTATGTAGTCAATATTAGAATAAGTGCAATGAGGTGTTGAGAAGAATGTATATTCTGTTGATTTGGGGTGGAGAATTCTGTAGAGTTCTATTAGGTCTGCTGGGTCCAGAGCTGAGTTCAGGTCCTGGATATCCTTGTTAATTTTCTCTCTCGTTGACCTGTTTAATATTGACAGTGGTGTGTTAAAGTCTCCCATTATTATTGTGTGGGTGTCTAAGTCTCCTTATAGGTCTCTAAGAACTTGCTTTATGCATCTGGGTGCTCTTGTATTGGGTGCACATACATTTAGGAAAGTTAACTCTTCTTGCTGCATTGTTCCCTTTACCATTATGTAATGCCCTTTGGCTTCTTTGATCTTTGTTGATTTAAAGACTGTTTTATCAGAGACTAGGATTGCAACTGCTGCTTTTTTTTTGCTTTCCATTTTCTTGGTAAATATTCCTCCATCCCTTTATTTTGAGCCTATGTGTGTCTTTGCACGTAAGATGAGTCTCCTGAATATAGCACAGTGATGGGTCTTGACTCTACCCAATTTGCCAGTCTGTGGCATTTAGTTGGGGCATTTAGCCCCTGTACATTTAAGGTTAATATTGTTCTGTGTGAATTTGATCCTGTAATTAAGATGCTAGCTGGTTGTTTTGCCCGTTAATTAACGCAGTTTCTTCATAGTGTCGATGTTGTTTACAATTGGCATGTTTTTGCAGTGGCTGGTACCAGTTGTTCCTTTCCATATTTAGTGCCTCTTTCATGAGCTCTTGTAAGGCAGGTCTGGTGGTGGCAAAATCCCTCAACATTTGCTTGTCTGTAAAGGATTTTACTTCTCCTTTGCTTGTGAAGCCTAGTTTGGCTGTATATGAAATTCTGGGTTGAAAATTTTTTTTAAATGTTAAAATTTGTTTTATTGTGGTAACAACAATAAATCATAGAACAACATTGATCATTTTAACCGTTCTTAGATAGGTAGTTCTGTGGAATGAAGTATATATCGTGTTGTTGTGCTCCCGTCACCGTCATCCATCTCCAGAACTTTTTCATCATCTCCAACTGAGACTCTGCAGCCATTAAGCAGTAACTCCCCATTGCTTCTCTCTTCAGCCCCTGGAAACCACCACTCTACTCTCTGTCTGTCTGGATTGGATTGCTCCAGGTACCTCGTATAATTGGACTAATGCAATATTCGTCCTTTTGTATCTGGCTTATTTCACTTAGTGTAATGTCTCCAAGTTTCATCTGTGTTGTAGCATGTGTTAGAATCTTCTTCCTTTTTTTATTTTTTATTTTTTATTATACTTTAACTTCTAGGGTACATGTGCACAAAGTGCAGGTTTGTTACATATGTATACGTGTGTCATGCTGGTGTGCTGCACCCATTAACTCATCATTTACATTAGGTATATCTCCTAATGCTATCCCTCCCCCCTCCCCCAAACCCACAACAGGCCCTGGTGTGTGATGTTCCCCTTCCTGTGTCCAAGTGTTCTCATTGTTCAATTCCCACCTATGAATGAGAATATGCAGTGTTTGGTTTTTTGTCCTTGTGATAGTTTGCTGTTAATGATGGTTTCCAGCTTCATCCATGTCCCTACAAAGGACATGAACTCATCCTTTTTTATGGCTGAATAGTATTCCATGTTGTATATGTGCCACATTTTCTTAATCCAGTCTATCATTGATGGACATTTGGGTTGGTTCCAAGTCTTTGCTATTGTGAATAGTGCCGCAATAAACATATGTGTGCATGTGTCTTTATAGCAGCATGATTTATTATCCTTTGGGCATATACCCAGTAATGAGATGGCTGGGTCAAATGGTATTTCTAGCTCTAGATCCTTGAGGATGAAATTTTTTTCTTTAAGAATTATAAATATTCGCCCCCACTCTTTCCTGGCTTGTAGGGTTTCTGCAGAGAGATCCCCAGTTAGTATGACGGGCTTTGATTTCTGGGTAACCCAAACTTTCTCTCTGGCTGCCCTTAACATTTTTTTCATTTCAACATTGCTGAATCTGATGATTATGTGTCTTGGGGTTGCTCTTCTTGAGGAATATCTTTGTGGTGTTCTGTGTATTTCCTGAATTTGAATGTTGGCCTGTCTTGCTACGTTGGGGAAGTTCTCCTGGATAATATCCTGAAGAGTGTTTTCCAACTTGGTTCCATTCTCCCCGTCACTTTCAGGTACACCAGTGAAACGTAGATTTGTTCTTTTCACATAGTCCCATATTTCTTGGAGGCTTTGTTCATTCCTTTTTGCTCCTTTTTCTCTAATCTTGTCTTCTTTCTTTATTTCATTATGTTGATCTTCAATCACTGATATCCTTTCTTCTGCTTTATCGATTTGGCTATTGATACTTGTGTATTCTTCACAAAGTTTTCGTGCTGTGTTTCACAGTTCCATCAGGTCATTTATGTTCTTCTCTATATTGGTTATTTTAGTTAGCAATTTGCCTAACATTTTTTCAAGGTTCTTAGCTTCCTTGCATTGGGTTAGAACCTGCTCCTTTAGCTTGGAGTTTTTTGTTATTGCACACCTTCTGAAGCCTACTTCTGTCAGTTCATCAAAGTCATTCTCCATCCAGTTTTGCTCCCTTGCTGGCGAGGAGTTGTGAGCCTTTAGAGGAGGAGAGGCTTTCTGGTTTTTGGAATTTTCAGCCTTTTTGCGCTTGTTTTTCCCCGTATTTGTGGATTTATCTATCTTTGGTCTTTGATGTTGGTGACCTTCGGATGGGGTCTTTGAGTTGATATACTAATCCTTTCTGCTTCTTTCTTTTCCTTCTAACAGTCAGGCCCCTCTGCTGCCAGTCTGTTGGAGTTTGCTGGACATTCACTCCCGACCCTGTTTGCCTGGGTATCACCAGCAGAGACTGCAGAGCAGCAAAAATTGCTGCCTGTTCTTTCCTCTGGAAGCTTTGACCCAGCAGGGAACCTGCCAGATGGCAGCCAGAGCTCTCCTGTATGAGGTGTCTGTCACCCCCAACTGGGAGGTGTCTTCCAGTCAATATACATGGGGGTCAGGGACCCACTTGAGGAGGTAGACTGACCCTTAGCAGGGCTCGAATGCTGTCCTGGGCAGTCCACTGTTCTCTTCAGAGCCATCTGGCATGGACCTTTAAGTTTGCTATAAGCTCCTGACTGGGGCTGCTGTCTTTTTTTACAGAGATGCCCTTTCCAGAGAGAAGCAATCTGGTCGTCTGGCCACAGAAGCCTTGTTGAGCTGCAGTGGGCTCCACACAGTTCAAACTTCCCAGCAGCTTTGTTTACACTGTGGCCATAAAACCACCTACTGTAGCCTCAACAATGGCGGACGCACCTCCCCCCACCAAGCTGGACCTTCCCAGATGGATCTGAGATTGCTGCTGTGCTGGTAATGAGAATTTCAAGCCAGTAAATCTTAGATTCCTGGGCTCTATGGGGGTGGAACCCGCCAAGCCAGACCACTTGGCTCCCTGGCTTCAAACCCCCTTTCCAGCATTCCAGGCACGACTGAATATGGAAAAAAAAGAAGAACCTCCTGCAGCTAGTTGGGTGTCTGCCCAATTGGCCGCACAGTTTTGTGCTTGAAACCCAGGGCTCCAGTGGGGTAGTCACCAGAGAGAATCTCCTGGTTTGCAGGTTGTGAAGACCATGGGACTAGCGCAGTATCTGTCCTGGAGTTCCTCAGGCTCAGACCCTCATGGCTTCCCTTGGGTAGGGGGGGAAATTCCTTGACCCCTTGCACTTCCCAGTTGAGGCAACACCCCACCCTGCTTCAGCTCAGCCTCCGTGGGCTGCACCCACTGTCCAACCAGTCCCAATGAGATGAACCATGTACCTCAGTTGGAAATGCAGAAATCAACCGCCTTCTGTGTTGATGTCACTGGGAGCTGCAGACTGGTGCTGTTCCTATTCTGCCATGTTGCCTGTAGTTCTTTTAATTGTGATGTTAGGGTGCTGATTTTAGATCTTTCTTGCTTTCTCTTGTGGGTGTTTAGTGCTATAAATTTCTCTTTAAACACTGCTTTAAATGTGTCCCAGAGATTCTGGTATGTTTTGTCTTTGTTCTCATTGGTTTCAAAGAACATCTTCATCTCTGTCTTAATTTCTTTATTTACCCAGTAGTCATTCAGGAGCCTGTTGTTCAGTTTTCATGTAGTTGTGCAGTTTTGAGTGAGTTTCTTAATCCTGAGTTCTAATTTGATTGCACTGTGGTCTGAGAGACTGATGTGATTTCCATTTTTGCATTTGCTGAGGAGTGTTTTACTTCCAATTATGTGGCCAATTTTAGAATAAGTGCAATGTGGTGCTGAGAAGAATACATATTCTGTCGATTGAAGTGGAGAGTTCTGTAGATGTCTATTATCCACTTGATCCAGAGCTGAGTTCAAGTCCTGAATATCCTTGTTAATTTTCTGTCTTGTTGATCTGTCTAATATTGACAGTGGAGTGTTAACATCTCCCACTATTATTGTGTGGGGGTCTAAGTCTCTTTGTAGGTCTCTAAGAACTTGCTTTATGAATCTAGGTGCTCCTGTGTTGGGTGTATATATATTTAGGATAGTTAGCTCTTCTTGTTGAACTGATCCCTTTACCATTATGTAATGCATTTATTTGTCACTTTTTATCTTTGTTGGTTTGAAGTCTGTTTTATCAGAGACTAGGATTGCAATCTTTGCTTTTTTTTTTTTTTTTTTTTTTTGCTTTCCATTTGCTTGGTAAATATTCCTCCATTTCTTTATTTTGAGCCTCTATGTGTCTTTGCACTTGAAATGGTTCTTCTGAATACAGCACATCGATGGGCCTTCACTCTATCCAATTTGCCATTCTGTGTCTTTTAATTGGGGTACTTAGCCCATTTACAATTAAGGTTAATATTGTTATGTGTGAATTTGATCCTGTCATTATGATAGTAGCTGGTTATTTTGCCCATTAGTTGATGCAGTTTCTTCATAGCATTGATGGTCTTTACAATTTGTTATATTTTTGCAGTGGCTGGTACAAGTTGTTCCTTTCCATGCTTAGTGCTTCCTTCCGGGGCTCTTGTAATGCAGGCCTGGTGGTGACAAAATCTCTCAGCATTTACTTGTCTGTAAAGGATTTTATTTTCTCCTTCACTTATGAAGCTTAGTTTGGCTGGATATAAACCTCTGAGTTGAAAATTCTTTCCTTTAAGAATGTTGAATATTGGCCCCCACCCTCTTCTGGCTTGTAGGGTTTCTGCTGAGAGATCTGCTGTTAGTCTGATGGTCTCCCCTTTGTGGGTAACCTGCCCTTTCTCTGGCTGTCCTTAACATTTTTTTCTTCATTTCAACCTTGGTGAATCTGATGTTGATATGTCTTAGGGATGCTCTTCTCAAGGAGTATCTTTGTGGTGTTCTGTGTATTTCCTGAATTTGAATGTTGGCTTGTCTTGCTAGGTTGGGAAATCTCTCCTTGATAACATCTTGAAGGTTATTTTCAAACTTGGTTCATTCTCCCTGTCACTTTCAGGTACACCAATGAAATGTAGATTTTGTCTTTTCACATAGTCCCATATTTCTTAGAGGCTTTGTTCATTTCTTTTCATTCTTTTTTCTCTAATCTTATCTTCATGCTTTATTTTATTAAGATGATCTTCAATCTCTGATATTCTTTCTACTACTTGATTGATTTGGCTATTGATACCTGTGTATGTTTCAGAAATTATCATGCTGTGTTTTTCAGCTCCATCAGGTCATTTATATTCTACTCTAAAGTGATTATTCTAGTTAGCAATTTGTCTAACCTTTTTTTTAAGGTTTTTAGATTCCTTGTATTAGTTTACAACATGCCCCTTTAGCTCGGAGAAGTCTGTTATTACCCACTTTCTGCAGCCTACTTCTGTCAATTCGTCAAACTCATTAACTGTCCAGTTTTGTTCCCTTGCTGGTGAGCAGTTGCTCTTTTTTGGAGAAGAGGTGTTCTGGTTTTTCGAATTTTCCACCTTTTTGTGCTGGTTTATCCCCATCTTCATGGATTGATCTACCTTTGGTCTTTGATGCTGGTGACCTTCGGATGGGGTCTCTGGGTGGACATCCTTTTTGTTGATGTTGATACTATTCCTTTCTGTTTGTTAGTGTTTTTTTTCTAACAGTCAGGCCCCTCTGCTGCAGGTCTGCTGGAGTTTTCTGGAGGTCCACTCCAGACCCTGTTTTCCTGGGTATCTCCTGCAGAGGCTGCAGTATAGCAAAGATTGCTTCCTGTTCATTCCTCTGGCAGCTTTGTCTCAGAGGGGAACCCGCCAGATGCCAGCCAGAGCTCTCCTGTATGAGGTGTCTGTCGACCCCTACTTGGAGGTGTCTTCCAGTCAGGATACACGGGGTTCAGGGACCCACTTGACGAGGCAGTCTGACCTTTATCAGAGCTCAAACACTGTGCTGGCAGATCCGCTGCTCTTTTTGGAACCATCAGGCAGGGAGCTTTAAGCCTGCGGAAGCTGAGACTACCGCTGCCCCTTCCCCCAGGTGCTCTGTCCCAGGGAGTTGGGGGTTTTATCTATAAGTCTCTGACTGGGGCTGCTGCCTTTTTTTTTTTCAGAGAGGCCCTGCCCAGAGAGAAGGAATCTAGAGAGGCAGTCTGGCTGCAGGGGCCTTGCTGAGCTGGGGTTGGTGTCACCCAGTTTGAACTTCCCAGTAGCTTTGTATACACTGTGAGGGTAAAACCACCTACTCAATCCTTAGCAATGGTGGATGTCCCTTCTCCCACCAAGTTAACTTTCCCAGGTCGACCTTAGACTGCTGTGCTTGCAGTGGGAATTTCAAGCCAGTGGATCTTAGCTTGCTGGGCTCCATGGACGTGAGACCCACTGAGCTACACTACTTGGCTCTCTGGGTTCAGCCTTCTTTCCAGGGGTGTGAACGGTTCTGTCTCGCTGGTGTTGCGAGTGCTACTGGGGTATGAAAAAAAACTCCCACAACTAGCTTGGTGTCTGCCCAAATGGCCACCCAGTTTTGTGCTTTAAACCCAGGACCCTCGTGGTATAGGCACCAGAGGGAATCTCCTGTTCTGTGGGTTGTGAAGACAGTGGGAAAAGCACACTATCTGGTCCGGAGTGCACCATTCCTCATGGCACAGCCCCTCACGGCTTCCCTTGGCAAGGGGCAGAAATTGCCTGACCCCTTGTGCTTCCTGGGTGAGGTGACGCCCCACCCTGCTTTGGCTCGCCCTCCATGGGCTGCACCCAATGTCCAACCACTCCCAAAGAGAATAACCACGTACCTCAGTTGGAAATACAGAAATCACCCATCTTCTTTGTCGATCTTGCTTGGAGCTGCGGAATGGAGCTCTTTCTATTTGGCCATCTTGTCAGCCCACCCTTGTTTAGTCTTTGTACTTAAGATAAGGGTAGTTTACACACCACAGTTACAGTATTATAATATCTTGTGTTTTTCTGTGTACCTACTATTACCTGTAAGTTTTGTACCTTCAGGTGATATCTTATTGCTCATTACTGTCATTTTTTTTTGACTGAAGTACTCCCTTCAGCATTTTTATGTATGACAGTTCTGATGTGGATAAAATTCTTCAACTTTTTTTTTTGCCTAGAAAATTCTTTATTTCCTTTTTATGTTTTAAGGGTAATTCCACCATATATACTATTTTAAGGTGAAAGTTCTTGTCTTTTAGCCTTTAAATATGTCATGTCACTCTCCCCTGGGCTTTAAGATTTCCACTGAAAAGTCTGCTGCCATACATACTGGAGCTCCACTGTATATTATTTGTTTATATCTTCTTGCTGCTTTTAAAATGATTTATACTTGACCTTTGGGAGTTTGATTATTAAATATTTTGAGGCAGTCTTCTTTGTTTTACATCTGGTTGCTGTTCTGTCACCTCTTGTACTTGGATATTGATATCTTTCTCTAAGTTCGAGAAGTTGTTTCTTATTATCTCTTTGAATACCCTTTCCACCCTTATCTCTTTCTCTACCTCTCCTTTAAGCCAATTACTCTAAAATTTGCCCTTTTGAGGCTATTCTCTGGATCCTGGACACATGCTCTATTATTTTTTATTTTGTCTCCTGAATGTGTATATCGAAATAGCCTGTCTTAAAGCTCACCAATTTCTTCTTCTGCTTGAATAATTTTTCTTTTTTATTTTATTTTATTTTTTAAAATTATACTTTAAGTTTTAGGGTACATGCGCACAATGTGCAGGTTAGTTACATTAGGTATATCTCTACCTAATGCTAAATGACGAGTTAATGGGTGCAGCACACCAGCATGGCACATGTATACATATGTAACTAACCTGCACATTGTGCACATGTACCCTAAAACTTAAAGTATAATAATAATAAAATAAAAATAAAAATAAAAACAAAAATAATAAAAAGAAAAATTTCCAGGCAAATTCTCAAGTTCAGATCGTAATGTGCCTTTTATCCTATTAGGGGCCATTTCTTTCCTGAGCATTGTAAGGACAATATCTGAGATGTGCTTGATTAATCCATAGGGATTTAAGGCCTTTTGAAAAAGACACTCAAAGACCTAAGCAAGTATACCTTCTGATTTTTATAAATATTTTATTCTTTACTTATTTGCCTGAGCAAAATTGCATATCTTACTATCAACTCCAACTACATGTAACAAGTAGGGAAGAAAAATGAGGTTTAGTTAAAATTGAAAATTCATTTCTTTTATCTGTAATACTGACTTCTGTGAGGATTTTTAACAATGAGGTCAATAAAAGTATTTAAAGCCAAAAAAAAATTAGGTATATCTCCTAATGCTATCCCTCCCTCCTCCCCCCACTCCACAACAGGCCCCGGTGTGTGATGTTCCCTTCCTGTGTCCATGTGTTCTCATTGTTCAATTCCCACCTGTAAGTGAGAATGTGCAATGTTTGGTTTTTTGTCCTTGTGATAGTTTGCTGAGAATGATAGTTTCCAGCTTCATCCATGTCCCTACAAAGGACATGAACTCATCAAATTTTTCTATGAATAGATTCTGTTGTGCTTTTAAGTATGCCAATTGCATTCTTCAGCTCCAGAATTTCTGCTTGCTTTTTAAAATTTATTTCAATCTTTTTATTAATCTTATAAAATTCTGAATTTCTTTTCTATGTTATCTTGAATTTCTTTGAGTTTCTTCAACACAGCTAATTTAAATGATCTCTCTGAAAGTTCACATATTTCTGTTTCTCCAGCATTGGTCCCTGGTACCTTATTTAGTTCATGTGGTGAAGTCATGATTTCATGGACCATCTTGATACTTGTAGATTTTTGAGCCTGGGCGTTCAACAATTTGGTATTTATTTTAGTCTTTGCTGTCTGGGCTCATTTGTACTCTTTCTTCTTTGAAATGTTTTTCAAATATTCAAAATTACTTGGGTGTTGTGATATAAACTTTAGGGGAACCCAAAGTTTAGTAATGCTCTAGTTCTTGTCAACTCATAGAGGTACTGCTTTGTTGGTCTTGGACAAGATTTAGAAGATTTCTCTTGATTAATAGGCAGAGACTCTTGTTCTCTTATTTTACTTTCTCCCAAACAGACAAAATCTCTCTCTCTCTCTCTCTCTCTCTCTCTCTCTCTCTCTGTCTGTCTCTCCTGAGCCACCTATAGCTTGGGATAGAGAGAAAAAAGCACTCATGTTGTCACCATCCCTAGAATATGCTGGGTCACACTTGAAGCCAGCATAGCACTTGGTCTTATCCAAGGCCTTCTGTAATCACTCCCTCATTAGTATCTATTTCTGCTGAAAGCTCTGGAGCTCTGCAGTCAGGTGGCAAAGCCAGCCAGGCCTTTGTTCTTCCTTTCAAAGTGGTGAGTTCCCTCAGGCCACAGCCAGGTACAGAGATGCTGTCTTGGATTGAGGGACTAGAGTCAAAAACCTTAGAAGCCCACTTGGTGTTCTATTGTACTGAAGCTGAGCTGGTGCTCAAATCACAAGATGCAGCCCTTTCCACTCTTTCTTTTTGTTTATAAAGGCAGAGGTTCCTCACCCTATGGCCACTGCCATCTCAGGCCCACTGAGAGTACTGCCAAACTGCTGCCAATATTCTCTTTTGTCTCAAGGGCATTTTAGTCAGCTTGTGGTAACTGCTGTTTGGTCTGGGACTCACCCTTCAGTGAAATGGGCTCCCTTCTGGCCCAGGCCATGTCCAGAGATGCTATCCTAGAGTCAAGGTCTGGAATTGGGAATTCCAAGAGCCCACTTTCTCATTTACCACTCTGTGGCCGAGCTGATATCTGAGGTGCAACACAAAGTACCCTTTACTTTTTTCTCCACTTTTCTCAAGCAGAAGGAGGCTTGCCTTGTAGCCAGCACAGCTGGAAATGCGATGAGACTTACCTGAGGCCAGCAAGTCTCAGCATCTCACCCAAGGCTTTCAACACAGTTCCTGGATATCACTGCAGGTTATTCAGGACCCAAAGTCTCTTCAGTTAGCAGGTAATGAATCTTCCACAACTGGGTCCTTTCCTTCAAACCAATGAGTCCCCTACTGCCCCAGAGTGTTTCTAGAAACGTCATCCAGGAGCTAGGGCCTGTAACAGGGGCCTAACGACGCTGACTAGTGCCCTATTCTCCTTTGGCTGAGCTGTTTTTTAAGAAACAAGACAAGTATTCCCCACTCTTCTATCTCCTTTCCTCAAGTGGAAGGAACGGTTCTCTTTTGGAGCCATGAACTGTGCAGCCTGGGGCTTGTGGAGGATAACTGCCAGCACTCTCTTAGCTGCCCCACCTGGTGTCTCAGTAGGGCATGTGCTCCCCACGTCCAGCCTCTGGGCCCAGTTCAGCCCTAGAACTGACCAAGCAGTTGCAGTGTTTGTGGTATAGACTACCTTTCAAGTTTACTTGGAGCTTCAGAGCACCTTAGCCCATGCTGTTGAGGCTTGCTGGAACTCAAGTTCTGACCACTGGCATTGGCAGATTCCCTCTACCTAGGATTGGTTTAAAATTACACTCTGAGTGGGCATCAGCTTAATTTATTTTTCTGTTATAACAAGGGCAGCATTTAGTTTAATATCTCACAGTTGCTGGCTCTCCCTCTCTCCAGAGCATATAAATGCTCTCTGCATCATGCCACCACTGCCAGGGGGTCAGAGAGGAGTGGCTTTGGCAATTCAAAACTGTTTTTCCTACCTCTTCAGTGCTGCTTTTGGTTATATGAACGTGAAGCCATGTTCTGTGACTGCTCACCTAATTTTTAGTTTTTACAAAGGTGCATTTTTGTGTAGATAGTTGTTAAATTGATCTCCTTGTGTGGGGGACAATCAGTGGAGCTTTCTATTCTGCCATTTTGCTCTCTGTTTTTATTTCTCTAATCTGTTCTTTATTCTTCTTTTCTTTTTTCCTTGTTTTTGCATTAATCAATAATTTTTGTTATTCCATTTTATCTCCTCAGTTGGATTATTAGCTACAACCCTTGATTTTGCTTGGGGCTTTTTTTCTTTCATATTTATAGTTTACAACTTTGGCTTATAACATTGTTCCTCCAAGTAACCATATAAAAATACATATATATTACAAGAACACTGCAACAGTATACTTCCATTTTTCTTCTTCTGACCTTTGCCTTAGTTTTATCATCCATTTTACTTTTGTGTTTGTTATAAGCCCCAAATTTATTATTATTTCTTATAAACAGTAAATTATTTTTAAAAAGATTTAGATTATGAGAAAATGTCTTATATGTTGTTACCAACTCTGTGGCTCTCCATTTCTTTGTATAGATTCAGATTTCTATCTTTTATTATTTTTTTCTGTCTGATAAACTTACTTCAACATTTCTTGTCATACAGTCTGCCAGTGATGAATTCTTTACACTTCATAAATCTAAAATATATCTGCAATTTTCTTTATTTTTGAGAGATTCTTTACTGGGTATAGAGATCTAGGTTTAAATTTTTTTTCTTTCATGCTATAGAGATGTTGCTTTGCTCTCATCTATCTTTGATTCTCACCAGCACATTTGATATTATCATCATCTTTGTTATTTGGTACCTAATGCATCTTCTTTTTTCTCTGAGTGCCTTTAAAATACTCTGGCCAGGCATTGTAGTTCATACCTGTAATTCCAGCACTTTGGGAGGCCAAGACAGTGAAATCCCATGAGCTCAGGGATTCAAGACTAGTCTGGGCAACATGAAAAAACCCTGTCTCTAAAAAACAAATATAAAAATTGGCCAGGTATGTTGGTGTGTGCCTGTAGTCCCAGCTACTCAGGAGGCTGAGGAGGGAGAATCACTTGACCCTGGGCGGTCAAGGCTGCAATGAGTCACAATTGTGCCACTGCACTCCAGCTTGGGTAGCAGAATGAGACCCTGTCAAAAAAAAAAAAAAAAAAAAGAAGATATTATATTTTTCATAGGTTTTAAGCAATTTGATTATGATGTGCTTAATGTAGTTTTATTTCTATTTATTGAATCTATGGAATTATAGTATTTATCAAATTTTTTAAAATTTTAGCCATTATTTTTTAAAATGTTTTCTGTCTTATTCTCTCTTCTTCTTTGACCAGTCAAATTATACTTGTATTATGTCACCTAAAGTTGTCCAACAAGTCAGTGATGCTATACTTATATTTTCAGGTTTTTTCTGTGTTTCATTATCTCCTCAGTTGTCCAAAAGGTCAGTGATGCTATACTTATATTGTCAGGTTTTTTCTGTGTTTCATTATTAGATTATTTCTACTGATATGTCTATTTTCAGTAATGTTTACATCTGAAGTGTTAAATATGCTAATAGACCCATACAGTGTAATTTTCTTCTAAGAAATAGTATTTTTTCAGTTCTTGACTACGTTTTGAGGCTTTTTAAATTGTAAAAAATTTAATTGGTGAAACTATATATATTCAACATGTACAATGTAATGATTATATATAATTTTACATGGTATAATGTTTACCAAAATAAAATTACCATGCCAATTACCACCTATAATTCACATTGTGTGTATATGTTTGTGTGTTTGTGTAGTGAGTACACTTAAATTTTCTCATATCAAATTTAAAATTTATAATACATTATTAACTATAGTCACCATGCTCTACATTATTCATCTTATAATGAAAGTTTGTATCCTTTGACCAACATCTTCCCATTTTCCTTACACCTGCCCTCAGCCCCGAGCAAACATCTTTTTGCTTTCTGCTTTTTTATAAGTTTAAATACTTTAGATTTCAAATATAAGTGAGATCATGCAATGTTTTTCTCTCTGTGTCTGGCTTAATTCATTTAACATATCCTCCAGGTTTATTGATGTTGCCTCAAAGAGCAGGGTATCCTTTGTTTAAAATTTTTATTTTAAGTTCAGGGGTAAACATTCACGTTTGTTACATAGGTAAACTTGTGTCATGGGGCTTTGTTGTACAGACTGTTTCATCGTCCAGCTATTAAGCCTAGTACCCATCAGTTATTTTTCCTTGTCCTCTCCCTCTTCCTATCCTGCACCCGCTGATAGGCTTCAGTCTATGTTGTTCCCCTATGTGTCCGTGTGTTCTTATCATTTAGCTCTCACTTATGAGTGAGAACATGTGGTATTTGGTTTTCTGTTCCTGCATTAGTTTGCTAAGAAAAACGGCCTTCAGCTTCATTCATATCTCTGCAAAGGACATGATCACATTTTTTTTTTTATGGTAGCATAGTTTTTCATAGTGTGTATGTATCACATTTTCTTTATCCAGCCTATCATTGATGATTATTTAGATTGATTCCATGTCTTTGCTACTGTGAATAGTGCGACGATAAACATTCCTGTGCATATGTCTTTATTTTATTTTTAAAAATTTTTATTATTTTACTTTATTTTTCCATAAGTTAATGGGGTACAGGTGGTATTTGGTTACATAACTAAGTTCTTTCATGGTGATTTGTGAGATTTTGTTTCACCCACCACCCGAGCGCTGTACACTCCACCATATTTGCAGTCTTTTATCCCTCCCCACCTCCCACTCTTCCCCCCGAGTCCCCAAAGTCCATTGTATCATTCTTATGCTTTTACATCCTCACAGCTTATCTCCCAAATATCGATGAGAACATACGATGTTTGGTTTTCCATTCCTGAGTTACCCCACTTAGATTTATAGTCTTCAATCTCATCCAGGTCACTTCAAATGCTGTTGATTCATTCCCATTTATGGCTGAGTAGTATTCTGCTTATATATATATATATATTTATATATATATATTTATATATATATATTTATATATATATATTTATATATATATATTTATATATATATATATTTATATATATATATTTATATATATATATTTATATATATATATTTATATATATATATTTATATATATATATTTATATATATATATATACACCAAATATATATACCAAATATATATATATAAATATATATACCAAATATATATATAAATATATATAACAAATATATATAAATATATATACCAAATATATATATACATATATATATCAAATATATATATACCAAAAATATATATAAATATATATACCAAATATATATATATAAATATATATATACCAAATATATATATAAATATATATATACCAAATATATATATAAATATATATATACCAAATATATATATATAAATATATATACCAAATATATATATATAAATATATATATACCAAATATATATATAAATATATATATACCAAATATATATATATAAATATATATATCAAATATATATATATATCAAATATATATAAATATATATATATACCAAAGATATATATCTCAAATATATATATAAATATATATATCAAATATATATATAAATAAATATATACCAAATATATATATATAAATAAATATATATATATATATATATTCCAAAGTTTCTTTATTCACTCATTGATTGATGGGCATTCGGATTGGTTCCACGATTTTGCAATTGTGAATTGTGCTGCTATAAACATGCATGTGCAAGTGTCTTTTTTGAATAATGACTTATTTTCCTTGCAGTAGATACCCAGTAGTGGGATTGTTGGATCAAATTGTTGTTCTACTTTTAATTCTTTAAGGAATCTCCACACTTTTTTCCATGGTGGCTGTACTAGTTTACGTTCCCACCAGCAGTGTAGAAGTGTTCCCTGATCACCGCATCCATGCCAACATCTACTATTTTTTGATTTTTTGATTACAGCCATTCTTGCAGGAGTAAGGTCATATTGCATTGTGGTTTTGATTTGCATTTCCCTGATCATTAGTGATGTTGATCATTTTTTCATATGTTTGGTGGACATTTTTCTATCTTGTTTTGAGAATTGTCTATTTGTGTACTTAGCCCACTTTTTAATGAGATTGTTCATTTTTTTTTTGATTGGTTTGAGTTTGTTGTAGATTCTGAATATTAGTCCTTTGTCAGATTGTATAGATTGTATAGATTGTGAAGATTTTCTCCCACTTTGCCGGTTTTCTGTTTACTTTGCTGACTGTTCCTTTCGCCATACAAAAGCTCTTTAGTCTAATTGGGTCCCAGCTATTTATCTTTGTTTTTATTGAATTTGATTTGGGGATTTTGGTCACAAAATCCTTGGCTAAGCCAATGTCTAGAAGGGTTTTTCCAGTGATATTTTCTAGAATTTTTATAGTTTCAGCTCTTACGTTTAAGTCTCTAATCCGTCCTGTGTTGATTTTTGTATAAGGTGAGAGATGAGGGTCCAGTTTCATACTCCTACATGTGGCTAGCCAATTATCCCAGCACCATTAGTTGAAAAGGGTGTCCTTTCCCCACTTTTTGTTTTTGTTTGCTTTGTCAAAGATCAGTTAGCTGTAAGTATTTGGGCTTATTTCTGGGTTCTCTATTCTGTTCCATTGGTCTAAGTGCCTATTTTTATACCTGTGCCACTCTGTTTTGGTGACTATGGCCTTAGAGTATAGTTTGAAACCAGGTAGTGTGATGCCTCCGGTTTTGTTCTTTTTGCTTAACCTTGCTTTGGCTTTGCAGGCTCTTTTTCTTTTATTCCATATGAATTGTATTCTTTGTCTCTGTGAAGAATGATGGTGTTACTTTGATGGGGATTGAATTGAATCTGTAGATTGCTTTCAGAAGTATGGTCATTTTTACAATATTGATTCTAATGGTCCATGAGCATGGAATGTGTTTCCATTTGTTTGTGTTGTCTATGATTTTTTTCAGCAGTGTTTTGTAGTTTTCCTTGTAGAGGTCTTTTGACTCCTTGGTTAGGCATATTCCTAAGTATTTTATTTTACTTGTTTGCAGCTATTGTAAAAGGGGTTGAGTTCTTGATTTGATTCTCCACTTGGTTGCTGTTGATGTGTACAAGAGCTACTGATTTGTGTACATTAATCTTGTATCCAGATAGTTTGCTGAATTATTTTATCAGTTCTAGGAGCTTTCCTGAGGAGTCCTTAGGATTTTCAAGGTAAATGATAATACAGTCGTCAAACAGAGACAGTTTGACTTTCTCTTCACCGATTTGGATGCCCTGTACATCTTTCACTTGTCTGATTGTTCTGGCTAAGACTACCAGTACTATGTTGAAGAGGAGTGGTGAGAGTGGACATTCTTGTCTTGTTCCTGTTCTCAGAGAGAGTGCTTTCAACTTTTCCCCAGTCAGTATTATGTTGGCTGTGGGTTCATCACAGATGGCTTCTATTACATTAAGGTATGTTCCATGTTTGCTGATTTTGATGAGAGTTTTAATAATAAAGTGATGGTGGATTTTTTTGAATGCTTTTTCTGCATCTGTTGAGATGATCATGTGATTTTTGTTTTTAATTCTGTTTATGTGGTGTATCACACTTATTGACTTGTGTATGTTAAACCATTCCTGCATTCCTGGTATGAAACTCACTTGATCATGGTGGATTATCTTTTTGATAAGTTGTTGGATTCAGTTAGCTGGTATTTTGTTAAGGATTTTAGCATCTATATTCATCAAGAATATCAGTCTGCAGTTTTCTTTTTGGTTGTGTCCTTTCCTGGTTTTGGTATTAGGGTGATGTTGGCTTCACAGATTTAATTAGGGAAAATTCCTTCTTTCTCTATACTGTGGAATAGTATCAAAAGGATTGGTACCAATTCTTTTTTGAATGTTCGGTAAAATTCTGCTGTGAATCCATCTGCTCCTAGACTTTGGTTGTTGTTGTTGTTGTTGGTAATTTTTAAATTACCATTTCAATCTTGCTGCTTGTTATTGTTCTATTCAGGGGATCTAATTCTTCCTGATTTAAGCTAGGAGGGTTGTATTTTTCCAGGAATTTATCCACCTGTTCTAGATTTTCTATTTATGTGTGTAAAGGTGTTCATAATAGCGTTAAATGATCTTCCGTATTTCAGTGGTGTCAGCTGTAATATCTCTTGTTTTGTTTCTTAGTGAGGTTAGTTGGATTTTCTCTCTTCTTTTCTTGGTTAATCTTGCTAATGGTCTATCAATATTATTTATCTTTTCAAAAAACCAGATTTTTCCTTCATTTATCTTTTGTATTTTTTTGTTTCATTTTTATTTAGGTCTGCTCTGATCTTGGTTATTTCTTTTCTTCTGCTGTGTTTGCATTTGCTTTGCTCTTGTTTCTCTATTTCCATCAGGTGTGGCCGCAGATTGAATGTTTGTGCTCTTTCAGTCTTTTTGATGTAGGCATTTAGGGGTATGAACTTTCCTCTTAGCACTGTCTCAGCTGTATCCAAGAGGTTTTGATAGGTTTTGTTGTTCTTGTGATTCAGTTGGAAGAATTTTTGAATTTCCATCTTGATTTTGTTTTTGACCCAATGCTCATTCTGGGACAGTTACATAATTTCCATGTATTTACATGTTTTTGAAGTTTCCTGTTGGGATTGATTTCCAGTTTTATTTCACTGTGGTCTGAGAGAGTGCTTGATATAATTTCAATTTTCCTAAATTTACTGAGGCTCATATTGTAACCTATTATATGGTCCATCTTGGAGGAAATTTCGTGTGCTGTTGAATAGAATGTGTATTCTGCAGTTGTTGAATGAAATGTTCTGTATATATCTGTTAAGTCCATCTATTCCAAGGTATAGTTTAAATCCATTGTTTCTTTGTTGACTTTCTGTCTTGATGACCTGTCTAGTGCTGTCAGTGGAGTATTGAAATCCCCCACTATCATTGTGTTGCTGTATATCTCATTTTTTAGGTCTATTACTAATTGTTTTATTAATTTGGGAGCTCCAGTGTTAGGTGCATATATGTTTAGGATTGTCATATTTTCCTGTTGGACAAGGCCTTTTATTATTTTTTATTTTTACTTTTTATTATACTTTAAGTTTTAGGGTACATGTGCACAACGTGCAGGTTAGTTACATATGTATACATGTGCCATGTTGGTGTGCTGCACCCACTAACTCGTCATTTAACATTAGGTATATCTCCTAATGCTATCCCTCCCCCCTCCGCCCACCCCAATACAGGCCCTGGTGTGTGATGTTCCCCTTCCTGTGTCCATGTGTTCTCATCATTCAATTTCCACCGATGAGTGAGAACCTGCAGTGTTTGGTTTTTTGTCCTTGTGATAGTTTGTTGAGAATGATGGTTTCCAGCTTCACCCATGTCCCTACAAAGGACATGAACTCATCCTTTTCTATGGCTGCATAGTATTCCATGGTGTATATGTGCCACATTTTCTTAATAGAGTCTATCATTGTTGGACATTTGGGTTGGTTCCAAGTCTTTGCTCTTGTGAATAGTGCCACAATAAACATACGTGTGCATGTGTCTTTATAGCAGCATGATTTATAATCCTTTGGGTGTATACCTAGTAATGGGACTGCTGGGTCAAATGGTATTTCTAATTCTAGGACCTTGAGGAATCGCCACACTGTCTTCCACAATGGTTGAACTAGTTTCCAGTCCCACCAACAGTGTAAAAGTGTTCCTATTTCTCCACATCCTCTCCAGCACCTGTTATTTCCTGACTTTTTAATGGTCACCATTCTAACTGGTGAGAGATGGTATCTCATTGTGGTTTTGATTTGCGTTTCTCTGATGGCCAGTGGTAATGAGCATTTTTTCATGTGTCTTTTGGCTGCATAAATATCTTCTTTTGAGAAGTGTCTGTTCATATCCTTCGCCCACTTTTTGATGGGGTTGTTTGTTTTTTTCTTGTAAATTTGCTTGAGTTCATTGTAGATTCTGGATATTAGCCCTTTGAAAGATGAGTAGATTGCAAAAATTTTCTCCCGTTCTGTATGTTGCCTGTTCACTCTGATGGTAGTTTCTTTTGCTGTGCAGAAGCTCTTTAGTTTAATTAGATCCCATTTGTCAATTTTGTCTTTTGTTGCCATTGCTTTTGGTGTTTTAGACATGAAGTCCTTGCCCATGCCTATGTCCTGAATGGTATTGCCTAGGTTTTCTTTCAGGGCTTTTATGGTTTTAGGTCTAACATTTAAGTCTTTAATCCATCTTGAATTAATTTTTGTATAAGGTGTAAGGAAGGGACCCAGTTTCAGCTTTCTGCATCTGGCTAGCCAGTTTTATCAACACCATTTATTAAATAAGGAATCCTTTCCCCATTTCTTGTTTTTCTCAGGTTTGTCGAAGATCAGATAGTTGTAGATATGTGACACAATTTCTGAGGGCTCTGTTCTGTTCCATTGGTCTATATCTCTGTTTTGGTACCAGTAGCATGCTGTTTTGGTTACTGTAGCCTTGTAGTATAGTTTGAAGTCAGGTAGCATGATGCCTCCAGCTTTGTTCTTTTGGCTTAAGATTGACTTGGCAATGTGAGCTCCTTTTTGGTTCCATATGAACTTTAAAGTAGTTTTTTCCAATTCTGTGAAGAAAGTCATTGGTAGCTTGATGGAGATGGCATTGAATCTATAAATTACCTTGGGCAGTATGGTCATTTTCACGATATTGATTCTTCCTACCCATGAGCACGGAATGTTCTTCCATTTGTTTGTATCCTCTTTGATTTCATTGAGCAGTGGTTTGTAGTTCTCCTTGAAGAGGTCCTTCACATCCCTTGTAAGTTGGATTCCTAGGTATTTAATTCTCTTTGAAGCAATTGTGAATGGGAGTTCACTCATGATTTGGCTCTCTGTTTGTCTGTTATTGGTGTACAAGAATGCTTGTGATTTTTGCACATTGATTTTGTATCCTGAGACTTTGCTGAAGTTGCTTATCAGCTTAAGGAGATTTTGGGCTGAGATGATGGGGTTTTCTAGATATACAATCTTGTCATCTACAAACAGGGACAATTTGACTTCCCCTTTTCCTAATGGAATACCTTTTTTTCCTTCTCCTGCCTGATTGCCCTGGCCAGAACTTCCAACACTATGTTGAATAGGAGTGGTGAGAGAAGGCATCCCTTTCAGACACGGCCTTTTAGCATTATGTAATGTCCCCCTTTGTCTCTTTTAACTTCCATTGCCTTAAAGTTTGTTTTGTCTGATATAAAAATAGCCAGCTCTTCTCACCTTTGGTGTCCACTTCCACGAATTTCCTTTTTCCACCCTTTTACTTTAAGTTTATGAGAGTTCTTATGTCTTATGTGGGTCTCCTGAAGGCAGCAGATCATTGGTGAGCTCTTACCCATTCTGCAATTTTGTATCTTTTAAGTGGAACATTTAGGCCATGTACATTCAATATTTGTATTGAAATGTGAGGTCGTTGGGTTCATCATGCTCTTTATTTCCTGTGTACACTGTTTTGTTTGTTTGCTTGCTTTGTGCTTTAACTTCTATTTTTGTTTTATAAGTCGTGTGTGATTTATGCTTTAAAGATCTTCTCTTTTGATGTGTTTCCAGCATTTGTTTCAAAATTTAGAGCTCCCTTTAGCAGTTTTTGTAGTGGTGGCTTGGTAATGGTGAATGTTCTCAGCATTTTTTTTTTTGGTCTGAAAACGACTGTATCTTTCCTTCATATATGATGCTTAGTTTCGCTAGATACAAAATTTTGGGCTAAAAATTGTTTTGTTTGAGGAAGCTGAAGATAGGGCCCCAATCCCTGTTATCTTGTAGGGTTTCAGCTGAGAAGTCTACTGTTAATCTGATAGGTTTTCCTTTATAAGTTATCTGGTGCTTCTGTCTCAGAGCTCTTAAGATTCTTTCCTTTGTCTTAACTTTGGATAACCTGATGACAGTGTGCCTAGGCAAAGATCTTTTGGGGATGAATTTCACAGGTGTTCTTTGTGCTTTTCTTATTTGCATGCCTAGGTCTCTAGAAACACCAAAGCAGTTTTCCTCCATTATTTTTCCAAATATGTTTTCCAAACTTTCAGAATTCTCTTCTTCCTCAGGAACACTGATTCTTCTTCTTTTTTTTTTTTTTTTTTTTTTTTTTTTTTTTTTTTTTGAGATGGAGTCTCACTCTGTCACCCAGGCTGGAGGGCAGTGATGTGATCTCGGCTCACTGCAATCTCTGCCTCCTGGGTTCATACCATTCTCCTGCCTCAGCTTCTTGAGTAGCTGGGACTACAGGTGACCACCACCACGCCCGGCTAATTTTTTGTGTTTTTAGTAGAGACAGGGTTTCACCGTGTTAGCCAGGATGGTCTGGATCTCCTTACCTTTTGATCTACCCACCTCAGCCTCCCAAAGTGCTGGGATTACAGGCATGGGCCACCGCACCTGGCCTGATTATTCTTAGGATTGGTTATTTAGCATAATTCCAGAGTTCTTGAAGGCTTTGTTCGTGTTTTCTTATTTTTTTTTTTTTGGTCTTTGTTAGCTTGGGTTAATTTGAAGACCTTCTCTTTGAGCTCTAAATTTCTTTTTTCTACATGTTCAATTCTATTGCTGAGACTTTTCAGAGCATTTCGCATTTCTAAAAGTGTGTCCAAAGTTTCCTGAATTTTTTGTTGTTTTTGCTTTAGGCTATCTATTTCCTTTAATATTTCTCCATTCACTTCTTGTATTATTTTTTGGGTTTCCTTGCTTTGGGCTTTGACTTTCTCTGGTGCCTCCCTGATTAAGTTAATAACTAACATACTCAATTCTTTCTCAGGTAAATCAGCGATTTCTTCTTGGTTCGGATCCATTGCTGGTGAACTACTGTGACTTTTGGGGGTTGTTGATGAGCCTTGTTTTGTCATATTACCAGGGATGGTTTTCTCATTCCTTCTCATTTGGGTAGGCTCTGTCAGAGGGAGGGTCTAAGGCTGAAGGCTTTTGTTCAGATTTTTTTGTCCCACAGGATGTTCCCTTGATGTAGTACTCTCCCCTCATTTCCTGTGGATGTGGCTTCCTGTGTGCTAAACTGCGGTGATTGTTGTCTCTCTTCTGGGTCTAGCCACCCAGTAAGTTTACCCAGCTCTGGGCTGGTACTGTGGGTTGTCTGCACAGAGTCCTATGATGTGAACTATCTATGGGCCTCTCAGCTGTGGATACCAGGTCCTGTTCTAGTGGAGGTGGTGGAGGGTGCAATGGACTCCATAAGGGTCATTAGCTTTGGTAATTTAATGCTCTATTTTTGAAGTGGTTGGCCTCCTGCCAGGAGGTGGGACTTTACAGAAAACATCAGCTGTAATAATGTGGAGAGGAACCAGTGGTTGGTGGGGCCCTAGAGCTCCCAAGATTATATGCCCTTTGTCTTCAGCTACCAGGGTGGATAGAAAAGGACCATCAGGTGGGGGTATGGCTAGTCATGTCTGAGCTCAGACTCTCCTTGGGTGGGTCTTGCTGTGGCTGCTGTGGGGGATGAGGTTGAGATTTGCAGGTCACTGTAGTTGTGTACCTAGGAGGATTATGGCTATCTCTGCTGAGTCATGGAGGTTGTCAGGGAAGTGGGGGAAAGCCGGTAGTCACAGGCCTCACCAAGCTCCCACTCAAACTGAAGGGCTGGCCTCTCTCTCACCATACCCCCAACAACAGCCCTGAGTCTTTTTCTAGGTGGAGGGTTAGACAGGGTTGAAAACTTTCCTGGGCTTTCCACCTCCCAGCTGGGAAAGAAAAGGGCTTTAGTTCTTCCCCAGCCTGTGAAGTCTGTAAGCCAGATTCACGCCCTCCCCTGAGTTCTGGCCAGGAGGCTTCTCACCTGGTTCAAACTGTTACAAAGTTTAGGTAGAGAATTCCTTCTGCCTGTGGAATTTTACCCCCTGCTCATCTGGACACCCTCCTGATGGATCCCTATGGTGCCAGGCAGGAATGGGCTGCTTGGGGAACCCGTGAGCTCCCATGGCCTTTTCACTGCTTCCTCTACCCCTGTATTTCGCTTGGTTCAGCTCTCTAACTTGATTTGGCTCCAGGTAAAGTCGGAAACTTCTCCTGCAAACAGACCTTCAGCTTCTTCAGTGGGTGTGTGCATTTGGGAGAGGAGGGTCTCCCTTTCCCACTTCCACAATTAGGGCACTCACAGTATTTGGGGTGTCTCCTGGGTCCTGTAGGGGCAGCCTGCTTCCTTCAGAGGGTCTGTTTGTCCTCTCAGGATTGCTGGTTTGTTCTTTCAGTCGATCTGGAGCTAAAATTCACAGTACAAGTCTCCACATGCTGCTCTGTCCACAGCTGCAACCTAGTTTTGCCTCCTATCCACCATGACCCACTCATTCATGTGTCTTTATAATAGAACAATTTAAATCCCTTTGGGTGTATACCCAGTAATGGAATTGCTGGGTCGAGTGGTATTTCTGTCTTTAGATCTTTTAGAAATCGCCACACTGTCTTTCACAATGTTTTCACTAATTGACTTTTCCATCAACAATATATAAGCCTTCCTTTTTCTCCAAAACCTCGCCAGCCTCCTTTATTTTTTGACTTTTTGATAATAACCATTCTGACTGGTGTGAGATGGTAACTCATTTTTGTTTAGATTTGAATTTCTCTAATGATTAGCAATATTAAGCTTTGTATTATATGATTGTTGGCTGCATGCATGTCTTCTTTTGAACATCGTCTCTCTATATTAGTTTTTTTATGAGGTCGTTTTGCTGTTGTAAATTTGTTCAAGTTTCTTATATATGCTGCATATTAAACTTTTGTTTAATCCATTGTCTGCAAAAATTTGTATCTAATTCTATGGCTTTGAGTGAATTTCTTAGTCTTGATTTCTAATTTGATTGCACTGTCCTTGAGAGATTATATGTTATGATTTCAGTTTTTTGGCATTTGCTGAGGAGTGTTTTACTTCCAATTATGTAATCAATTTTAGAGTATGTGCCATGTGTCAATCAGAAAAAATGCATATTGTTTTGTTTTTCAGTGGAGAATGCTGTAGCTATCTATCAGGACTTTTTGATCCAGTGCTGAGTTCAAGTCCTAAATATCTTTGTGAATTTTCTGTCCTGGTGATCTAATATTGTCAGTGAAGTGTTAAAGTCTCCCACTATTATTGTGTGAGAATCTAAGTATTCCTGAGGGTCTTCAAGAACTTGCTTTATGAATCTAGCTGCTCTTGTGTGATAAATGTTTAATCCAACAGCTCCAGAATGCACATTTTTATCTTCAGCACATGAATCATTCTCAAAAAAGACCTTATGTCAGGTCACAAAACAAGTCTTAAAACATTCAAAAGCATTGAAATAATATCAAGCGTCTTCTCTGACCACAATAAAGGAAAACCAGAAATTAATAAGAATAGGAATTTTGGTAACTATATAAATACCTGGAAATTAAACTGTATACTTCTGAATGATCAGTGGGTCACTGAAGAAATTAAGAAGGAAATTGAAAATTGTTTTGAAACAAATGATAATGAAAACACAATATATCAAAACCTATGGTGTACAGCCAAAGCAGTACTAAGGGAAATTAATAGCTATAGGTGCCTACATCAAAAAAGAAGAAAAATCTCAAATAAACAATATAATGATAAAACATAAAGAACTAAAAGTAAGAGCAAACCATATCAAAATTAGTAGAAGGAAAAAATGTAGACCAAAGAAGAAATAAATATAATTGAAATGGAGAGAAGAATAGAAAATATGAATAAAACAAAAAATTGTTTTTGAAATGTTAAAAAAATTGACAAACCTTTGGTGAGGCTAAGAACTAAAGCAGAGAATATGCAAATAAATACAATCAAAAATGAAAAAAGAGACATTACAACAGATACTTCACAAATTCAATGGATTATTAGTGCCTACTATGAGCAACTATATGCCAATAAGTTGGAAAATCTAAAAGAAATGAACAGTTTCCTAGACACATACAACCTATAAAGATTGAACCAGAAGTAAATCTATAACTTGAACAGATTTATAAGAAGGAATGAAATCAAAGCTGTAACAAAAAGTTTCCCAGTGAAGAAAAGCCTGGGAACAGACGGCTTTACTGCTGAATTTTTCCAAACATTTAAGTAAAAATTAAAAACTAATACTAATCCTACTCGAACTGTTTGGAAAAATAGAGGAGGAAATATTTCCAAATCTCTTCTATGGGACCAGTTTTACTCTGATACCAAAACCAGAAAAAGACACATCAGAAAAAAGAAAACTATAGGCTAATGTTACTTATGAATATTGATGCAAAGATCCTCAACAAATACTAGCAAACTGAATTCAACAGCATATTATTAAGAGCAATCATTATGACCAAGTGAGATTTATCCCTGGTATGCAAGGATCATTCAACATATGCAAACCAATTAATGTGATATATCATATCAACAGAATGAAGTATAAAAACCATATGATTATTTCAATTGATACTGAAAATACATTTGATAAAACTCAACATCCATTCATAATAATAAAAAAAAACCCTCAAAAACTGGAAGTGGAAGAAACATACCTCAACACAACAAAAGACATACATTACAGACTGACAGTTAGTATAATACTAAATAAAGAAAAACTGAAAGACTTTTTCCAAGATCTGGAACAAGCCAAGAATGCCCATCTTCATCACTGTTATTTAACATGGTACAGGAAGCCCTAGCTAGAACAATGAGTCAACAGAAAAAATAAAGGACATCCAAATTAGAATAAAAGAAGTCAAGTTATTTTTGTTTGCAGATAATATTATCTTATATATGAAAAACCCTGAAGATTTTACTAATAAACATTGGAAAAAATAAATTCAGTAAAGTTGCAGCATACAACATCAACATACAAAAATCTGTAGCATTTCTATATGCCAACAGTGAACAATCTAAAAACAATTTAAAAAGTAATTCCGTTTACAATAGCCATACATAAAACTAAATACCCAGAAATTAAGCAAAGTAGTGAAAGATTGCTATAATGAAAAGTATAAAACACTGATAAGAGAAATTGAAGAGGACAGAAAAAATAAAAAAATTCTATGTTCATGGATAGAAAGAATTAATATTGTTAAAATGTCCACACTTCCCAAAGCAATCTACAGATTCAATGCATTTTCTATCCAAATATTGCAGTTGCTTCTTCTTTTTTTTTTTTTTTATTATACTCTAAGTTTTAGGGTACATGTGCACATTGTGCAGGTTGGTTACATATGTATACATGTGCCATGCTGGTGCGCTGCACCCACTAATGTGTCATCTAGCATTAGGTATATCTCCCAATGCTATCCCTCCCCCCTCCCCCGACCCCACCACAGTCCCCAGAGTGTGATATTCCCCTTCCTGTGTCCATGTGATCTCATTGTTCAATTCCCACCTATGAGTGAGAATATGTGGTGTTTGGTTTTTTGTTCTTGCGATAGTTTACTGAGAATGATGGTTTCCAATTTCATCCATGTCCCTACAAAGGATATGAACTCATCATTTTTTATGGCTGCATAGTATTCCATGGTGTATATGTGCCACATTTTCTTAATCCAATCTATCATTGTTGGACATTTGGGTTGGTTCCAAGTCTTTGCTATTGTGAATAGTGCCGCAATAAACATACGTGTGCATGTGTCTTTATAGCAGCATGATTTATAGTCCTTTGGGTATATACCCAGTAATGGGATGGCTGGGTCAAATGGTATTTCTAGTTCTAGATCCCTGAGGAATCGCCACACTGACTTCCACAATGGTTGAACTAGTTTACAGTCGCACCAACAGTGTAAAAGTGTTCCTATTTCTCCACATCCTCTCCAGCACCTGTTGTTTCCTGACTTTTTAATGATTGCCATTCTAACTGGTGTGAGATGATATCTCATAGTGGTTTTGATTTGCATTTCTCTGATGGCCAGTGATGATGAGCATTTCTTCATGTGTTTTTTGGCTGCATAAATGTCTTCTTTTGAGAAGTGTCTGTTCATGTCCTTCGTCCACTTTTTGATGGGGTTGTTTGTTTTTTTCTTGTAAATTTGTTTGAGTTCATTGTAGATTCTGGATATTAGCCCTTTGTCAGATGAGTAGGTTGCGAAAATTTTCTCCCATGTTGTAGGTTGCCTGTTCACTCTGATGGTAGTTTCTTTTGCTGTGCAGAAGCTCTTTAGTTTAATTAGATCCCATTTGTCAATTTTGGCTTTTGTTGCCATTGCTTTTGGTGTTTTGGACATGAAGTCCTTGCCCACGCCTATGTCCTGAATGGTAATGCCTAGGTTTTCTTCTAGGGTTTTTATGGTTTTAGGTCTAACGTTTAAGTCTTTAATCCATCTTGAATTGATTTTTGTATAAGGTGTAAGGAAGGGATCCAGTTTCAGCTTTCTACATATGGCTAGCCAGTTTTCCCAGCACCATTTATTAAATAGGGAATCCTTTCCCCATTGCTTGTTTTTGTCAGGTTTGTCAAAGATCAGATAGTTGTAGATATGCGGCATTATTTCTGAGGGCTCTGTTCTGTTCCATTGATCTATATCTCTGTTTTGGTACCAGTACCATGCTGTTTTGGTTACTGTAGCCTTGTAGTATAGTTTGAAGTCAGGTAGTGTGATGCCTCCAGCTTTGTTCTTTTGGCTTAGGATTGACTTGGCAATGCGGGCTCTTTTTTGGTTCCATATGAACTTTAAAGTAGTTTTTTCCAATTCTGTGAAGAAAGTCATTGGTAGCTTGATGGGGATGGCATTGAATCTGTAAATTACCTTGGGCAGTATGGCCATTTTCACGATATTGATTCTTCCTACCCATGAGCATGGAATGTTCTTCCATTTGTTTGTGTCCTCTTTTATTTCCTTGAGCAGTGGTTTGTAGTTCTCCTTGAAGAGGTCCTTCACATCCCTTGTAAGTTGGATTCCTAGATATTTTATTCTCTTTGAAGCAATTGTGAATGGGAGTTCACCCATGATTTGGCTCTCTGTTTGTCTGTTGTTGGTGTATAAGAATGCTTGTGATTTTTGTACATTGATTTTGTATCCTGAGACTTTGCTGAAGTTGCTTATCAGCTTAAGGAGATTTTGGGCTGAGACGATGGGGTTTTCTAGATAAACAATCATGTCGTCTGCAAACAGGGACAATTTGACTTCCTCTTTTCCTAATTGAATACCCTTTATTTCCTTCTCCTGCCTGATTGCCCTGGCCAGAACTTCCAACACTATGTTGAATAGGAGTGGTGAGAGAGGGCATCCCTGTCTTGTGCCAGTTTTCAAAGGGAATGCTTCCAGTTTTTGCCCATTCAGTATGATATTGGCTGTGGGTTTGTCATAGATAGCTCTTATTATTTTGAAATACGTCCCATCAATACCTAATTTATTGAGAGTTTTTAGCATGAAGGGTTGTTGAATTTTGTCAAAGGCTTTTTCTGCATCTATTGAGATAATCATGTGGTTTTTGTCTTTGGCTCTGTGTATATGCTGGATTACATTTATTGATTTGCGTATATTGAACCAGCCTTGCATCCCAGGGATGAAGCCCACTTGATCATGGTGGATAAGCTTTTTGATGTGCTGCTGGATTCGGTTTGCCCGTATTTTATTGAGGATTTTTGTATCAATGTTCATCAAGGATATTGGTCTAAAATTCTCTTTTTTGGTTGTGTCTCTGCCCGGCTTTGGTATCAGAATGATGCTGGCCTCATAAAATGAGTTAGGGAGGATTCCCTCTTTTTCTATTGATTGGAATAGTTTCAGAAGGAATGGTACCAGTTCCTCCTTGTACCTCTGGTAGAATTCGGCTGTGAATCCATCTGGTCCTGGACTCTTTTTGCTTGGTAAACTATTGATTATTGCCACAATTTCAGAGCCTGTTATTGGTCTATTCAGAGATTCAACTTCTTCCTGGTTTAGTCTTGGGAGAGTGTATGTGTCGAGGAATGTATCCATTTCTTCTAGATTTTCTAGTTTATTTGCGTAGAGGTGTTTGTAGTATTCTCTGATGGTAGTTTGTATTTCTGTGGGATCGGTGGTGATATCCCCTTTATCATTTTTTATTGTGTCTGTTTGGTTCTTCTCTCTTTTTTTCTTTATTAGTCTTGCTAGTGGTCTATCAATTTTGTTGATCCTTTCAAAAAACCAGCTCCTGGATTCATTGATTTTTTGAAGGGTTTTTTGTGTCTCTATTTCCTTCAGTTCTGCTCTGATTTTAGTTATTTCTTGCCTTCTGCTAGCTTTTGAATGTGTTTGCTCTTGCTTTTCTAGTTCTTTTAATTGTGATGTTAGGGTGTCAATTTTGGATCTTTCCTGCTTTCTCTTGTAGGCATTTAGTGCTATAAATTTCCCTCTACACACTGCTTTGAATGTGTCCCAGAGATTCTGGTATGTGGTGTCTTTGTTCTCGTTGGTTTCAAAGAACATCTTTATTTCTGCCTTCATTTCGTTATGTACCCAGTAGTCATTCAGGAGCAGGTTGTTCAGTTTCCATGTAGTTGAGCGGCTTTGAGTGAGATTCTTAATCCTGAGTTCTAGTTTGATTGCACTGTGGTCTGAGAGATAGTTTGTTATAATTTCTGTTCTTTTACATTTGCTGAGGAGAGCTTTACTTCCAAGTATGTGGTCAATTTTGGAATAGGTGTGGTGTGGTGCTGAAAAAAATGTATGTTCTGTTGATTTGGGGTGGAGAGTTCTGTAGATGTCTATTAGGTCTGCTTGGTGCAGAGCTGAGTTCAATTCCTGGGTATCCTTGTTGACTTTCTGTCTCGTTGATCTGTCTAATGTTGACAGTGGGGTGTTAAAGTCCCCCATTATTAATGTGTGGGAGTCTAAGTCTCTTTGTAGGTCACTGAGGACTTGCTTTATGAATCTGGGTGCTCCTGTATTGGGTGCATAAATATTTAGGATAATTAGCTCCTCTTGTTGAATTGATCCCTTTACCATTATGTAATGGCCTTCTTTGTCTCTTTTGATCTTTGTTGGTTTAAAGTCTGTTTTATCAGAGACTAGGATTGCAACCCCTGCCTTTTTTTGTTTTCCATTGGCTTGGTAGATCTTCCTCCATCCTTTTATTTTGAGCCTATGTGTGTCTCTGCATGTGAGATGGGTTTCCTGAATACAGCACACTGATGGGTCTTGACTCTTTATCCAACTTGCCAGTCTGTGTCTTTTAATTGCAGAATTTAGTCCATTTATATTTAAAGTTAATTTTGTTATGTGTGAATTTGATCCTGTCATTATGATGTTAGCTGGTGATTTTGCTCATTAGTTGATGTAGTTTCTTCCTAGTCTCGATGGTCTTTACATTTTGGCATGATTTTGCAGCGGCTGGTACCGGTTGTTCCTTTCCATGTTTAATGCTTCCTTCAGGAGCTCTTTTAGGGCAGGCCTGGTGGTGACAAAATCTCTCAGCATTTGCTTGTCTGTAAAGTATTTTATTTCTCCTTCACTTATGAAGCTTAGTTTGGCTGGATATGAAATTCTGGGTTGAAAATTCTTTTCTTTAAGAATGTTAAATATTGGCCCCCACTCTCTTCTGGCTTGTAGGGTCTCTGCCGAGAGATCCGCTGTTAGTCTGATGGGCTTTCCTTTGAGGGTAACCCGACCTTTCTCTCTGGCTGCCCTTAACATTTTTTCCTTCATTTCAACTTTGGTGAATCTGACAATTATGTGTCTTGGAGTTGCTCTTCTCGAGGAGTATCTTTGTGGCGTTCTCTGTATTTCCTGAATCTGAACGTTGGTCTGCCTTGCTAGATTGGGGAAGTTCTCCTGGATAATATCCTGCAGAGTGTTTTCCAACTTGGTTCCATTCTCCACATCACTTTCAGGTACACCAATCAGACGTAGGTTTGGTCTTTTCACATAGTCCTATATTTCTTGGAGGCTTTGCTCATTTCTTTTTATTCTTTTTTCTCTAAACTTCCCTTCTCGCTTCATTTCATTCATTTCATCTTCCATCGCTGATACCCTTTCTTCCAGTTGATTGCATCGGCTCCTGAGGCTTCTGCATTCTTCACGTAGTTCTCGAGCCTTGGTTTTCAGCTCCATCAGCTCCTTTAAGCACTTCTCTCTATTGGTTATTCTAGTTATACATTCTTCTAAATTTTTTTCAAAGTTTTCAACTTCTTTGCCTTTGGTTAAAATGTCCTCCCGTAGCTCAGAGTAATTTGATCGTCTGAAGCCTTCTTCTGTCAGCTCATCAAAATCATTCTCCATCCAGGTTTGTTCTGTTGCTGGTGAGGAACTGTGTTCCTTTGGAGGAGGAGAGGCACTCTGCGTTTTAGAGTTTCCAGTTTTTCTGTTCTGCTTTTTCCCCATCTTTGTGGTTTTATCTACTTTTTGTCTTTGATGATGGTGATGTACAGATGGGTTTTCGGTGTAGATGTCCTTTCTAGTTGTTAGTTTTCCTTCTAACAGACAGGACCCTCAGCTGCAGGTCTGTTGGAATACCCTGCGGTGTGAGGTGTCAGTGTGCCCCTGCTGGGGGGTGCCTCCCAGTTAGGCTGCTCGGGGGTCAAGGGTCAGGGACCCACTTGAGGAGGCAGTCTGCCCGTTCTCAGATCTCCAGCTGCGTGCTGGGAGAACCACTGCTCTCTTCAAAGCTGTCAGACAGGGTCACTTAAGTCTGCAGAGGTTACTGCTGTCTTTTTGTTTGTCTGTGCCCTGCCCACAGAGGTGGAGCCTACAGAGGCAGGCAGGCCTCCTTGAGCTGTGGTGGGCTCCACCCAGTTCGAGCTTCCCGGCTGCTTTGTTTACCTAAGCAAGCCTGGGCAATGGCGGGCGCCCCTCCCCCATCCTCGTTGCCGCCTTGCAGTTTGATCTCAGACTGCTGTGCTAGCAATCAGCGAGATTCCGTGGGCATAGGACCCCTCTGAGCCAGGTGTGGGATATAGTCTCGTGGTGCGCCGTTTCTTAAGCCGGTCTGAAAAGCGCAATATTCGGGTGTGAGTGACCCGATTTTCCAGGTGCCGTCCGTCACCCCTTTCTTTGACTCGGAAAGGGAACTCCCTGACCCCTTGCGCTTCCCAGGTGAGGCAATGCCTCGCCCTGCTTCGGCTCGCGCACGGTGCGCACACACACTGGCCTGCGCCCACTGTCTGGCACTCCCTAGTGAGATGAACCCGGTACCTCAGATGGAAATGCAGAAATCACCCGTCTTCTGCGTCGCTCACGCTGGGAGCTGTAGACCGGAGCTGTTCCTATTCGGCCATCTTGGCTCCTCCTCATCATCACAAGGTCCCACAACAGGCTGTCTGCAAGCTGAGGAGCAAGGAGAGCCAGTCCAAGTCCCAAAACTGAAGAACTTGGAGTTCGACGTTCGAGGGCAGGAAGCATCCAGCAGGGGAAAAAGATGTAGGCTCGCAGTTGTTTCTAAGTGCAAAAACATCAATTACTTTTGCACCAACCTAATATCAACTATATTCTTCACATAAATAGAAAAGCTTCTATAAAATTTTTATGAAATCATTAAAAATCCAGAATTGTCAATGTTATCCTAAGCAAAAAGAATAAAATGGGAAGAGTCACATTATCTGACTTCAAATTATATTACAGAGCTACAGTAACCAAAATAGCATGATCCTGCCATAAAAACAGACACATATACCAATGCAACAGAATACAGAACTCAGAAACAATTCCATGCATTTTTAGTGACTTCATTTTCAAGAAAGGTGTCAATAGCATACACTGGGGAAAAGACAATCTCTTCAATAAATAGTGCTGGAAAAACTGAATATCTATATGCAGAATGATAAAACTAGACACCTATGTCTCACCATATACAAAAATCAAATCAAAATGGATTTAAATTTAAGATCTCAAAATGTGAAAAATTAGTATAAGAAAACTTTAGGAAAAGTTTCCAGGGCAAAGGTAGGGGAAAAATTTCTCAAGCAACACCCCACAAGCACAGTGAACCAAAACAGGAATTGATAAATAAGATTTTACCAAGCTAAATAACTTCTGAACAATGAATGATACAGTCAACAAAATGCAGAGACAACTTAAGATTGGAGGAAAATATTTTGAAACTACTCATGTGACAAGGAATTAACAACCACAATATATAAGAAGCTCAAACAACTCTATAGAAAAAATCTAATAATCCAGTTTAGAAAATGGGCAAAAGATTTGAATAGACATTTATCAAAAGAAGACATATAAATGCCAAACAGACACATGAAAAGTTGCTCAACATCATTGATCATTGGAGAACTGCAAATTAAAACTGCAATGAGTTATCACCTCACTCCAGTCAAAATGCCTTATATTCAAAAGGAGACAATAACAAAGGCTGGTGAGAATGTGGAGAAAAGGGCACCTTTGTACACTGCTGGTGGGAGTGTAAATTAATACAACCACTATGGAAGACAGTTTGAAGTTTCCCCCAAAAACTAAAATTAAACTACCATATGATACAGCAATCCCACTGCTGGGTATATACCCAAAAGAAAGGAAATCAGTATATTGAAGAGATATCTGGAGAAGTGGGACCATGATGGTTGACTTGAAATAGCAGAGATCAGAGACTCCCATCAATAAGAACTAAAACAGTGTGTGAATCCTGCACCAGCAACCGAGGTATCCAGGTTCTGTCATCAGGACTGACTAGACGGCTGGGATGACCCACAGAGAGGAAGAAAGAGCACTGTGGTGTGGTGGCACTTCTAAGAGCCACATGGGGCAAAGAAGCCCCCAACCCCCAACCAAGGGAGGCAGTGAGTGAGTGTGCTACCCAGCCTGGGAAACTGTGCTTTTGCACAGTTTCTGTGCAAAAGAACCGTACAACCCATGGAATTAAAGATCCTACTCATGAGCCCATGCCACTGGGGCCTAGGGTCCCAACAAAGGAGCTGTGCAGACTCTCAACAGCCACTCAGCTAGAATCTGCTTAAGCCTGCTGAGTTCCTTGGCAGAGGGGTGGCCATCATCACAGCTGTTGCTGCCTGCTGTCTAAGCCATCTGAGTTCCTTGGGGGAAGGGTGGCAGCCAACACTGGGACTGCTAGCTGCCTAACACACTAAGCTTCTAGAACTGGGGAAGAGCGGCAGCCATCTCTATAGCTCCAGGTAACACTTTTACCCTGCTAGAGCCAGGGGTGTTTGATTGCCAGGTCCCAAGAGGTATTCCCCACAGCCCAACACACCAGCAGTGGAAGACTGCAGTCAGAGTGCCTCTTCAGGTCTGAACCTGAGCAATCCCTCCTCACTGGGTGGGGCCTCTTAACACTGCTTTAGCTGTGTCCGAGAGATTCTGGTACATTGTCTCTTTGTTCTCATTGATTTCAAAGAACTTCTTGATTTCTGCCTTAATTTTATTATTTACCCAGGAGTCATTCAGGAGCAGATTGTTCAATTTCCATGTAGTTGTGTGGTTTTGAGTGAGTTTCTTAATCCTGAGTTCTAATTAGATTTCACTGTGGTCTGAGAGACTGTTTGTTATGATTTCAGTTCTTTTGCATTTGCTGAGGAGGAGTTTACTTCAATTATGGGGTCTATTATAGAATAAATGCCATGCATGCAGCACTGAGAAGAATGTATATTGTATTGATTTTGGGTGGAGAATACTGTAGATATCTATTAGGTCCACTTGACCCAGATCTGAGTTCAAGTCCTGAATATTCTTGCTAATTTTCTGTCTCATTGATCTGTCTAGTATTGACAGTGGAGTGTTAAAGTCTTCCACTATTGTTGTGTGGGAGTCCAAGTCTCTTTGTAGGTCTCTAAGAACTTGTTTTATGAATCCGAGTGCTCATGTGTTGGGTGCATATACATTTAGGATAGTTAGCTGTTCTTGTTGAATTGATCCCTTTACCATTATGTAATACCCTTCCTTGTCTTATTTGATCTTTGTTGGTTTAAAGTGTCTTTTGTCAGAAACCAGGATTGTAACTCCTGCTTTTTTCCACTCTCCATTTGCTTGGTAAATTTTCCTCCATTCCTTTATTTTCAGCCTATGTGTGTCTTTGCACATGAGATGGGTCTCCTGAGTACAGCACACTGATGGGTCTTGGCTCTTTATCCAATTTGCCAGTCTATGTCTTTTATTTGGGATATTTAGCCCATTTACTTTTAAGTTTAATATTTTTATGTGTGAATTTTATCTTGTCATCATGATACTAGCTGGTTATTTTGCACACTAGTTGATGCAGTTTCTTCATAGTTTTATTGGTCTTTATAATTTAATGTGTTTTTGCAGTTGTTGGCACCAGTATTTCCTTTCCATATTTAGTGATTCTTTCAGGAGCTCTTGCAAAACACTCCTGCTGGTGACAAAAATCCCTGAGTAGTATTCCATCATATATGTATACCACAGTTTCCTTATCCAAAGTTAAGACAAAAGAAAGAATAAAAAGCACAAAGTAACCTATAAAGAAAAGTCTATCAGATTAACAGCAGATTTCTCAGCAGAAAGCCTACAAGCTATAAGAGATGGGGGGCTGGTGACTGTCAAGATGGCCAAATAGGAACAACTCTGGTCTGCAGCTCCCAGCAAGATCAATGCAAAAGGTGGATGATTTCTGCACTTCCAACTGAGGTATCTGGCTCATCTCATTGGGACTGATTAGACAGTGGGTGCAGCCCACAGAGGGTGAGCAGAAGCAGGCTGGGGTGTTGCCTCACCCGGGAAGCACAAGGGGTCAGGGAACTCCCTCCCCTAGCCAAGGGAAGCTGTGAGGGGCTGTGCCATGAGGGATAGTGCACTCTGGCCCCAGATACTATGCTTTTTCCACAGTCTTCACAACCCACAGACCAGGAGATTCCCTTAGGTGCCTATGCCACCAGGGCCCTGAGTTTTAGCACAAAACTGGGCAGCCATTTGGACAGACACCAAACTACCTGCAAGAGTTTTTTTCATACACCAGTGGCGCCTGGAATGCCAGCGAGACAGACCTTTTTAGCCTTCTTAAAGAAATAAATGCCAGTCAAAATTTTATATCCTGCCAAACTAAGTTTCATAAATGAGGGTGAAAAAAGTCTTTCCAAGATAAGCAAATGCTAAAGGAATTTATCACCACTAGATCAGCCCTACAAGAAATATTCAAAGGAGTTAGAAGCATGAAAGCAAAAGGATGATACTCATAATCATAAAATCACATGTAAGTGCAAAATTCACATCCTATAAAGCTGTCACAAAATGGAGACTATAAATTAGCTAACTAAAAACACTATGACAAAAAGAAAACCTCACTGATACCAATATTAACTCTAAACACACCTGGTTTAAATGTTCCACTTAAAAGATATAGACTGGCAAATTGGATACAATGAAAAAGACTCAACCACCTTCTGCCTACAAGAGACACAGAAAATGGCTAAAGGCGCCTACAGATTTAAAGTAAAGATGTGAGAAAAGATATATCACATACATGAAAAAAAGTAACTAGGAGCAGCTGTTCATATATCACATAAAACATAAAACAAACTCTAAATCAACAACAGTAAAAAAAAGGACAAAGGAGAGCCTTGTATAATGATAAAGTGGTCAATAGAACAAGTATTCTAAATATGTATGCATTAAATACAATAGCACTCAGATTCATAAAACAACTACCACTAGGCTTAAAAAAAGAAATGAACAGCAATAAAATAATAGTGGGGGACTTTAGCACCACACTGACAACACTAGGCAGAGCATCAAGGCAGAAAATTAACAAAAAATTATAGTTAAACTAGACTGTTGACCAATTGGAACTAATAGACATTTACATCATTTACAGAACATTCTACCCAGCAACTGCAGAATACACTTTTTCTCATCTGCACATGGAACATCCTCCAAAATTGGTCCTATCCTTGGCCATAAAACAAGTCAATAAATTCAATAAAAAGCAAAATTCTATCAAGTATCATCTTGGACCACAATAAAATAAAATAAGAAACAATTCCGAGTGGAACTCTCAAAACTATACAAGTACACTGAAGCTAAACAACTTGTTCCTGAATAACTTTTGAGTAAACAACAAAATTAAGGCAGAAATAAAACAAGTTTTTAAAATGAACAAAAATAGAGATACAACATAGCAAAACCTCTGGGATACAGCAAAAGTAGTGTTAAGAGGAAAGTTGACAGCATTAAATGCCTACATCAAAGGCATAGAAAGATCTCAAATGAACAACTTAACATTGCACCTCAAGCAATTTGAGAAACAAGAACAAACTAAATACAAAGTTAGCTTAAGAAAAGAAGTTACAAAGATTATAGCAATAATAAACAAGACTGAGACCACAAAAACCGTGCAAATTATTAACAAAAATTTTTTCTTGGAAATAATAATGAAATTTATAGACCACTAGCTAGATTAACCAAGAAGAAAGAGAAGATTCAAATAAATATTAGAAGAAATAATAGAGGTCACAATAGATTCCACAGAAATACGAAATGATCATCAGAGACTACTATGTACATTGCTATGTGCACAAACTAAAAAATCTAGAAGAAATAAATAAATTTCTGGAAACATAAAACCTACCAATATTGACCAGGAAGAAATAGAAAAAAATAAATTCATTGAGATAGTGAGTAGAAGGATTGTTACCAGAGGCTGGGAAGTGTAGGAGGGGGTTGGGGAGGATGTAGGGATAGTTAATGGGTATAAAAAAATAGAAAGAATGAATAAAACCTAGTATGTGATAGTACAACAGGGGGGCTACAGTCAATTATAATTGATATTGTTTGTATGTGTGTTCCTATCCAAATCTTATATTGAAATGTAATCCCCAGTGTTGGAGGTGGGACCTGGTGAGAGGTGATTTAATCATGGGGGTGGACTTCTCATGAATGGTTTAGCAGTATTCCCCCTTGGTACTCTCATAATAGTGAGTGAATTCTTGTGAGAGCTAGTCATTTTAAAGTGTATAGCACCTCTCGTCTCAGTATCTTGCTCCTGCTTTCACCATGTGATGTTACGGCTCTCCCTTTGCCTTCTGCCATGATGAGAAGCTTCCTGAGGCTTCCTCAGAAGCAGATGATGCTATGCTTTCTGTACAACCTGCAGAATCATGAGCCAATTAAACCTTCTTGCTTTCCCTTTTTTTTTTCAGAAACACACTACAATAGTTAATTTTATTTGTTCAAGAACTCATACTGCAAGCATTAAACCAAGCATAGTCTTTGATTCTGTGAGCCCAAATTCACGTTGAAGAAGATCAAAGCAAACTGGGATCCAGTAAATGGATGAAAACTAAAGGCTCAGAGTTAATCACATTGTAGTTTTTAAATTTCTACAGCCTAGAGCTCAGTAGTCACAGGTCTTTTAGGTCCTTCTGGATGTCCCACGGGGTATCTGTACTTTTCTTGAACTGAGCAACCTCATCATCCTTTAGCTTCTGGTTGATAACGCTGGTTAATCCCCGGGCATTGAGGATATATGGAAGGCTCAGGAAGACTTCATTCTCGATGCCATACATCCCCTTTACCATTGTTGACACGAGATGAATCCTGGATAGATTTTTCAACATGGATTCAATGAGATCAGCCACACTTAATCCAATATCCCAGTGGGTATATCCATTTAGCTTGTTGACTTCATAGGCATTTTCAACCACCATCTTATGCACTTCTTTCCAATTTTCACTATCATTGTCAGTTCCTATTTCTGGATTCAATTCCTGGAGAGAAAAACCTGTCACATTCATGCCAATCCACACAGCCACACTTGAGTCACTATGTTCCCCCAAAATCCTTCCATGGCAGCTGCTGGGATGAATGCCAAATTTTTCATCCATAAGGCAGTGAAATCTAGCAGAATCCGGATTACATCCACTTCCAATCACATGGTGTTTGAGTAATCCACTTATTTTCCAGGTAACATACGTAAGAATGTCCCCTAGGTTGGAAACCACAATTATGTGCAATCAGAAGTGTGCTTGACAATTTGAGGAATAATGAATTTGAAGACATTAACATTTTTTCTGCACCAAATTGAGACGCCTCTCCCCCTCTTGCTGAAGGACTCCTGAAGTTACCACTACAATCTTATAACTGGCAGTCACAGAATAATCTTTATCTGCCACAATTTTAAGCTTCTTGAGAAATAAGCTCCCATGCTGCAGATCCATCATTTCTCCTTTAAGCTTATCTTCCAAAACATCCACAAAAGCAAATTCATCAGCCAGAGATTTTCCCAGAATGCTGATAGCACACGCCATACCAACTTGTCCAACACTCACTACAGTGATCTTATTGTTTTGGACTGTTGCCTCTTCTTCCGCAACTGGTACAATGAGTTTTTCCTTAAGAGTTGCTATTTTGCACAGGAGAGAGAAGGCTCTGGAAAGTGCTGTAACAGCGTGTGGAGGAGACAATGTCAGCTCTGTCAAAACCTTCTTTATAAATTACCCAGTCTCAGGTATTTCTTTATAACCATGTGAGAACAGTCTAACACAATAATTTAATTGCACATTTTAGAATAACTAAAAAGAGTTATAATTGGATTGTTTGTAACACAAAAGATATATATTTCAGGGAATGGATGCTCCATTTTCTATAATGTGATTATTATGCATTATGTGCCTGTACCAAAACATCTAATTTACTTCACAAATATATACACCTACTATGTACTCACAAAAATTTAAATAGATAATTAAAACTAGAAGCAGAAATCCTGAACAGACCAATAATGAGCAATTAAATCAAATCAGTAGTAAAATTTTTCAACAAAGAAGACCAGGACTAAACAGATTCATAGCCAAATTTTGCCGGATGTACATGCAGGCTCTAGTACCAATTCTACTAAAACTATTCAAAAATACCAAAGAGGAGAGATTTCTCCCTAACTCATACTACAAAGCCTGTATCACTCTGATACCAAATCAGGCAAACACACAATAACAAGAAAGAAAACTACAGACAAATATCCAAGGTGAGCATAAATGAAAAAATCCTGAGCAAAATACTAACAAGTCAATTCCAATAGCACATCAAAAAGATAATACATTGTGATCAAATAGATTTTCTCCCAGAGATGCAAAGATGGTTCAAGGCATACAAATCAATAAATCAATCACCACATAAACAGATTTAAAAATAAAAACCATATAATCATCTCAATAGATGCAGAAAATGGATTCCATGAAGTCCAACATTCCTTCACGATAAAAACACTAAAAAACCAAACTAGACATTAAAGAAACGTATCTCAAAATAATAAGAGCCTTATATTACAAACCCACAGCCAACATTATACTAAATGGAAAAAGTGGGGAGCATTTTCTCTCAGACTAAAACAAGATGAGGTTGTGCACTCTCACCACTCCTATTCAACATAGTTCAAGAAATCCTACAGAGCAATGAGACAAGTGAAAGCAATAAAAGGCATTCAAATAAGAACTTAAATCAAATTACCTATTTTTACTGATGATATGATTTTATACCTAGAACACTCTGAGGACTCCACCAAAAGGCTCTTAGAACTGACAAAATCTGCAGTCAAAGTTTCAGAATAAAGAATCAGTGTACACAAATTAGTAGCATTTTCATACACCAATAACAATCAAGCTGAGAACCAAACTGAGAATGAAATTTTATTTACAATGGCCTTAAGAAAGCCAGAATACATTTAAGTAAGAAGGTAAAGTCTCTACAAGGAGAACTAGAAATCATTGATGAAGGAAATTGTAGATGATACAAATGGAAAAATGTCCCATACTCATCAATTAGAAGAATAAATATTATTAAAATGACCACACTGCCCAAAGCAGTCTATGGATTCAATGCAGTTAATATCAATTTACTAATGACATTTTTCACAACTTTAGAATAAACAATTCTAAAGTTTATATGGAGCCAGGCATGGTGGATCATGCCTGTAGTCCCAGCACTTTGGGAGGCTGAGTCCAGTGGATCACTTGAGGCCAGAAGGTCAAGACCAGCCTGGTCAACATGGTGAAACCCCATCCCTACTAAAAATCGAAATAAAATAAAATAAAATAACCTGGCATGGTGGTGCGTGCCTGAAACCCCAGGTACTCTAGAGACTAAGGGAGGAGAATCACTTGAACTCAAAAGGCAGAGGTTGCACTGAGCCAAGATTATGCCACTGAATTCCAGCCTGGTCAACAGAATAAGACTGTCTCAAAATAAATAAACAAACAAATAAATAAATAAATAAATAAAGTTTATATGGGATCAAAAAAGAGTACAAATAGCCAAAGCAATCCTAAGCAAAACACACAAAGCTAGAGCCATTACATAGCCTGACATCAAATCATACTACAAGGTTATAGTAACTAAAACGGCATTGTACTAGTACCAAAATAGACACACAGATCAATGGAACGGAATAGAAAATCCCGAAATAAAGCCACACACCTATGACCAACTGACCTTCAACAAAACCAGCATAAATAAGCAATAAAGAAAGAACTCCTTTTTCAATAATTGGTGCTGAATAAATTGGCCAGCCATATGCAGAAGAATAAATCTGGACCTTCACCTATCATGATATACAAAAATTAACTCAAAATGGATTAAAGACCTAAATGTAAAGCCTGAAACTATAAAAATTCCAGAAGAAAATCAAGGAGAAACTCTTCTGGTCATTGATTTAGGAAAATAATTTATAAATAAGACCTCAAAAGTGAATACAAAATAAAAACCCAAAATAGACAAAAGGGACCAAACTAAACTAAGAAGGTTCTGCACAGCAATAGAAATATTCAACAGAGTAAACAGACAACCTACAAAGTGGGAGAAAATATTTGCAAATTAATCCTCTGACAAAAATAATCTTCAAGGAACTCAAACAACTCAACAAGAAAAAACAAACAACTTCATTAAAAAGTGGACAAAGAACAAGAATGAGCATTTTTTTAAAAGACGACATACAAGCAGCTAAGAAACATGAAATAATGCACATCAGTAATAATCAGATAAACGCAAATTAAAACAACAATGAGAAACTAGTTTATACTAGTCAGAATTATTATTAAAAAATCAAAAACAATAGATGTTGGCACGGGTGTGGAGAAACACAGATGTTTATGCACTGTTGGTGGGAATTTAAGTTAGCACAAGCCTCGTGTAAAACAGTATGAAACTATTTCAAAGAACTGAAAATAGAACTACCATTCTACCCAGCAATCTAACTACTATCTACCCAAAGGAAAATAAGTTATTGTATAAAAAACAAATCTGCACTCATATGTTTACTCTATTCATAGTAGCAAAGTCATGAGATTAACCTCATTGTCTTCACTGGTTAATTGAATAAATATAATGTGGTATACATACACAATGAAATACTGTGCAGCCATAAAAAGAATAAAATCTTGTTCTTTGCCAGAATATGGATGGAGCTGGAGGCCATTGTCCTAAGTAAAATAACTCAGAAACAAAAAATCAAACACTGCAGGGTCTCACTTATTAGTTGGAGATAAACAATGGGAACACATAGACACAAAGATGAATGTTATGAACACTGGGGTCTCCAAACAAGGGGAAGGGGAGAGGAGTGTGAGTGTTGTAAAAATATCTATTGGGTACAATGTTCACTGTTTGAATGATGGGTATACCAGAAGCCCAAACCTTACCATTATGCACTATATTCATGTAAGAAACCTACACATGTACCCCTTGAAAATAAAGTTAAAATGCATATTCTATTTCAGTTGTGCATAAAATGAGTGAAAAAAATATAAAAAAAGAGTATAAATATTTTATTTCTAGTGTGCTTCCCTCCACCAAAAATGATGAATGATGACAAGTGTTGTCAAGGATGTGAAAAACAGGGTACACTTGTACCTAATTGGTAAAAATGTAAACTAGTAAAACTATTTTAAAAATTGTATGGAGCTTTCTCAGAAAGATAAAAATAGAATTACAATATGATCCAGCAATCCCACCCCCTGGTATTTACTCCAAAGGGTTGAAATCTGTATGTTGAAAAGAAGTCTGCATTTTCATGTTCATTGCAGCATTGTTCGTAATAGCCAAGTTATAGAATAAACCTTAGTGTCTATCAACAGATGAATGTTGGCATGGATGTGGAGAAACAGGGATGCTTATGCACTGTTGGTGGGAATAAAGAAAGATATGAAGATGAATGAAGAAAGATAAAGTGGTATATATAGGCATGTTTTATTTAATTCCACTTCACAGTTATTGCCTTTTTTTTTTTTTTGCAAATTGAAGGTTTGTGGCAATCCTGCATCAACCAAATTTATCAGTGCCATTTTTCCAACAACATGTGTTCACATAATGTTTTTGTCATATTTTGGTAATTCTCATAATATTTTAAGTCTTTTCATTTTATTATATTTTTCATGGTGGTCTGTGATTAGTGATCTTACTATTGAAATTGTTTTGAGAGGCTAATTATGCCCATATAAGACAGTGACCTTAATGAATATACATGCATATTTTGACTGATCTACTTTCTGGCTATTCCTCTATCTCTCTCCCTCTCCTCAGGCCTCCTTATTTCCTGAGACATAACAATATTAAAATTAGGTTAATTATAAGCCAAAAGAACAAAGCTGCAATACCTGACTTCAAACTATAGTATAAGGCTATGGTAACCAAAACAGCATGGTACTGGTATCAAAACAGAGATATAGACCAATGGAACAGAACAGAGCCCTCAGAAATAATGCCGCATATCTACAACTATCTGATCTTTGACAAACCTGACAAAAACAAGAAATGGAGAAGTGATTCCCTATTTAATAAATGTTGCTGGGAAAACTGGCTAGCCATATGCAGAAAGCTGAAACTGGAACCCTTCCTTACACCTTACACGAAAATGAATTCAAGATCGATTAAAGACTTAATTTTAGACCTAAAACCATAAAAACCATAGAAGAAAACCTAGGCAATACCATTCAGGACATAGGCATGGGCAAGGACTTCATGTCTAAAACACCAAAAGCAATGGCAACAAAAGTCAAAATTGACAAATGGGATCTAATTAAACTAAAGAGCTTCTGCACAGCAAAAGAAACTAACATCAGAGTGAACAAGCAACCTACAGAATGGGAGAAAATTTTTGCAATCTACTCATCTGGCAAAGGGCTAATATCCAGAATCTACAATGAACTCAAACAAATTTACAAGAAAAAAATCAAACAACCCCATCAAAAAGTAGGAAAAGGGTATGAACAGATACTTCTCAAAAGAAGACATTTATGCAGCCAACAGACACATGAAAAAGTGCTCATCATCACTGGTCATCAGAGAAATGCACATCAAAACCTCAATGAGATACCATCTCACACCAGTTAGAATGGAGATCATTAAAAATTCAGGAAACAACAGGTGCTGGAGAGGATGTAGAGAAATAGGAACACTTTTACACTGTTGGTGGGACTGTAAACTGGTTCAACCATTGTGGAAGACAGTGTGGTGATTCCTCAAGGATCTAGAACTAGAAGTACCATTTGACCCAGCAGTCCCATTACTGGGTATATACCCAAAGGATTATACATTATTCTGCTATAAAGACACATGCACATGTATGTTTATTGTGGCATTATTCACAATAGCAAAGACTTGGAACCAACCCAAATGCCCATCAATGATAGACTGGATTAAGAAAATGTGGCACATATACACCATGGAATACTATGGAGCCATAAAAAATGATGAGTTCATGTCCTTTGTAGGGACATGGGTGAAGCTGGAAACCATCATTCTCAGCAAACTATCACAAGGACAAAAAACCAAACACCGCATGTTCTCACTCATAGGTGGGAATTGAACAATGAGAACACTTGGACACAGGAAGGGGAACATCACACACCAGGGCCTGTTGTGGGGTTGGGGGAGCTGGGAGGGATAGCATTAGGAGATATACCTAATGTAAATGACGAGTTAATGGGTGTAACACACCAACATGTCACATGTATACATATGTAACAAACCTACACGTTGTGCACATGTACCCTAGAACTTAAAATACAATAAAAAATAATGATAATAATAATTTTAAAAAATTAGGTTAATTAATAAGCCTACAATGACCTCTAAGTGTTGAAGTCAAAGAAAGAGTTGCATGTCTCTTAATTTAAATCAAAAGGTAGAAGAGACAAAGTTTTATGAGTAATAAATATCAAAACCCAAAACACGTCAAAAGCTAGGACTCTGGCACCAAGCAGCCATGCTGTGAATGCAAAGGAATGGTTCCTGAAGGAAATTTAAAATGCTACTCCAGTGAACACATGAATGAAAAGAAGGTAAAACAGCTTTATTGCTGATATGGACAAAGTTTTAGTGATCTGGATAGAAAATCAAATCAGTTCTTACACTCTTTCAAGCTAAAACCTAATCCTGAACAATGCCCTGTCTCACTTAAATTCTATGAAGGCTGAGATAGGTGATGAAGCTGAAGAAGAAAACTTTGAATCTAGCAGAGATTGGTTCATAAGGTTGAAGGAAAGAAGCCATCTCCACAACATAGAAGGATATGTGAACCAGCAAATATTGATGCAAAAGTTGCAGCAAATTATTTAGAAGATTTAACTAAGATAATTGACAAAGGTGGCTGCAGTAAATATTTTATTTTTAATGCAGGTTAAACAGCCTTATATTGGAAGAAGATGACATATATAATAGAATATTCATAACAGAGAGAAGTTAATATCTGGCTTCAAAGCTTCAAAGGACAGGCTGATTCTCTTGTTAGAGGCTAATCCAGCTTGTGACTTAAAGGTAAAGACAATGCTTATTTACCTGTCTGAAAATCCTAGAGCCTTTAAGAATTACCCTGAGTCTACTCTACTGTGCTTTATCAATGGAACAACAAAGTCAATATTAAAGCACATCTATTTACAGTATGGTTTACTGAATACTTTAAGCCCATTGTTGAGACCTACTGCTCAGAAAGAAAGATTTCTTTCAAAATATTACTTCTCATTGATAATGCACCTGGTCAGCCAACAGTGCTGATTGAGATGTAGAAGGATATTAATGTTGTTTTCATGCCTGGTAACACAACATTCATTTTATTCCCCATGGGTCTAAAAGTACATTTGACTTTCAAGTCTTATTCATTAAGAAATATATTTAGTAAGGCTATAGCGGCCATAGATAGTGATTCCTTTGATGAACCTGAGCAAAGTAAACTAAAAACCTTCTTGAAAGGATTCACCATTCTACATGCCATTAAAACTTTAATATTTCATGGAAGGAGGTCAAAATATCAGCATTGACAAGAGTTTGGAAGATATTAATTTCAATCCTCATGAATGATTTAGAGGAGTTCAAGACTTTAGTGGAGTAAGAAACTGTAGATATGGTGGAAATAGCAAGAGAACTAGTATTAAATGTGGATCTAGAAGATGTGACTGAATTACTGCAATCTCATAGTAAAACTCAAATAGATAAAGAGTTGCTTTTTATGGATCAGCAAAAAAAGTGATTTCTTGAGATGGTATCTATTTCTGATGAAGATACTGTGAACATGGTTGAAATGACTATAAAAGATTTGGAATATTACATAGACTTAATTGATAATAAAGTGTGAGAAGTTGAGAAGATTAACTAATTTTGAAAGAAGCTCTACAGTAAATAAAATGCTACCAAATACCAAGGCATGTTACAGAGAAATGTTTTGTGAATGGTCAATCAATGCAGCAAAATTCATGTTTGTCTTTTGTAAGTAATTGTCACCAGCACTCAAACCTTTAGCAATTTTCACCCTAATCAGTAAGCAGCCATCAACATTGAGGCAGAATCTTCCATCATTAAAAAATATGATTCCCTGAAAGCTCAGATAAGTTTTTAGCACTTTTAGCAATAAAATATTTTAGAATTAAGGTATATACATTGTACTTTAGACATAATGCTATTGTACACACAAATGGTCTACAGTATAATGTAAACACATCTTTTATATGCACTGGAAAACCAAAAACTTTGTGTAATTTGTTTTATTGTAATATTTGCTTTTTTGCTGTGGTCTGGAACCAAACCTGCAATATCTACGAGGTCTGCCTGTATGCACAATGAAATACTATTCAGCCTTAACAAACAAACAAAAAAATTGTCAATTTTGACTATGTGAATGAAATTGGAGAACATTATGCCATATGAAATAAGCTAAGCACAGAGAGACAAATATCACAATACTTAATGTGGAATCTAAAACAATCCAACTCAAAGAATCAGATAGTAAAATTGTGATTATCAGAGGCCTGGAAACTGGGAGAAATAAAGAAATTACGGTTAAGAGGTGCAAAACCTCAATTAAATAGAAGGAATAAGTGTTGCGCTTTTTTTTTACATTCCAATATATTGCATACCATGTAGAATATAGTAGATAATAATGTACATTTTAAAATAGCTAAGAAAGCTTCAAATGTTCTCACCACAAAAATAAGTATTTGAGGTGATAGATATGTTAGACTTATTCAATTATTACACATTATATTCATAGATTATAACCTCATTTTGTACCACATAAACATATACAACTATAATTTGTCAATTTAAAATTAAAAATAAAAATTGAAAATTATTTATTAACAAATAATATACAACTACCACACAACTCAGACACTTTATTTTTGAGTATTTACTGAGAGAAATGAAATGTCAATAAATAGACTTGTAAGACCGGCGTGGTGGCTCATGCCTGTAATCCCAGCACTTTGGGAGGCCGAGGTGGGCGGATCACCTGAGTTCACGAGTTCTAGACCAGCCTGGCCAACACGGTGAAACACTGCCTCTACTAAAAATACAAAATTTAGCTGGGCATTGTGGCGGGTGCCTGTAATCCCAACTACTCGGGAAGCAGAGGCAGGAGAATTGCTTAAACCTGGGAGGCGGAAGTGGAAGTGAGCCAAGATTGTGCCATTGCACTACAGCCTTGGTGAGAAAAAGTGAAACTCCATCTTAAACTAAACTAAAATAAAATAAAATAAAATAAAGGCTTGTACATGATTATTCATTGTAACCTTATGTATAAAAATAAAAAGCTGGAACAACACGAATTTTTATCAAAAGGTGAATTGATAAATGAATTATCATATATTCATATAATGGAATGCTACTCAGCAATAAAAAGGAGCCAAGTATTGATACACACAACAACACAGATGACTCTCAAAATAGTTACACTAAGTTAAAAATTCAGGTGTGAAATGGTTACATGCTATATAAGTCTAGTTATTTAGAATTTAAAAAAATTATGACAGGAAAAGGTCAGTGATTGTCTGGGACAGAAAGTGGGGATGGATTACAGAGGAGCATGAGAAAACTTCTGGTGTTGATAAACATGTTTGTTATCTTAATTGTTGTAATGGTTTATTGGATGTTACAACAAGACTTTAGAGTAAACAAAAAAAAAAAAACAGAAATGGATTTCTTGACTATCATGTTGAAAGTAACCATGACTTAGCTAGTTAATGATGTAGCAAAGAAACTGCTTGTTTTAGATCAGGTTAGTTAAGTAAACTGTGACTCAGTTATGCTGCTGTATTTAATAGATAACTTCTTTTTCTCCTGTCTTTCTGCCTACCCTAACTTTTTCTTTTTTTTCGAATTGCATACTACAAAATATGTATGTGTGTGCACACATGTATTTATATATATATATAAAACAGTTTAATTTTAAAATATGGGTAAAAAACGTGAATAGACATTTCTCTACAAAAAAAATTATACCAATGGCCAATAAGCACATGAAAACATGCCCAACATGACTAATCATTAGGAAAATACAAATCAAAACTACAAGGAGATACTACTTCACATCCAGTAGGATGGCTATTATAAAATAAGAAGGAACTAGTGTTGGTGAGAATGTGGACAGATTTTAACTTTTGTTCATTGTTGATGACATTGTACAATGATGTAGCCACTATGGAAGCAGTGTGACATTTTTGAAAAAAAACCTTACCATATGATCTAGCTGAGTAAGATTTTCTGAGTGTATACTCAAAAGAATTAAAAGTAGGAACTCAGATATTTCTATACCTTGTTCATAGCTGCATATTCACATTAGCCAAAAGGTGAAAACAGCCTGTGTCCACCATTGGAGGAATGGATAAACAAAATGTGGTATATAAAATGTGACATTATTTAACCTTAGAAATTGTGACACCTGTTACAGCATGGATAAAATTTGAAGATATGATGCTAAGTAAAATAAGCCAGTCAGAGAAAGACAATTTGCATAATTCTACTTGCATGATGTACCTGCAGGGGCAAATTTATAGAGACAGAAAGCAGAATTGTGATGGATGGGGACTGGGTGTAAGGAAAAGTGGTTATTTAGTGTTTAATGAGCACAGAGTTTATTGTTTTATTTTGTTTTATTTTTTAACTTTTATTTTAAATTCAGGGGTACATGTGCAGGTTTGTTACATAGGTAAACTATCATGGAGATCTGTTGGACAGATCATTTCATCACCCAGGTATTAAGCCTGGTACCCATTAGTTGTTTTTCCTGTTCCTCTCTCTCCCCCAACTGTCTACCCACCAAAAGGCACCAGTGTGTGTTGTTTCCCCACCATGTGTCAATGTGTTCTCATCATTTAGCTCCCACTTTAAGTGAGAAAATGTGGTATTTGGTTTTCAGTTCATGCCTTTGTTTGCTAAGGATAGTGGCCTCCAGCTCCATCCATGTTATTGCATAAGACATGATCTCATTCTTTTTTATGGCTGCATACTATTCCATGGTGTATATGTACCATATTTTCTTTATGTAGTCTATTATAGATGGACATTTAGATTGATTCCATGTCTCTGCTATTGTGAATAAGATGGACATTTAGATTGTTTCCATATCTTTTCTATTGTGAATAGTGCTGTAGTAAACACATTTGTGCATGTGTCTTTATAATAGAATAACTTATGTTCTGTTGGGTACATACCCAGTAATGAGATTGCCGGGTGAAATGCTATTTCTGTCTTTAGGTTTTGAGGAATTACCATACCGTCTTCCCCAATGGTAGAACTAATTTACAGTTCCACCAATAGTTTGTAAGCATTCCTTTTTCTCCACAATCTTGCCAGCATCTGTTATTTTTTGACTTTCTAATAATAGCCATTCTGACTGGGTGAGATGATATCTCATTGTAGTTTTGATTTGCATTTCTCTAATGATCAGTGATGTTGAGTTTTTAAAAATATGATCATTGGCCAAATGTATGTCTTATTTTCAAAAGTGTTTGTTTATGTCCTTTGCTCCCTTTTTAATGGGGTTATTTGTTTTATACTATAAATTTGTTTTAGTTTCTTATAGATGCTGGATATTAGACCTTTGTCAGATGAATCATTTGCAAAAATTTTCTTTCATTCTGTAGGCTGTTTATTCTGTTGATTATTTATTTTGCTGTGCAGACATTATTTAGTTTAATTAGATCCCACTTGCCAAGTTATGCTTTTGTTGCAATTGCTTTTGGCATCTTCATCATGAAATCTTTGTCTGAGCACCGAGTTTCAGTTTTGGAAAATAAAAAATGTTTTGGAGATAGATCGTGATGATAGTTACACAACAAGGTGGATGTGCAAATGCTTCTGAACTGTATACTGGCAAAAAGTTAAAATGGTAAATTTTATGCTGTGTATATTTTGCCACAATTAAAAAATAAAAGTAAGAATTTAAATTAAAAAGTCAACAAATACATGATGATTAAATAATATCTCTTTGGTACAAAATAAGCTAGTAAAGTAGGAACAGAGGAACAAAACAAGCACACACATGTATGGAACACATAGAAGACATAATTCCAACCATATTAATAATAAAATTAGCTATAGATGGATTAAACACTCCATCGAAAACATAAATAGGCTGAATTAATATATCTACTAGTTGCTGTCTACCAGAGACACACTTAAGTTTTAAAAACACAAAGAGATTGAATGTAAATGACAGAAAAATATATACCATGAAAACAATAACCGAAAAACTTAAGTGGCTATACTAGTATTACATAAAGAAAATTTAAAGTATAAAATTCACCAGAGACAAGAACATACATTTATAGTGATAGAAATATAAAATCACCAGGAAGATATACAAATTATAAAAGTGTTGGTACTTAGAAGATGCACCAAAATACATAGAACAAAAACTGATAAATTTGTCCCGATAGACATTTCTCTTTTTAAAATTTTATTTTATTTTAATTATATTTAATTTTTATTTTAAGTTCATGGGCACATGTGCAGATTTGCTGTATAGGTAAAGCTGTATCATGAGGGTTTGTTGTACAGATTATTGCATCACCCAGGTGTTAAGCTTAGTACCTATTAGTTATTTTTAATTCTCAAGTAAACATGGGACATTCTATATAACAGACATATGATAGGCCTTAGCGAAAATCTCAATGGAGTTAAAAGAATAGGAATTATCCAAAGTATGTAATTGTATCATAATGGAATTAAACAGGAAGTCATCAAATGAAGGAATGTTAAGAAATCCAAAAATTGTAAAAATTAAACAATTGTAAAAACAATTAAAAAATTTAAACATTGTAAAAATTAAACAATGCACTTCTAGAGAACATATGGGTCAAATAAGTAATCATAAACTTAGAAAATTCTTTGTGGTAAATCAAAATGAATATACAATATATCAAAATTTAAGGAATGCAGCTACAGTAGAGCTTAGGGAAAGAGCTATTGCTCTGTACACATATATTTGAATATAATAATCTCATATCAATAACCTATTTTTCCACTTTTAAAAAATAAGAAAATGAAGAGATACCTAAACTTAAAGGGTGAAAATAATAAATATGAGAATCAAAGTTCAATAAATAGCAGAAAACAATACAAAAACAAAAAGAATTTGATCTGTGAATGATCAACAAATTTGACAAAACTTTTTCTGTACTCCCTAACAACAACAAAAAATAAATTAAAAACATACATTATTAAATCAGGAATCAAACATAGAATATCAACATAATTCAGTGGTCACCAAATAATTACATGTGCTTAAACACTTTTTGTCTGTATATATTTTACTCTTTGCTTAAGGTATTTGTGTGTAAAAGTGCATTTAATATTCAGGATGTTTACAATTCTGGCTGAATTTTCACTTTTTGCTGGGACAATGCCTCATCTATGGATCACACTTTTCTATTTTTGTGTAACATAATTTCTTATTCAAACATTATACTATAAAATATATGATGGCAAGTATACATTATTATTTTCCCACCCAGGAATCATTTTGTTTGCTCTTCATTTTGTTTTACTTATTTAGTGATTTGACAGTACTCATTTTGTAGTGTTTTTCCCCCTGCAACGTATAGTCACTTTTGTCTCTGTTCAGTTTTTTATACTTTTGTTACTGTTTTTGTTATTATCCTTATTGTTGCTTTTAAGTATTTAGTTTTTTTTTTTTCCCTTGGAGCCATCTCTGAATCAGCATAACTTAGGGCCCACCAAATGACTCATTTCCATCTAGAGATTCACCTGGTGTTGGAAATATTTTATTCCCATAAGTACTCTTGAGATTAGTTCTTGTATTAAGTTACCATGCTTCAAACAGTTCGATCCCCTCAGGTCTTGCTTTTTAGCTTTATAAGGGTGAGAAAATAGCAACAATTAGTGTAGGGATTTTCCTGCTTTTTAGCTTTATGAGGGTGAGAAAATACAATTAGTATAGGGATTTTTTCCCCCACCATTGAGAAAAAAAAAGTTCTTATTTTTCAACACAACTTCCAATGAAGTTTTCACTTTGGGTGGTGCGCACAGACAGTATTCCTGGCCCTGTATTAGCTGTGGATTTTTCTATCTAATTCTGCTATGTAGTCCTTTCTCCAGCTTTCAGTAATTTCTCATTTGCAGTTCTCACTCCGCAGCTTTCTAGTTTTCAATACTTTGTCCTACAAATCCTATTTATTTGGGCTTCCTTGAATTCAAAGCTTACTCTAATTATTTATTTTTCAGTAATAATAATAAAAGCACTTTAACTCTCTATTCTGATATCATTTTTCCTTATTACATTGGCTGGAACCTTCAATATAATGTTTAATAAAAGTGATGGGGATTATTTTCCTAGATGGCAGATTGTAGGCAGTGTTAGCCTGCCTCTCCCACTTGGAAGAACAGAATAGTATGTAGAGATTCACACTGTGAACTTTTATCCAATAAGCAATGCAGGAATTTAACATTAAAAGAAAAAAATCCACAGGCCCTTTGAAAAAAGTGACAGGATGCAGCCTACTCTGTGAGACAGGTGAAAAACTGTAAGTCCCCAGAGTGTGATAGGGACAGAGACTGCCTCCAGAATACACATCTCCACTGGGGAACTGAAAACTGAGGCCACAGGAAAAGGTCTTAACCCTACCCAGAGCTGGAACTGATTTAGGGAGTGGCAAGGAATATAAAAGTATAAGGAGCAGTGGGAAGTGCCTTGCAGGCATTTCCAGTCTCCATCATGGACAGAGGGAAGTTATTCCTAATTATATCTCACACAAGATGCTAGGAAAGTCAGCCAACTAGCTCAAGGAATGGTCACAGGGTGAAAGAAGCTCCCAAATGAATTTCTTAATATAATCTTGAGTGGGGCAAAACTCCCTTGACCAGAACTCAGGGGGTGAGTGAGAAATGTGCTGCAGACACAAACACGGGACTTGGGTGACTGATCTTGTGGCCAGACAAGGAGGCAAGTGGCCTGAAACCTGCTGTTGCTATCTCTGTGGGAAAAGCTCATTGCTTTGGGCAGGACTGAGTTCTGTGCACAGACTGCCAGGATCTTATCCTGGTGCTGTTAGTGGAGCACTGCAGAAGTGAGATTTACTTTGTCAACTGCATTGGAGCTGCATGAATCTTACTGCCACCTGCTACTCCCCACTCCCTTTGTGAACTCTTCTGTGTAGAAGGGACATTTATAATCCCTTCTGGAACATTACCCCAGCAGCCTGAGTACCACCCCCTGACTTCTTAGGGGCCATGGCTTGCCACTCCCAAGGAGAGTTTGAGTCCAGACCTGCCTAATGGTATCCCTAACCTGGTTGTGCCTCCATCTGCCCTGGTAGCTTACCATGAATGACAAATTTTTGGGAGCTTTAGCCCTGCTCATCACCTGAGAAACCAGAATACACTCCCTGGGCAACTTAGGAAAAGCTCAAATCTCACCACTACTACTGGAGCTGGTGTTCTTTTGCAAGTGCCACCTCCAGGCTGGAGGACAACCAACACAGTCCATTACAGCATTTCTAGGTAGAATAACACTGTGACCAGGAAGGAGAAAACAGCTGCATGGCCTCAGCTATCACCACAGCCTGCAACACACTGGCTAACCAGAAGTCCTGAATCTGTTTATGTGATATGTTCACTACAATTATGACCAACATTTGTGAAAGCCAGCACGCTAAGCCTATCTACAACCAAGGAATTTCACAGTCTATGTCACTCCCCTGCCACCTCCATTAGAGCTGGTTCTGGTACCCACTGCTGAGAGAGTTGATGACAGGTTTCATCAACGGATCCCTGCAGACATTCCCAAGCACAAGCCCAGAGTGTGGCAGTCCCACTGGGTGGCTAACACTTGAAGAGCAGTAACAATTACTGCAGTCTGGTTCTTAGGAACTCTTACTCCTAGGGGAAAAGAAAAGGTGCCACATCAAGGGAACACCCATAAAACAAAAGAATCTGGACAGCAAGCCTTGAGTCTCAGATTTTTCTGCTGGTGGGAAGTTTCATACAGCAGAGACACAATTGCAGTGCTGAGTGCAGCAGGGAATGTCTGCACCACTACTCCAGTCAGGAAGACTTCATGCCAATAAAGGATCTTGGAGACAAGATTCTTGTTCCACATCCCCCTTGTCTACCACCGCAGACACAACTGAGGCTTCTCCCATGAGACTTCAGCATGAATGCACCTATAGACAGCCTTTCTGAAATGATTAAGAATGATTGCAGGCTGGGCGCAGTGGCTCATACCTGTAATGTTAACACTTTGGGAGGCCGAGTGGGCAGATCACTTCAGGTCAGGAGTTCGAGACCAACCTGGCCAACATGGTGAAACCCCGTTTCTGTTAAAAATACAAAACTTAGCCAGGCATGGTGGTGGATGCCTGTAATCTCAGCTACTTGGGAGGCTGATGCAGGAGAATCACTTGAACCTGGGAGGTGAAGGTTGCAGTGAGCTGAGATCGTACCACTGCACACCTTCCTGGGGGACAAGAGCAAAACTCAGTCTCAAAAAAAAATTGCATCCCCACTGGTGGAGCACTCCCCAGGTTCAGGCTTGCACAAAGGCAGAGTTACTATTCATTTTTACTGGGAACATCAACATTTCTACAGATAAAAAGAGATGCCTGAGTGACCTGAATAGCCAGGACATTGGGTCAGGAATGAGGCTGCGAGGTAGATAGCTTTTCTGCTGACCCGGCAAGTGAGTTGAGGCAGCTCCGACCCTTCACCCCAATGAAACTTAAGTGCATTTAATTGAGAGCTCCCCAGGCACATTCATCAATGCTGGGATCTTTGTCCACCATTGGTTATTGCATCTGCCCAAATGCTTTAGCTACAACAAGTTCCTAGCCAGGGATACCTCCCCTACTGGCCTGAAGCCTGAACCATCAACTCAGTAAATAAGATACTGGTGGGGAAAATTAAATTAAAAAGGTGTGCACCACGAAGGAATGAGATAAGCTTCAAGAGATCCTTGCCATTCCAACCCCATGGGAGATAGTAAACTTGCTCATACAACAAGTTCATAACTACTATTAATACAACCAGAATCTGAGAAAGCCAGCACACAAAGACTCTCTATAACCAAGAAACTCATACAGAGTATTTACCCCTAAAAGCATCAAGAACCAAATTAAGCTGTAATAAACTACAAACATTAAAGTCATATCCTTAAGAAGAAAAACAACTATTTTAAAAGTCAAACCAACAATAAAATTAAAAAAAATTAAAGAAGTAGTGTACTCAAATGAGAAGAAAGCAGAAAAGTAATTCTGTTAATATGACAAAACAGGATGTTATAGCACCCCCAAGAGATTGTACTAATGCCCAGCAATGGATCCAAAACAAGAAGAAACCTTTGAAGTACCAGATAAAAAATTCAGAAATTTAATTAGTAAGCTAGTCAAAGAGATACCAGAGCAAGGTGAAAATCAACATATAGAATTAAAAAAAAATCAGTATAAATATTTTAAAATTTCCAGAGAGATAGATATCATAAACAAAAACCATTCAGAACATTTGGAAATGAAAGACACACTTATAAAAACACAAAGTATGGTGGAAATCTTCAAAAATAGACTAGAACAAGTAGAAGAAAGAATTTCAGAGCTTGATGACCAGGCTTTCAAATTAACCCAATCACACAAAGATAAAAAAGAAATAATCAAAAGAAATGAACAGAGTCTCTAAGAAATATGGGGTTATGTAAAATGGCCAACCCTAAGAATTATTGGTGTTCCTGAGGAAGAAAAAGCTAAAAGTTTGGAAAACATGTTTGAGGGAATAATTCAGGAAAATTTCCTTGGCTTCGATAGAGATTTAGATATCCAAATATAAGAAGCTCTAAGAATCCCTGAGAAATTTATTGCAAAAAGATTACCAAAGCACATAGTCATCAATCTATCTAAAGTCAACATAAAAGAAAGCATTCTAGAAGCTGTGAGACAAAAGCATCAGGCAACTTGAATATATATATAAAACTAACTAACAGTGGACTTTCCAGCAGTAGCTTTACAAGCTAGAAGAGAGTGGGGTTCTATCTTGAGCCTACTTAAACAGAATAATTATCAGCCAGTAATTTTATATCTGGTAAAACTGAGCTTCATAAATGAAGGAGAGATAGTCTTTTACAGACAAAAAATGTGGAGGAAATTTGTCACTACCAAACCAGTACTATAAGAAATTATAAAAGAAGGATTAAGGTGGTGGATAGGAGGCAGGACTAGCTTGCATCTCCCTCTGAGATGGACAGAACAGCATGTGGAGACTTACATCATAAACTTTTGCTCCAAGAACTACTGCAGGAACATACCAGGAAAGCCAAGAGAATCCACAGACCCTTTGAAGAAACTGGATCACTGCTGCAGGTGTCCTGAGATGCTGAAAAACTGTGAGTCTGGTAGCTTTCTCAACAGGGAGGCTCATGGTCTGTTGCAGGTTCTCAGCTGTGATTACCAGCTGCCTCGAAATAGACTCCATGCTTTTGCGGGGGCATGATGGGAATGAGACTGGTCTTTAGGACTGTGGGCTGCACGGGAGCAAGGTGAGGCCTGTGACTGCCAGCTTTCCCCTAATTTCCTGATGACCTGTATGACTCAGCAAAGGCAGCCATAAGATCCTGGGAATATAACTCCATTGGACTGGGAACCACACTCCCATCCCCCACAGCGGATGGGGCAAGCCCCACTCAAGGAGAGACTGAGCTCAGACATGCCTATCCCTGCCCTTATCTGATGGTCTTTCTCTACCTGCTCTGGCAGTGAAAGACAAAGGTCATAATCTCTTGGAAGCTCTGTGGCCCTGTCCACTGCATGAGAAACCTAAATACTTAACCAGGCATCTGTAGGGCAAGTTTTCATCATCTCTATAGGACTGCAGCTGATGCACTCTTGAAAGTGCCACATTCTGACTGGAGGCCAACCAACATAAAGCCAGCATACTAAACAGAAACACAACCAAGGACCCAAAGATAGTCTGCTTCCTGTGATTCCTTGTGTTAGATGAGTCTCCTGAAGACAGCAGATACTTGGTTGGTGAATTCTTATCTATTTTGCCATTCTATATCTTTTATGTGGAGCATTTAGTTCAAAGGCATCTATGACAAAGCCACAGCCAATATTATACTGAATGGAGAAAAATTGAAAACATTCCCTCTGAGAACTGGAAATAGAATACTTAGGAATATACCTAACCAAGGAGGTAAAAGATTTCTAAATAACAAACTACAAAACACTGCTGAATGAAATTATAAATGACACAAACTAATGGAAACACAGCTCATGCTCATGGATGGGTAGAATCAATATTGTGAAAATGACAATACTGCCAAAAGCAATCTAAAAATTCAATGCAATTCCCATCAAAATACCACGATAATTGTTCACAGAACTAGAAAGAACAATCCTAAAATTCATGTGGAACCAAAAAAGATGCCACATAGCCAAAGCAAGACTAAGCAAAAAGAACAAAGCTGGAGGCATCACATTCCTCAACTTTAAAATAACTACAAGTCTACAGTCACCAAAACAAAGTAGTACTGGTATTAAAATAGGCACATAGACCAATGGAATGGAATAGAGAACCCAGAAATAAAGCCAAATGCTTACAGCCAACAGATCTTTGACAAAGCAAACAAAAAGACAAAGTGGGGAAAGGATACTTTATTCAGTGAATGGTGCTGAGATAATTGGCAAGCTACATGTAGAAGAATGAAACTAAATCCTCATTTCTCATCTTATACAAAAATAAACTCAAAGTGAATCAAATACTTAAATCTAAGACCTGAAACCATAAAGATTTTAGAAAATAGCATCAGAAAAATTCTTCTAGACATTGGCTTAGGCAAAGTCTTCATGACCAAGAATTTAAAAGCAAATGCAACAAAAACAAAGATAAATAGATTGGATTTAAACTAAAAAGTTTCTGCACAGCAAAAGAAATAATCAGCAGAGTTAATATACAACCCACAGAGTGGGAGAAATTTTCACAATCTATACATTCAACGTAGGACTAATATTCAAAATCTACAAAGAACTCAAACAAATCAGCAAGGAATAAGCAAACAATCCCATTCAAAATGTGGGCAAAGGACATGAATAGACAACTCTTAAAAGAAGATATACAAATGGCCAAGAAGCATATTAAAAAATGCTCAACATCACTAATTATCAGGAAATGCAATTCAAAACATAATGCGATACCATCTCACTCCTGTAGGAATGGCCATAATCAAAAATTAAGAAAAAAATAGGTGTTGGCGTGGATATGGTGGAGAGAACACTTTTACGCTGTTTGTGGAAATGTAAACTAATACAACCACTATCGAAAATAGTGTAGCAGTTCCTTTAAGAACTAAAAGTAGATCTACAATTTGACCCAGCAATCCCACTACCAGTCATGTATCCAAAGGAAAAGGAATTATTTTATGAAAAAGATACTTGCACATGCATGTTTATAGCAGCACAATTTGCAATTGCAAAAATACGAAACCATCCCAGATGCCCATCAATGAATGAGTGGATAAAGAAAATATGGTATATATATCCCATCAAATACTGCTCAAAATGTAGTGAAATAATGGCATTCCCAGCAACCTGGATGGAATTGGAGACCATTATTCTAAGTGAAGTAATTCAGGAATAGAAAACCAAACATTGTATGTTCTCACTCATATACACAAGCTAAGTTATGAGAATGCAAAGGCATAAGAATGATACATTAGACTGTGGGGACTCAGGAGAAAGAGTGGGGGGCAATGAGGGATAAAAGACTGCACCTTGGATACAGTGTACACTGCTCAGGTGATGGGTGCACCAAAATCTCAGAAGTCACGACTAAATAATTTATTCTTGTAACCAAACAACACCAGTTTTCCAAAAAAAATATTGAAATAAAAAATTAAAAAAGAGAAATGCTAAAAGAAGTTTTAAATCCTGAAGCAACAGCCCAATATGCAGCAAAGTAGAACCTACTAAAAGTCTAAAACTCACAAGGACTATACAACAATAACACAATGAAAAAAATTAATTAGGTAACAACTAATATGATGAATAGAATAGTACCTCGCACCTCAATATTGACATTGAATGTAAATGACCTAAATGCTACATTTAAAAAAATACAGAATGGGAGAATGGATAAAAATCCACCTACCAAATATCTTCTGTCTTCAAGAGACTCACCTGACATAAGGATTCGTATAAACTCAAGGAAAAGGATTGGGGAAAAAATATTCAATTCAAATGGAAACAGAAAGCAAAGAGAAGTAACTATTCTGAGACTAAACAGACGTTAAATCAATGACAGTTAAAAAAAAGGGCATTATACAATTATAAAAGGATCAGTTCAAAGAGAATATATTACAATCATAAATTTAAATGAACCTCATATTGGAGCTACCAGATTTATAAAACAATAACTACTAGACCTAAGAAATGAAAGAGACAGCAACACAATAATAGTGAGTTACTTCAATACTCCACTGACAGCACTAGACAGATCTTCAAGAAAGAAAGTCAACTAAGAAACAATAGACTTAAACATGTCCTAGAACAAATGGACTTATATATTTACAGAACATTTTCCCCAAAAAACTGCAGAATACACATTCTTTTCATTAGAACATGGAACATTCTCCAAGGTAGACCATAGAGCAGGCCACAAAACAAGTCTCAATAAATTTAGAAAAATCAAAATTATATCAAAGTATCTTCTCAGACTACAGTGAAATAGAACTGGAAATCAACTTTAACAGCAATACATAAAACTGTACAACTACATAGAAATTAAATAATCTGTTCTTAAATGAGTTTTGGGTTAACAAAAAAAATCAGGATAAAAATTTAAAAATTTTTTGAAATTAATAATTGTGACACAAATTATTTATACCTCTGGGATACAACATAAGCAGTGCAAAGTGGAAAACTCACTGTGTTAAATTCTGACATCAAAATGTCTGAAAAAGGACAGATTGACAACTCAATGTCATGCCTCAAAAAAACAGAAACAAGAGAAAATTAACCCAAAGCGAGCAAAGGAAAGAAGTAACAAAGATCAGAGCAGAGCTAAATAAAATTGAAACAAAAAAGGAAGACAAAAGATAATTAAAATACTTGTTCTTTGAAAGCATAAACAAAATTGGTAGACCATTAGCAAAATAACCAACAGAAGAGAAACGATCCAAATAAGCTCAATTAGAAATGAAACTGGAGATATTACAATGGATATCAAAAAATGCAAAAGATCTTTCAAGAATGTTATTAATATCTATACATGCATAAACTAGAAAATCTAGACAAAATGGATAAATTCTTAGAAACATATAATCCTCCCGAATTAAAACAGGAAAAAATAGAAGCCCTGAACGGATCAATAACAAGCACTGAGATTTAATCACTAAATAAAATATTGCCAACAAATAAAGGCCAGGGCCAAATGAATTCAAAGCTGAATTCTACTAGATATCCAAAGAAGAACTGATACTAATTCTACTGAAACTATTCCAAAAGATACAGAAAAAGAAATGTGTAATAACTTTTTATTGACTGTAATTACCTTGTTGTGCTGTTACATACTAGATCTTATTCATTCTATTTTGATACTTATTAACCATCCTCTTTTTCTCCCACCCACTTTGCTTCCCAGTTTCCAGTAACCATCATTCTGCTCTATATCTTCGTGAGTTCAATTGTTTTAATTTTTAGCTCCTACAAATGAGTGGAAATATGCAAATTTGTCTTTCAGTGCATGGCTTATTTTACATAACATAATGTCCTTCAATTTTATCCACGTAGTTGCAAATGACAGAATCTCATTTTTTATGGCTGGATAGTATTCCATTGTGTATATGTAACACAATTTCCTTATCCATCTGTCTGTTTATGAACACTTAAGTTGCTTCCACACTTGACTGTTGTCCATTATGCTGCAATAAATATGGGAGTTCCGATATCTATTTAATATACTATTTTTTTTTAAATTTGGGATACAGATTTTGCAGTCAGATTGTTGGATCATATGGTAGTTCTATTTTTAGTTTTCTGAGGAAAGTCCAAACTGTTCTCTATAGTAGCTGTACTAATTTACATGCCCACAGTGTACAAATGTTCCCTTTTCTCCACATCTTTGCCAGCAGTTGTTACTGCCTGTTTTTTGAATAAAAATCATTTTGAGAGGGGTGAGAAAACCTCATTGTAGTTTTGATTTACAATTCTCTGATGATTAGTGATGTTGAGCACCTTTTGGTATACCTGTTTGCCATTTGTATGTTTTCTTTGAGAAATGTCTATTCAGATTTTTTGCCCATTTTTAATTAGAGAAATAAATTCTTTCATATTGAGTGTTTGAGTTCCTTATATATTCTGGTTATTAATGCCTTTTCAGATGGATAATTTGCCAACGTTTTCTCCTATTCTGTGGGTTTGTTCTTCACTTTTTTGATTATTTCTTTTGCTGTGCAGAAGATTTTTAACTTGATGGTATCCCATTTGTCCATTTTTGCTTTGGTTGGCTGTGTTTGTGGGGTATTACTCAGAAAATTTTAGCCCAGTCTAATTTCCTGGAGAGTTTCTCCAACGTCTTCTTTCAATAGTTTCATAGTTTGAGGTCTTTAATGTAAGAGTTTAATCCATTTTTATTTTGCTTTTATATATAGTGAGAGATAAGAGTCTACTTTCTTCCCTCTGATTATGGATATCCAGTTTTCCCAGCACTATTAACCAAAGAAACTGTCCTTTCTTCTATGTATGTTTTTGGCATGTTTGTCAAAAATGAGTTCACTGTAGATGTATCGATTTTATTTGGAATTCTATATTCTGTTCTATTAGACAGTGTGTCTGTTTTTGTTTTATTGTACTTTAACTTCTAGGGTACATGTGCACAACGTGCAGGTTTGTTACATAGGTATACACGTGCCATGTTGGTTTGCTGCACCCATCAACTTGTCATTTGCTTTAGGTATTTCTCGTAATGCTATCGCTCCCCCAGCACCCCACCCACCGACAGGCCCCTGTGTGTGATGTTCCCTGCCCTGTGTCCATGTGTTCTCATTGTTGAACTCCCACCTATGAGTGAGAACATGGGTGAGAACATGAATGAGAATATATCACAAGAACTCTGTTCTTGTGATAGTTTGCTTAGAATGATGGTTTCCAGCTTCATCCATGTCCTTGCAAAAAAACATGAACTCATCCTTTTTTATGGCTGCATATTATTCCATGCTGCATATATGCCACATTTTCTTAATCCAGTCTATCATTGATGGGCATTTGGGTTGGTTCCAAGTCTTTGCTATTGTGAATAATGCCACAATAAACATGCGTGTGCATGTGTCTTTATAGGATGATTTATAATCCTTTGGGTATATACGTAGTAATGGGATCACTGGGTCAAATGGTATTTCTAGTTCTAGATCCTTGAGGAATCACTACACTGTCTTCCACAATGGTTGAACTAATTTACACTCCCACAAACAGTGTAAAAGCATTCCTATTTATCCACATCCTCTCCAGCATCTGTTGTTTCCTGACTTTTTAATGATCGCCATTCTAACTAGCATGAGATGGTATCTCATTGTGGTTTTGGTTTGCATTTCTCTAATGACCAGTGATGATGAGTATTTTTTCAAGTGTTCGATGGCTGCATAAATGTCTTCTTTTGAGAAGTGTCTTTCCATATCATTTGCCCCCTTTTTGATGGGGTTGTTTTTTTCCTGTAAATTTGTTTAAGTTCTTTGTAGATTCTGGATATTAGCCCTTTGTCAGGTGGATAGATTGCAAAATTTTTCTCCCATTCTGTAGGTTGGCTGTTCAGTCTGATGATGGTTTCTTTTGCTGTGCAGAAGCTCTTTAGTTTAATTAGATCTCATTTGTCAATTTTGGCTTTTTTGCCATTGCTTTTGGTATTTTGGACATAAAGTCTTTGCCCTTGCCTATGTCTTGAACGGTGCTGCCTAGGTTTTCTTGTAGAATTTTTATGGTGTTAGGTCTTATATTTAAGCCTTTACTCCATCTTGAGTTAATTTTTGTATTTGGTGTAAGGAACGAATCCAGTTTCAGCTTTCTACATATGGCTAGCCAGTTTTCCCAGCACCACTTATTATATAGGGAATCTTTTCCCCATTGCTTGTTTTTGTCAGGTTTGTAAAAAAATCAGATGGTTGTAGATGTGTGGTGCTATTTCTGAGGCCTTTGTTCTGTTCCATTGGTCTATATATCTCTTTTGGTACCAGTACCATGCTGTTTTGGTTACTGTAGCCTTGTAGTATACTTTGAAGTCAGGTAGCATGATGCCTCCAGCTTTGTTCTTTTGACTTAGGATTGTCTTGGCTATGTGGGCCCTTTTTTGGTTCCATATGAACTTTAAAGTAGTTTTTTTCCAATTCTGTGAAGAAAGTCAGTGGTAGCTTGATGAGGATAGCATTGAATCTGTAAATTACTATGGGCAGGAATGCCATTTTCATGATATTAATTTTTACTATCAATGAACATGGAATATTTTTCCATTTGTTTGTGTCCTCTCTTATTTCCTTGAGCAGTGATTTGTAGTTCTCCTTGAAGAGGTCCCTCACATCCCTTGTAAGTTGGTTTCCTAGGTATTTTATCCTCTTAGTAGCAATTGAGAATGGGAGTTCACTCATGATTTGGCTCTCTGTTTGTCTGTTATTGGTGTGTAGGAATGCTTGTGATTTTTGCACATTGATTTTGTATCCTGAGATTTTGCTGAAGTTGCTTATCAGCTTAAGGAGATTTGGGGCTGAGAAGATGGGGTTTTCTAAATATACAATCATGTCATCTGCAAACAGGGACAATTTGACTTCCTCTCTTCCTATTTGAATACGCTTTATTTATTTCTCTTGCCTGATTACCCTGGCCAGAATTTCCAAGACTATGTTGAATAAGAGTGGTAAGAGAGGGCATTCTTGTCTTGTGCCAGTTTTCAAATGGAATGCTTCCAGTTTTTGCCCATTGAGTATGATATTGGCTGTAGGTTTGTCATAAATAGCTCTTATTATGTTGAGATATGTTCCATCGATACCTAGCTTATTCAGAGTTTTTACCATGAAAGGCTGTTGAATTTTGTCGAAGCCCTTTTCTGCATCTATTTAGATAATCATGTGGTTTTTATTGTTGGTTCTGTTTATGTGATAGATTACATTTATTGACTTGCATAAGTTGAACCAGCCTTGCAGGCCAGGGATGAAGCTGACTTGATCGTGTTGGATAAGCTTTTGGATGTGCTGCTGGTTTCGGTTTGCCAGTATTGTATTGAGGATTTTTGCACTGATGTTCATCAGGGATATTGGTCTAAAATTCTCTTTTTTTGTTGTGTCTCTGACCGGCTGTGTTATCAGGATGATGCTGGCCTCATAAAATGAGTTAGGGTGGATTCCCTCTCTTTCTATTGATCGGAATAGCTTCAGAAGGAATGGTACTAGCTTCTCTTCATACCTCTGGTACAATTTAGCTGTGAATCTACCTGATCCTGGACTTTTTCTGTTGGTCACTTATTAATTATTGCCTCAATTTCTGAATCTGTTATTGGTCTATTCAGAGATTCAACTTCTTCCTTGTTTAGCCTTGGGATGGTGTATGTGTCCAGGAATTTATCCATTTCTTCTAGATTTTCCAGTTTATTTGCATAGAGATGTCTATAGTATTCTCTGAAGGTAGTTTGCATTTCTTTGGGATCAATGGTGATATTCCCTATATCATTTTTTATTGCTTCTATTTGAGTCTTCTCTTTTCTTCGTTATTATTCTGGCTAATGGTCTATCTATTTAGTTGATTTTTCCAAAAAACCTGCTCTTGGATTTATTGATTTTTTTGACTTTTTTTTTTTTTACATGTCTCTATCTTCTTCAGTTATGCTCTGATCTTAGTTATTTCTTGCCTTCTGCTAGCTTTTGAATTTGTTTGCTCTTGCTTTTCTAGTTATTTTAATTCTGATGTTAGGGTGTTGATTTTAGATCTCTCCTGCTTTCTCTTATGGGCATTGTTGTAAAGATCTTTTACTTTCTTAGTTCGGTATATTTCTAAGTATTTTATTCTTTTTGTGGTTATTGTGAATGGGATTGCATTCTTGGTTTGGCTCTCAGCTTGGATGTTGTTGGTGTATGGAAATGCTACTGATTTTTGTACGTTGATTTTGCATTCTGAAATTTTGTTGAAGTTATGCACTGTATCAAGAAGCTTTGGAACAGAGACTATAGGGTTTTCTAGGTACAGAATGATATTGTCTGCAAACAAGGAGAGTTTGGCTTTCTCTCTTCCTATTTAGATGTCCTGTTCTGGCTAGGCCTTTTTGTACTATGTTGAATAGATGTGGTGAGAGAAGATGTCCTGTCCTTGTTTCAGTTTGCAAGGGGAATGCTACTAACTTTTGTCCATTCAGTATATGTTGGCTGTGGGTTTGTCATAGATGGCTTTTATTAAAGTATGTTTCTTCAATGCCTAGTTTGTTTAGGGTTTTTAAAATCAAGGGATGCTGAATTTTATTGAAAGCCTCTTCTGCATCTATCGAGATAATGATGTGGTTTTTGTTTTCAGTTCTGTTTATGCAGTGGATAACATTTATCGATTTGTGTATGTTCATCCAAACTTGCATCCTGGGGATGAAGCCTACTTGATAGTGGTACATTAGCTTTTTAATGTGCTGCTGGATTCGGTTTGCTAGTATTTTGTTGAGTATTTTAGCATCCATGTTTATCAAGGGTATTGGCCTCTAATTTGTGTGTTGTGTGTGTGTGTGTGTGTGTGTGTGTGTGTGTGGTGTGTCTGCCAGGTTTTGATATCAGGATGATGCTGGCCTCATAGAATGAGTTGGAAAGGAGTCTCCCTTCCTCGATTTTTTGACTTAGTTTCCGTAGGAATAGTACCAGCTCTTTTTTGTACATCTGGTGGAATTTATCTCTGAATCCATCTGGTCTTGGGATTTTTCTGGTTGGTAGGCAGAACTCATTATTGGTCTGTTCAGGGATTTAATCTCTTCTTGGTTTAATCTTAGAAGGTTGTGTATTTCAAAGAATATATCAATTTCTTCCATGTCTTATGGTTTGTGTGTATAGAGAAGTTCATAATGGTCTCCAAGGGTTTTTTATTTCGGTAAGGTCAGTGGTAATATTCCCTTTGTCACTTGTAATTGTGTTTATTTGGATCTTCACTCTTTTTTGAATAGTTAATCTAGCTAGTGGTCTAAGTTTCTTAGATTTTCAAAAAAAAACAAGCTTCTGAATTCATCGACCTCTTGTATGTTTTTTCATGTCTCAATTTCCTTCAGGTCAGCTCTAATTTTTGTTATTTCTTGTATTCTGTTAGATTTGGAGTTACTTTTCTCTTGTTTCCCTAGTTCCTCTAGATGCAATGTTATGTTGTTAATTTGAAATCTTTTTAACTTTTTGATGTGAGTGTTTAGTACCATAACCTTTCCTCTTAACATCGTTTTGGCTGTTTCTGAGAATCTGGTGTGTTGTATCTTGATTCTCATTAGTTTCAAAAACTGTCTTGATTTCGGCTTTAATTTTTATTATTTACCCAGAAGTAAATCAGGAGCAAGTTGTTTAATTTTTTTAATTGTGTGGTTTTGAGTGATTTTCTTAGAATTATGTAATGCTCTTCCTTGTCTTTTTAATATGTTTGTTAGTTTAAAGTTGTTTTTTTTTCTGAAATTAGAATAGCAACCCCTGTTATTTTCTGTTTTCTGTTTGCTTGGTAGATTATTCTCTATTCCTTTACTTTCAGCCTGTGGGTGTCATTGCATGTGAGATGGATCTCTTGAAGAAATCATACCACTGGGTATTGTTTCCTTCAAACTTGCCACTCTGTGCTTTTCAATTGAGACATTTAGTCTGTTTACATTCAAGGTTAGTATTGATATATGCGGATTTAAACCAATTGTTAGCTGGTGATTAGGCAGACTTGTTTGTGTGGTTGCTTTATAATGGTAATGGTTTATGTACTTCAGTGTGTTTTTGTAGTGGCTGATAATGGTATCTCCTTTTCATATTTAGCACTTCATTCAAGACCACTTGTAAGGCAGGTCTGATGGTAACTAATTGTCTTATAATTTGCTTTTCTTAAAAGCATCTTATTTATCCTTCACTTATAAATCCCAGTTGGGCTGGACATAAAATTATTGGTTGAACAATTTATTTTGTATTTTTTTAAATTTTTATTATTGTTATACTTTAAGTTCTGAGTTACATGTGCAGAACTTGCAGTTTTGTTACATAGGTATACACATGCCATGGCGGTTTGCTGCACCCATCAATCCGTCACCGACATTAATTATTTCTTATAATGCTATCTCTCCCCTAGCCCCCACCCCCCGACAAGCCCTGGTGTGTGATGTTCCCCTTCCTGTGTCCATGTGTTCTCATTGTTCAACTCCCACTTATGAGTGAGAACATGCGGTGTTTGCTTTTCTGTTCTTGTGATAGTTTGCTGAGAATGACGGTTTCCAGCTTCATCTATGTCTCTGCAAAGGACACACACTTATTCTTTTTTATAGCTGCATAATATTCCATGGTGTATATGTGCCATATTTTCTTAGTCCAGTCTATCATTGTTGAGCATTTGGGTTGGTTCCAAGTCTTTGCTATTGTGAATAGTGCCACAATAATCATACGTGTGCATGTGTCTTTATAGTAGAATGATTTATAATCCTTTGGGTATATACCCAGTAATGAGATTGCTGGGTCAAATGGTATTTCTAGTTCTAGATCCTTGAGGAAACACCACACTGTCTTCCACAATGGTTGAACTAATTTACTCTCCCACCAACAGTGTAAAAGTGTTCCTATTTCTCCACATCGTCTCCAGCATCTGTTGTTTCCTGACTTTTAAATGATTGCCATTCTAACTGGCATGAGATGGTATCTCATTGTGGTTTTGGTTTGCATTTCTCTAATGACCAGGGATGATGAGTATTTTTTCATGTGTTCGACAGCTGCATAAATGTCTTCTTTTGAGAAGTGTCTTTTCATATCCTTTGCCCCCTTTTTTATGGGGTAGTGTTTTTCTTATAAATTTGTTTAAGTTCTTTGTAGATTCTGGATATTAGCCCTTTGTCAGGTGAATAGATTGCAAAAATTTTCTCCCATTCTGTAGGTTGGCTGTTCACTCTGATGACAGTTCCTTTTGCTGTGCAGAAGCTCTTTAGTTTAATTAGACCCCATTTGTCAATTTTGGCTTTTGTTGCCATTGCTTTTGGTGTTTTAGACATAAAGTCTTTGCCCATGCCTATGTCCTGAATGATATTGCCTAGGCTTTCTTCTAGAAGTTTTATGGTTTTAGGTCTTATGTTTAAGTCTTTAATCCATCTTAAGGTAATTTTTGTATAAGGTGTAAGGATGGGGCCCAGTTTCAGTTTTCTGCATATGGCTAGCCAGTTTTCCCAACACCATTTAGTAAATAGGGAATCTTTTTTTTTTTTTTTTTCCACAAATGCTGACTATAGGCCTGTAATCTTTTCTGGCTATATTCTGGCTTATAGAATTTCTGCTGACAGGTTTGTTATTAGCCTAATGAGATTCCCTTTGTAGGTGACCTGCCTTTTGTCTCTAGTTCATATGTATATATTTCATTTTGACCTTGGGATTCTCTGCATCTCCTGAATTTAACTGTTGGCCATTCTAATGAGGTTGGAAAATTTTTCCATGGACAATATCCTATATGTTTTCCAACTTGCTTGATTTCTCTCTCTGTCTCTCAGACATGCCCATGAATTGTAGATTTGGTCTCTACATAATTCTATATTTCTTGAAGGTTTTGTTTATTCTTCTTTATTGTTTTTTCTTTATTTTTCTCTGAGTGAGTTATTTCATAGAACCAGTTTCCAAGCTCTTAGATTCTTTCCTCAGATTGGTAAATTATGCTGTTAATACTTGCCATTGCATTATGAAATTTTTTTAGAATGTTTTTCAGCTCTATCAGATTTGTTTGGTTCTTTCTTATAACGAGCCATTTCACCTATAAGATCCTGTATTATTTTATTGTAATCTTTAGATTCCTTGGATTTTTTTTCATTTTATCCTTTATGCCTGTGACCTTCATTTCTATCTATATTCTGAATTCTATTTTTATCATTTCAGCCATCTCAGTGTGGTTAGAAACCCTTGCTGCAAAATAGTGCAGGTGTTTGGAGGGAAAAAGACATTCTGGCTTTTTGAGTTGGCAGAGTTTTTGTGCTGGTTCTTTCTCATTTTGGGGGGTTTTTATTCCAGCAATCTTTGAAGTTGTTAATCTTTGGAATTTTTTTCTTTTATAGTATTCAATGTCCTTGGGTGTTTGATTGTGGTGTAAGGTGGGTTTAGTCAACTTAATTTGTTTCTGGAGAATTTTAGCGGGCCAACGCTCAGCTGAGGACTCCCAGACTGTGTGTTGTCACTCTGGGGACTTGTATTAGACCTCTAGCTTTGTTCTGTTGCCCCTGGAGGTTAGCAAACTCTCATGCTGGCTGGGCTGAGTTGTTTCTGGACTGCTGGTCACAATAATCCAAAAGATGGTGCCAGCCACAGTGCTTCATAGAATGGTGGTAGCAGGATCCGTCTGTATTTGCACATGCCAGCAGCAGCAACAGTGAGGCTGGGTGCACACTCCTTGGGATTAGCAAAGTGCTGATGGGTGAAGGTTTCCTGGCCTCTGTGTGGGCATTCACAGTGGCAGCAGTGGCAGCATGGCATGGGGGGGCCCTGCCAGTGTCTGTTTTTGTTTGCAATAGTGGTGGTGTTAGTACGGGGGCTAGATAATGACAGGTGTGGGACTGTTCCCTCTATGCATGCATTTATATGGGTGGCACCTGTCACTAGGAATGAGGGAGGTCCTGCTGGTTCCTGCATAGTTTTGCATGAGCAGCAGTATCACAGATGGGCAGGGCACTGGTCAGCACAAGGCTGATGGTCTCCATGCTCACAAATGCTCTGACAGCAATGGTGGCATGGCAGGAGTTTTGGGGGTCGGGGTGCACTATGCCGGTAGCGGTGGCACACTGGGGTGATCAAGCACATGTGTGCTGGTGGAGAAGTGGAAGCAAGGTTTGCCCGCATGCCCACACACCAGCAAAGTGATGTGAAGTGTGGCCTTGGGTGAGTGGATGCAGGCAAAGTGGCTTGGGGAAGGCAGCAATGTGGAAAGGGCATGATCAGGCTTATGCACTTCTGTGAGAGTGCACTACTGAAGCTCTCGGCTGATCAAGTATTCAAGTATGGTCTGCCAGCTCAGGAGCTACAATATGGGCCCCAAGGAGTTACCCCACTTGGGCACCTGAGGCTGCAGTGCAAACAGACATGGGCAGGCTGAGGCACTGGAAGAAGCCAGCTAAACAAGGGGTGCTCAGCTTAGATCAGCTTTTTTTTTTTTGAAGATGTCAGTTCTTTTTTTTATTTTTTTATTTTTATTTTATTATTATACTTTAAGTTTTAGGGTACATGTGCACAATGTGCAGGTTTGTTACATACGTATATATGTGCCATGTTGGTGTGCTGCACCCATTAACTCGTCATTTAATATTAGGTATGTCTCCTAATGCTATCCCTCCCCCCTGCCCCCACCCCACAACAGTCCCCAGAGTGTGATGTTCCCCTTCCTGTGTCCATGTGTTCTCATTGTTCAATTCCCACCTATGAGTGAGAACATGAGGTGTTTGGTTTTTTGTCCTTGAGAGAGTTTGCTGAGAATGATGGTTTCCAGTTTCATCCATGTCCCTACAAAGGACATGAACTCATCATTTTTTATGGCTGCATAGTATTCCATGGTGTATATGTGCCACATTTTCTTAATCCAGTCTATCATTGTTGGACATTTGGGTTGGTTCCAGGTCGTTGCTATTGTGAATAGTGCCACAATAAACATACGTGTGCATATGTCTTTATGGCAGCATGATTTATAATCCTTTGGGTATATACCCAGTAATGGGATGGCTGGGTCAAATGGTATTTCTAGTTCTAGATCCCTGAGGAATCGCCACACTGACTTCCACAGTGGTTGAACTAGTTTACAGTGCCACCAACCGTGTAAAAGCATTCCTATTTCTCCACATCCTCTCCAGCACCTGTTGTTTCCTGACTTTTTAATGATCGCCATTCTAACTGGTATGAGATGGTATCTCATTGTGGTTTTGATTTGCATTTGTCTGATGGCCAGTGATGATGAATATTTTTTCATGTGTTTTTTGGCTGCATAAATGTCTTCTTTTAAGAAGTGTCTCTTTGTATCCTTTGCCCACTTTTCGATGGGGTTTTTTGTTTTTTTCTTGTAAATTTGTTTGAGTTCATTGTAGATTCTGCAAAATTCAGCAACCCTTCATGCTAAAAACTCTCAATAAATTAGGTATTGATGGGATGTATCTCAAAATAATAAGAGCTACCTATGACAAACTCACAGCCAATATCATACTGAATGGGAAAAAACTGGAAGCATTTCCTTTGAAAACTGGCACAAGACAAGGATGACCTTTCTCACCACTCCTATTCAACATAGTGGTGGAAGTGCTGGCCAGGGCAATTAGGCAGGAGAAGGAAATAAAGGGTATCCAATTAGGAAAAGAGGAAGTCAAATTGTCCCTGTTTGCAGATGACATGATTGTAAATCTAGAAAACCCCATTGCCTCAGCCCAAAATCTCCTTAAGCAGATAAGACACTTCAGCAAAGTCTCAGGATACAAAATCAATGTGAAAAAATCACAAGCATTCTTATACACCAATAACAGACAAACAGAGAGCCAAATCATGAGGGAACTCCCATTCACAATTGCTTCAAATAGAATAAAATACCTAAAAATCCAACTTACAAGGGATGTGAAGGACCTCTTTAAGGAAAACTACAAACCACTGCTCAATGAAATAAAAGAGGATACAAACAAATGGAAGAACATTCCGTGCTCATGGGTAGGAAGAATCAATATCGTGAAAATGGCCATACTGCCCAAGGTAATTTATAGATTCAATGCCATCCCCATCAAGCTACCAATGACTTTCTTCACAGAATTGGAAAAAACTACTTTAAAGTTCATATGGAACCAAAAAAGAGCCCACATTGCCAAGTCAATCCTAAGTCAAAAGAACAAAGCTGGAAGCATCACACTACCTGACTTCAAAATATACTACAAGGCTCCAGTAACCAAAACAGCATGGTCCTGGTATCAAAACAGAGATATAGATCAATGGAACAGAACAGAGCCCTCAGAAATAATGCCGCATATCTACAACCATCTGATCTTTGACAAACCTGACAAAAACAAGCAATGGGAAAAGGATTCCATATTTAATAAACGGTGCTGGGAAAACCTCCTAGCCATATGTAGAAAGCTGAAACTGGATCCCTTCCTTACACATTATACAAAAATTAATTCAAGATGGAAAACAACATTCTCAGTAAACTATTGCAAGAACAGAAAACCAAACACCGCATCTTCTCACTCATAAGTGGGAATTGAACAATGAGAACACATGGACATAGGAAGGGGAACATCACACCCTGGGGACAGTTGTGTGGTGGCGGGAGGGGGGAGGGATAGCTTTAGGAGGTATACCTAATGCTAAATGACGAGTTAATGGGTGCAGCACACCAGCATGGCACATATATGCATATGTAACTAACCTGCACATTGTGTGCATGTACCCTAAAACTTAAAGTATAATAATAATAAAATAAAAAATACGAAAAAAGAATGACATTCCTTGCACTTGTCATTCCTGAATGAAAACTTTGCCTTCCACAAAATATTTAAACATATTCTGCAGTCAAAGCAATAGTCTTTAATAAATTTCAGCATAATAAGAAAATTAAAAAAAGACGGATTAAAGACTTACATGTTAGACCTAAAACCATAAAAACCCTAGAAGAAAACCTAGGCAATACCATTTAGGACATAGGCATGGGCAAGGACTTCATGTCTAAAACACCAAAAGCAATGGCAACAAAAGCTAAAATTGACAAATGGGATCTAATTAAACTAAAGAACTTCTGCACAGCAAAAGAAACTACCGTCAGAGTGAACAGGCAACCTACAAAATGGGAGAAAATTTTTGCAACCTAGGCCAGCTTTATCTTGTGGGCAAGACTGCTCTTCACTGTTCAGGCCCAACAGTTTCCCTTGGGTTAAAGTCTCCTAAAAAAGCAAGGCAAGCCTTGGGGGATGAGTGTTTCCTATCATGCCCCCCGACAGACACTCAAACACCAAATCTTCTGGGCTCTGCATTAGATGGAGTTATGTCCCAACCACTTTTCTAAGCAGAAATCCCTGACAGCTCAAGTGTCTGTTGGTGTTGTGGAGTCTTCTGCTGGCAGGTTTCCAGAGGCCCATGGTGAGAACAGGTTGCTCCTTGCTTGCTCAACTCACCCCTTCCCCAGAAGTCACTGGGTGCTAAGAATGAGTCCTGGTGTGTGGTAGCCCCATTCAGGGTTCCTAGCTTCCTCCCACTTCAGCCCAGCATCTGAGTCTTCCTTCCGTCTACTCTCAACGCCTTCCCTCTGAAGGTCTTCCTTTTTATTTTTGTCAAGTTGATATTGAATCTTTCCTTTGTTTCTTTCTTTCATTTATTTTTTTGACTAGGCTAAATTTTTGTGAATTTTGTTGATAATTTTAAACAATCAACTTTTAATTTTGTTAATTTTTCTCTATTATCTAGTTTATTTATTTCTTCCATAGCGTTTCTGATTTTCTTCTTTCTGCATGTTTTAGGTTTAGTGTCCTGTTTTTTTAGTAATTTATTAAGGTGAAAGTTTAAAATATTGATACAATATTTTTCTTCTCCTTCATTATGGCTATTTTGAGGTATAAATTTACCCCCTAAGCACTGCTTTCGCTTCATTTCCTACATTGTGTTATGTTTTCTTTCCCTCTTTACTTATCTGGAAGTAATTTCTAATTTTTCTTGTGATTTCTTCTTTTCTCCTTGGTTATTTAGACAGGTGTTGCTTAAATTCCATACATTTTTTAAGTTGAGTTCTAGTTTTATTACAATGTGTTCAGATACCAGCTGGGATGATTTTAATTTATTTAAATGTATTGAGACTTGTTTTATAGCCTGTCTGTTAATGGTGGAGGGTGTCCAGGTTCTTGGCATCTTGAACGAAGTATTGGACAAAACACACAAACAAAGTAAGGAAGGAATGAAGAGATTTATTGCAAAATGGAAGTACACTCCACAGTGTGGGAGTGGGCCCGAGCATAAGGGCTCAAAGGCTGCATTACAAAATTTGGGGGAGTTTAAATAGCCCCCCAGAGGATTCAATTGGTTACTTTGGGTATGCCCTATGTAAATGGAGAGGATGAAGTAAAGTGACAAACTCATTTACGGTTTACATCCTATGAAGAGGATATTTCCTGTTATAGCTGAAGTGTGAATTGGCCTTATGTTTTATGCCTCCAGACCCTATTTCCTGCCTCATCTCCCCCCTGAGAGATGTTATTTACAATGAATCTTTATGGGAGGCAGATGGACCTATTGTCCTTTTTCTGTAGCTTCTTCATGCTGGCTCGGGACATAGTCCCTACCTACCGGGGATCACCGAACTGCTCTATCCAGTGGAGGCAGGGTAGCTTCTTGATGGCCAGGGATGATGTCTTCGCCTGTACCTGGCTGGAACCTTTGTTGAATGATCATCTGAAACTTGACAGTATCTAGTGAGAGGAAATAAATTTGGTTAAAAGATTTAATGGGAACTTCAGAGGGTGGATACCAATGTTCTCAGAAATGTTTGTCATAGTAATTTGCAGGAGAAAAAAACAAAACGTGGTCTGTTCTAGAATCTATGTGTTTCCTTAAAGTCTTAGCATAAATGACTCCGTTTTGGTTTGATTTGATCTGCAGGGGCTTAGCGCTTGAGTTTAGTTCAAAGCAATGGCCTCCTAGAATTTTGTTTGAAAAATTCCCCCTTTTTTGGTCACACTCTCACTTAGTGCCCTAGCGCTAAGTTAGGGCCCTAGCGCCAATCTCAGTTGCCATCATTTTGGGTTTCTGGTCTCAGCAAGTCATTTATAGGTTATGGTGTCCTCATGGTTACACATTTCTTTAAGCTCCTGTCATTCCAGTTGAAGAGAGGCCATATGACATTCTAGAGATGGCTGCATGCAATCATTTAAAACCTTTGAGAGAATACAGTGCACCAGGGAGACTATTATTATGACTATTGGGAGGATAATACCAAGAGTTCAGAATATGCTCCTTATCCAAGGTCCCAATAAACCAAACCTCCTAAAATCAAATAGATTAAAAAAAGAGTTAAATAATGAAAGTTTACTTACTTAAGTAGTCTCTTTGTTAATCCCCTATCACTGAATTTTTGTAATCTTTATTTGATGTATTTCCTTATAGGCCACAAGTGCCAGTGGCTGCACAGATACTTCTCTGTTCAGTGAATTTTATCATAACTTTCACAAGAGATTTTAAGGCTATTGTGTAGCTGTAGCCTTTACAGTAGAATTTCCTATAGAGCCTATCATGGGAGATACATTTCTATTCACTGTTTCTTTTATTCTAAACCAAGGAAAAAGGACTTACCAAATGATGCCCTTCTAGAATAGTGAAGGTCTCCTGACAATGTTCTCTTTAACCCATTATGAGGGTTAAGAGAAGTAAACCAATGTTTTGTTTTTGACTGATTATGATGCAACGTATGTACCATTAAAGTTTCTTGCCTAGATTGGGCTGTCATCTTTTATCTGTCAAAGTATAAGGGAATCCTTGTATAAAGCTGACTGAAAATTCATTCACAAATAAAGGTACACCCCATTAGTGCATATAACAAACCCCTTGTCCACTTCTATTGTTCATAGAAGAATAATCACAAAAAAAATATTCAAAGATAAGAGTTTCATAATAGTAGAAGTCTTAATCTGTGAACTTGGGAAAAGCTGTTCACATGAAGGATGCCATCTTTTTCCTGGGAGAAATTTCCCTTGTTAGCTTTACATCAAAGGTTCCAGTGGTGCACAGTTCCAAAACTGTGGTGGGGCCCTTCTCAGTTGTTAGACCATGAACCCAAAGCCCAAGGTCCTGAAGATTTGTTGTAGTGTGGATGGCAAGGACAATTCTTTCTCTGATGTTTCCAAAAAATTCAAACCATAAAAAGCTTTAATTACCTGGTGAAAATATACTGTAGCATAATAATTTACTGTTATAACATCAGCCCTCTTGAATGGGAAAGCTTTTATACAACCAGAAAACCTGCAGTGAAAATAACAATTGAATGAAATTCCTTTATAAAATGTTTAAATGGCCCACCAGGTGACAAAATGTACCTGAAGATTTAATTGTCTTCCCAGGAATATGGGAGCAAGCATGGTTATAACCTATTTTAAACAATTTCAGTATCAGCTGGATTAACATGAAAATCTGACAAAGCATTTTCTTTTTTTTTTTTTAATTATACTTTTAAGTTTTAGGGTACATGTGCACATTGTGCAGGTTAGTTACATATGTATACATGTGCCATGCTGGTGCGCTGCACCCACTAACTCGTCATCAAGCATTAGGTATATCTCCCGATGCTATCCCTCCCCCCTCCCACCACCCCACAACAGTCCTCAGAGTGTGATATTCCCCTTCCTGTGTCCATGTGATCTCATTGTTCAGTTCCCACCTATGAGTGAGAATATTTGGTGTTTGGTTTTTTGTTCTTGCGATAGTTTACTGAGAATGATGATTTCCAATTTCATCCATGTCCCTACAAAGGACATGAACTCGTCATTTTTTATGTCTGCATAGTATTCCATGGTGTATATGTGCCACATTTTCTTATTCCAGTCTATCATTGTTGGACATTTGGGTTGGTTCCAAGTCTTTGCTATTGTGAATAATGCCGCAATAAACATACGTGTGCATGTGTCTTTATAGCAGCATGATTTATAGTCCTTTGGGTATTTACCCAGTAATGGGATGGCTGGGTCAAATGGTATTTCCAGTTCTAGATCCCTGAGGAGTCGCCACACTGACTTCCACAATGGTTGAACTAGTTTACAGTCCCACCAACAGTGTAAAAGTGTTCCTATTTCTCCACATCCTCTCCAGTACCTGTTGTTTCCTGACTTTTTAATGATTGCCATTCTAACTGGTGTGAGATGGTATCTCATTGTGGTTTTGATTTGCATTTCTCTGATGGCCAGTGATGATGAGCACTTTTTCATGTGTTTTTTGGCTGCATAAATGTCTTCTTTTGAGAAGTGTCTGTTCATGTCCTTCGCCCACTTTTTGATGGGGTTGTTTGTTTTTTTCTTGTAAATTTGTTTGAGTTCATTGTAGATTCTGGATATTAGCCCTTTGTCAGATGAGTAGGCTGTGAAAATATTCTCCCATTTTGTAGGTTGCCTGTTCACTCTGATGGTAGTTTCTTTTGCTGTGCAGAAGCTCTTTAGTTGAATTAGATCCCATTTGTCAATTTTGGCTTTTGTTGCCATTGCTTTTGGTGTTTTAGACATGAAGTCCTTGCCCATGCCTATGTCCTGAATGGTAATGCCTAGGTTTTCTTCTAGGGTTTTTATGGTTTTAGGTCTAACATTTAAGTCTTTAATCCATCTTGAATTGATTTTTGTATAAGGTGTAAGGAAGGGATCCAGTTTCAGCTTTCTACATATGGCTAGCCAGTTTTCCCAGCACCATTTATTAAATAGGGAATGCTTTCCCCATTGCTTGTTTTTGTCAGGTTTGTCAAAGATCAGATAGTTGTAGATATGTGGCGTTATTTCTGAGGGCTCTGTTCTGTTCCATTGATCTATATCTCTGTTCTGGTACCAGTACCATGCTGTTTTGGTTACTGTAGCCTTGTAGTATAGTTTGAAGTCAGGTAGTGTGATGCCTCCAGCTTTGTTCTTTTGGCTTAGGATTGACTTGGCAATGCGGGCTCTTTTTTGGTTCCATATGAACTTTAAAGTAGTTTTTTCCAATTCTGTGAAGAAAGTCATTGGTAGCTTGATGGGGATGGCATTGAATCTGTAAATTACCTTGGGCAGTATGGCCATTTTCACAAGATTGATTCTTCCTACCCATGAGCATGGAATGTTCTTCCATTTGTTTGTATCCTCTTTTATTTCCTTGAGCAGTGGTTTGTAGTTCTCCTTGAAGAGGTCCTTCACGTCCCTTGTAAGTTGGATTCCTAGGTATTTAATTCTCTTTGAAGCAATTGTGAATGGGAGTTCACTCATGATTTGGCTCTCTGTTTGTCTGTTGTTGGTGTATAAGAATGCTTGTGATTTTTGTACATTGATTTTGTATCCTGAGACTTTGCTGAAGTTGCTTATCAGCTTAAGGAGATTTTGGGCTGAGACAATGGGGTTTTCTAGATATACAATCATGTCGTCTGCAAACAGGGACAATTTGACTTCTTCTTTTCCTAATTGAAAACCCTTTATTTCCTTCTCCTGCCTAATTGCCCTGGCCAGAACTTCCAACAGTATGTTGAATAGGAGTGGTGAGAGAGGGCATCCCTGTCTTGTGCCAGTTTTCAAAGGGAATGCTTCCAGTTTTTGCCCATTCAGCATGATATTGGCTGTGGGTTTGTCATAGATAGCTCTTATTATTTTGAAATACGTCCCATCAATACCTAATTTATTGAGAATTTTTAGCATGAAGGGTTGTTGAATTTCGTCAAAGGCTTTTTCTGCATCTATTGAGATAATCATGTGGTTTTTGTCTTTGGCTCTGTTTATATGCTGGATTACATTTATTGATTTGCGTATATTGAACCAGCCTTGCATCCCAGGGATGAAGCCCACTTGATCATGGTGGATAAGCTTTTTGATGTGCTGCTGGATTCAGTTTGCCAGTATTTTATTGAGGATTTTTGCATCAATGTTCATCAAGGATATTGGTCTAAAATTCTCTTTTTTTGTTGTGTCTCTGCCTGGCTTTGGTATCAGAATGATGCTGGCCTCATAAAATGAGTTAGGGAGGATTCCCTCTTTTTCTATTGATTGGAATAGTTTCAGAAGGAATGGTACCAGTTCCTCCTTGTACCTTTGGTAGAATTCGGCCGTGAATCCATCTGGTCCTGGACTCTTTTTGATTGGTAAGCTATTGATTATTGCCACTATTTCAGCTCCTGTTATTGGTCTATTCAGAGATTCAACTTCTTCCTGGTTTAGTCTTGGGAGGGTGTATGTGTCCAGGAATTTATCCATTTCTTCTAGATTTTCTAGTTTATTTGCGTAGAGGTGTTTGTAGTATTCCCTGATGGTAGTTTGTATTTCTGTGGGATCGGTGGTGATATCCCCTTTATCATTTTTTGTTGTGTCTATTTGATTCTTCCCTCTTTTTTTCTTTATTAGTCTTGCTAGCGGTCTATCAATTTTGTTGATCCTTTCAAAGAACCAGCTCCTGGATTCATTAATTTTTTGAAGGGTTTTTTGTGTCTCTATTTCCTTCAGTTCTGCTCTGATTTTAGTTATTTCTTGCCTTCTGCTAGCTTTTGAATGTGTTTGCTCTTGCTTTTCTAGTTCTTTCAATTGTGATGTTAGGGTGTCAATTTTGGATCTTTCCTGCTTTCTCTTGTGGGCATTTAGTGCTATAAATTTCCCTCTACACACTGCTTTGAATGTGTCCCAGAGATTCTGGTATGTTGTGTCTTTGTTTGCGTTGGTTTCAAGGAACATCGTTATTTCTGCCTTCATTTCGTTATGTATCCAGTAGTCATTCAGGAGCAGGTTGTTCAGTTTCCATGTAGTTGAGCGGTTTTGAGTGAGATTCTTAATCCTGAATTCTAGTTTGATTGCACTGTGGTCTGAGAGATAGTTTGTTATAATTTCTGTTCTTTTACATTTGCTGAGGAGAGCTTTACTTCCCAGTATGTGGTCAATTTTCGAATAGGTGTGGTGTGGTGCTGAAAAAAAAATGTATATTCTGTTGATTTGGGGTAGAGAATTCTGTAGATGTCTATTAGGTCCGCTTGGTGCAGAGCTGAGTTCAATTCCTGGGTATCCTTGTTAACTTTCTGTCTCGTTGATCTGTCTAATGTTGAGAGTGGGGTGTTAAAGTCTCCCATTATTAATGTGTGGGAGTCTAAGTCTCTTTGTAGGTCACTCAGGACTTGCTTTATGAATCTGGGTGCTCCTGTATTGGGTGCATATATATTTAGGATAGTTAGCTCTTCTTGTTGAATTGATCCCTTTACCATTATGTAATGGCCTTCTTTGTCTCTTTTGATCTTTGCTGGTTTAAAGTCTGTTTTATCCGAGACTAGGATTGCAACCCCTGCCTTTTTTTGTTTTCCATTTGCTTGGTAGATCTTCCTCCATCCTTTTATTTTCAGCCTATGTGTGCCTTTGCAGTTGAGATGGGTTTCCTGAATACAGCACACTGATGGGTCTTGGCTCTTTATCCAATTTGCCAGTCTATGTCTTTTAATTGGAGCATTTAGTCCAGTTACATTTAAAGTTAATATTGTTATGTGTGAATTTGATCCTGTCATTAAGATGTTAGCTGGTTATTTTGCTCGTTAGTTGATGCAGTTTCTTCCTAGTCTCGATTGTCTTTACATTTTGGCATGATTTTGCAGCAGCTGGTACTGTTTGTTCCTTTCCATGTTTAGCACTTCCTTCAGGAGCTCTTGTAAGGCAGGCCTGGTGGTGACAAAATCTCTCAGCATTTGCTTGTCTGTAAAGTATTTGATTTCTCCTTCACTTATGAAGCTTAGTTTGGCTGGATATGAAATTCTGGGTTGAAAATTCTTTTCTTTAAGAGTGTTGAATATAGGCCCCCACTCTCTTCTGGCTTGTAGGGTTTCTGCCGAGAGATCCGTTGTTAGTCTGATGGGCTTCCCTTTGAGGGTAACCTGACCTTTCTCTCTGGCTGCCCTTAACATTTTTTCCTTCATTTCAACTTTGGTGAATCTGACAATTATGTGTCTTGGAGTTGCTCTTCTCGGGGAGTATCTTTGTGGTGTTCTCTGTATTTTCTGAATCTGAACGTTGGCCTGCCTTGCTAGATTGTGGAAGTTCTCCTGGATAATATCCTGCAGAGTGTTTTCCAACTTGGTTCCATTCTCCCCATCACTTTCAGGTACACCAATCAGACATAGATTTGGTCTTTTCACATAGTCCCATATTTCTTGGAGGCTTTGCTCATTTCTTTTTATTCTTTTTTCTCTAGACTTCCCTTCTCACTTCATTTCATTCATTTCATCTTCCATCGCTGGTACCCTTTCTTCCAGTTGATCGCATCGGCTCTTGAGGCTTCTGCATTCTTCACGTAGTTCTCGAGCCTTGGTTTTCAGCTCCATCAGCTCCTTTAAGCACTTCTCTGTATTGATTATTCTAGTTATACATTCTTCTAAATTTTTTTCAATGTTTTCAACTTCTTTGCCTTTGGTTTGAATGTCCTCCCGTAGCTCAGAGTAATTTGATCGTCTGAAGCCTTCTTCTCTCAGCTTGTCAAAGTCATTCTCCATCCAGCTTTGACAAAGCATTTTCTTGGTACTTAATTAATTTTTGTTTTACTTCAGTTAGTAGCCTTATACAAGGAAATTTGGTTATTTCTGTGGTTTAGAATAACTTAACATAATAACTATACTAAAGTATTAGAATTTTAGACATTCTATACAGTTTTGGAACATATTTTAGTATTATTCACAAAAATACAAACTAAAGAAGATTGAACATCATTTTGGCAATCCTATGTACCTAAGCACTTTAAATAATCCGTTTACCTCTTTTCTGGATGTTTTCACAGGCCCTCTGATTCATCCTAAAAAGTCAGGCATTAAAAAAGAGAATTTTGAAACTGACATTTGATTTTGGAATTCCAAATTACCGTAAATTATTTATTTTGCCAAAATGATGACTAAAAAATTTTAAAGAAGTAAAAAGCATTTATAACCGTTTACAAAATAAGAAACATATTCTATTGCTCTTACACACCTTGCATGTAAAACTGTTTCTAGTTGTCTTGATTATATGTTAAAATGGTGAACTTTAATGTAAATTCTGGTAAGTTATATTCTGATAATATTTGACAATTTCCAGCATAGCTAGGGGTATGGCCAACTCTGCACATCCACAGGCTTTACTTAGCTGAAAAGCAGGCAATCTAAACAATTTTCAAAAGCCAAAGAAGCAGTTTATGACCCTAAAGCATTTATCATACCTATTATTTGAACATAATTTAGACCACATGTTTACATTTTGAAGAAAATTGTGTTTTACCAACAATATTTATAACCATCGTTATTACCCAAAGATTACTATAGTCACGTGAACTAAAAGGCATTACATTTTCTAAAATGTGGGTAAATGGGGTGGCTTGCAAGATGGATGAATAGCAACAGCTCCCAGTGAGATCAACGCAGAAGGTGAGTCATTTCTGCATTTCCAACTGAGGTACACAGCTCATCTCATTGGGACTGGTTAGACAGTGGGTGAAGCCCATAGAGGGTGAGTTGAAACAGGGTGGTGTGCCACCTCACCTGGGAAGTGAAAGGGATCGAGGAACTCCCTCCCCTAACCAAGGGAAGCCTTGAGGGAATGTGCTGTGAGGAACAGAGCATTCCAGTCCAGAAACTACACATTTCCCACAGTCTTTGCAACCCGCAGAACAGGAGATTCCCTCAGGTGTCTATGCCACCAGGGCCCTGGGTTTCAAGCACAAAACTGTTCAGCCGTTTGGCCAGACAACAAGCTAGCTGCAGGAGTTTTTTTTCATACCCCAGTGGCTCCCAGAATGCCAGTGAGACAGAACTGCCTACTCCCTTGGAAAGGACACTGAAGCCAGGGAGCCAAGTGGTCTAGCTCAGCAATTCCCACCCCCATGGAGCCCTGCAAGCTAAGATCCACTGGCTTGAAATTTTCACTGCCAGCACAGCAGCCTGAAGTCAACCTGGGATGCTACAAGTTGGTGGGAGGAGGGATGTCTGCCATAACTGAGGCTTCAGTAGGCAGTTTTCCCCTCACGGTGTAAACAAACCCTCTAATAAGATTGAACTGGGCAGAGCCCACCTCAGCTCTGCAAAGCCACTGTAGCCAGACTGCCTCTCTAGATTCTTTCTCTCTGGGCAGGACATCTCTGGAAGAAAGGCAGCAGCCCCAGTCAGGGGCTTATAAATAAAACTGTCATCTCCCTAGTATAGAGCACCTGGGGCAAGGGCTGGATGTAGGTGCAGCTTCAGCAGACTTAAACTTTCCTCTTGCCAGCTCTGAAGAGAGCAGTAAATCTCCCAGGACAGTGCTGAAGCTCTGCTAAGGTACAGACTGCCTCCTCAAGTGCGACCCTGAAACCCGTGCATCCTGACTGAAAGACACCTCCCAGTAGGGGTCGACAGACACCTCATACAGGAGAGCTCTAGTTGGCATCTGGTAGGTGCCTCTCTGCGATAAAGCTTCCAGAGGAAGGAACAGGCAGAAAACTTTGCTGTTTTGCAGCCTCCGCTGGTGATACCCAAGCAAACAGGTTCTGGACTGGACTCCCAGCAAACTCCAGCAGACCTGCAGCAGAGGGGCCTGACCGTTAGAAGGAAAACTAACAAACTGAAAGGAATAGCATCAACATCAACAAAAAAAAGTTTACACAGAAACCCCATCCAAAGGTCACCATCATCAAAGACCAAAGCTACATAAATCCATGAAGATGAGAAAAAAAACAGTGCAAAAAAACTGAAATTTCCAAAAACCAGAATGCCTCCTTTTCTCCAAAGGATCATAACTCCTTGGCAACAAGGGAACAAAACTGGACAGAGAATGAGTTTGACAAATTGACAGAAGTAGTTCAGAAGGTAGATAATAGCAAACTCCTCCAAGATTAAACAGCATGTACTAACCCAATGCAAGGACGCTAAGAAACTTGAAAAAATGTTAAAAGAATTACTAACTAGAATAACCAGTTTAGAGAAAAACATAAATAACCTGAAAAACACAGCATGAGAACTTCGTGAAGCATAGACAATATCAAGAGCCAAATTGATCAAGCAGAAGAAAGGATATTAAAGATTGAAGATCAACTTAATGAAATAAAGCGGGAAGACAAGACTGAAGAAAAAAGAATGAAAAGGAATGAACAAAGCCTCCAAGAAATATGGGACTATGTGAAAAAAAAAAGAAACAAAACAAAACAAAACAAAAAATACATTTGACTGGTGTGCCTGAAAGTGATGGGAAGAATGGAACCAAGTTGGAAAACACCCTTCAGGATATTATCCAGGAGAAATCACCCAACCTAGCAAGACGGGACAACATTCAAATTTGAAAAATACTGAGAACACCACAAAGATACTCCTTGAGAAGAGCGACCCCAAGACACTTGTCAGATTCACCAAGGTTGAAATGAAGGAAAAAATGTTAAGGGCAGCCAGAGAGAAACGTTGAGTCACCCGCAAAGGGAAGCCCATCAGACTAATAGTGAATTTCTCTGCAGAAGAGCATGGGGCCAATATTCAACATTCTTAAAGAAAAGAATTTGCAACCCAGAATTTCAAATCCAGCCAAATAAGCTTCATAAGCAAAGAAGAAAAAAAAAATCCTTTACAGACAAGCAAATGCAGAAAAATTTGTCACCACCATGCCTGCCTTAGAACAGCTCCAGAAGGAAGAATTAAACATGGAAAGAACAACCGGTAGCAGCCACTGCAAAAACATACCAAATTTTAAAGACCATCAACACTATGAAAAAACTGCATCAACTAATGGGCAAAATAACCAGCTAGCATCACAATGACGGGATCAAAATATTAACCTTAAATGTAAGCAGGCTAAATGCCCAAATTAAAAGACACAGACTGGCAAATTGGATAGTCAAGACCCATCAATGTGCTGTAATCAGGAGACCCATCTCACGTGCAAAGACACACATGGGCTCAAAATAAAGGGATGAAGGAATATTTACCAAGCAAATGGAAACAAAAAAAAAAAAAAGCGGGGGTTGCAATTCTAGTCTCTGATAAAACAGACTTTAAACCAACAAAGATCAAAAAAGACAAAGCATCACATAATTATAAAGGGATCAATGCAACAAGAAGAGCTATCTTAAAAATATATGCACTTAATAGAGGAGCATCCAGATTCATAGAGCAAATTCTTAGAGATCTATGAAGAGATTTATACTCCCATACAATAACAGTGGGAGACTTTAACACCCCACTGTCAATATTAGACTGATCAATGAGACAGAAAATTAACAAGAATATTCAAGACTTTAACTCAACTCTGGACAAAAGGGATTTAATAAACACCTACAGGACTCTCCACCACAAATCAACAGAATATACATTCTCCTCCAAACTACATTGCATTTATTCTAAAATTGACCCCATAATTGGAAGTAAAACACTGCTCAGCAAATGCAAAAGAAGGGAAATTATAACAGTCTCTCAGACCACAGTGCAAATTAGAGCCCAGCATTAATAAACTCACCCAAAACCGCACAGTTACATGGAAACTGAACAACCTGTTCCTGAATGACTACTGGGTAAATAACGAAATTAAGGAAGAAATAAATAAGTTCTTTGAAACAAATGAGAACAAAGACACAATGTAACAGAATCCCTGAGACACAGCTACAGCAGTGTTTAGAGGAAAATTTATAGCAGTAAATGCCCACAGGAGAAAGTGGGAAAGATCTAAAAGTGACACTCTAACATCACAATTAAAAGAACTAGAGAAGCAAAAGCAAACAAATTCAAAAGCTAGCAGAAGACAATAAATAACTAAGATCAGAGCAGAACTGAAAAAGATAGACATAAAATCCCTTCAAAAAATCAATGAACCCAAGAGCTGCTTTTTTGAAAAGATTAACAAAAGAGACTGCTAGCTAGGCTAATGAAGATGAAAAGAGAGAAGAATGAAATAGACACAATAAAAATAATAAAGTGGATATTACCACAGATCCCAGATAAATATAAACTACCACCAAATAATACTATAAACACCTCTACCCAAATAAACTAGGAAATATAGAAGAAATGGATAAATTGCTGAACACATACACCCACCCCCCAAGACTGAATCAGGAAGAAGTCGAATCTGAATAGACCAATAACAAGTTCTGAAATTGAGGCAGTAATTAATAGCTTACCAACTAAAAAAAAAAAAAAAAAAAAAAAACCCAGGACCAGATGGATTCACAGCCAACTTCTACCAGAGGTACAAAGAGGAGCTGGAACCATTACTTCTAAAACTACTCCAAACAATAGAAAATGAGGGGCTCCTCCCTAACTCATTTTATAAGACCAGCATCATCCTGATACCAAAACCTGCCAGAGACACAATAAAAAAAAAAAAGAAATTTCAGGGGAATATCCCTAAGAAACATCAATGTACAAATCCTGTATAAAATACTGGTAAATCGAATCCAGCAGCACATGAAAATCTTAACCACCATGATCAAGTCGGCTTCAACCCTTGGATGCTAGCCTGGTTCAACCTACACAAATCAATAAATGTAATCCATAACACAGAACCAATGACAAAAACCACATGATAATCTCAATAGATGCAGAAAAGGCCTTCCATAAAATTCAACACCCCTTCATGCTAAATACCCTCAATAAACTAGGTATTGATGGAACATATCTCAAAATAATAAGAGCTGTTTATGACAAACCCACGGCCAATATTATACTGAATGGGCAAAACCTGGAAGCATTCTCTTTGAAAATCGGCCCAAGACAAGGATGCCCTCTCTCACCACTCTTATTCAACATAGTCTTGGAAGTTCTGGCCAGGGCAATCAGCCAAGAGAAGGAAAGAAAGGGTATTCAAATAGGAACAGAGGAAGTCAAATTTTCTCTGTCTGCAGATGACATGATTGTACATTTAGAAAACCCCATCGTCTCAGCCCAAAATCTCCTTAAGCTGATAAGCAACTTCAGCAAAGTATCAGGATACAAAATCAATGTGAAAAAATCACAAGCATTCTTATACACCAATAATAGGTAAACAGAGAGCCAAGTCATGAGTGAACTCCCATTCATAATTGCTACAAAGAGAATAAAATACCTAGGAATACAACTTACAGCGGATGTGAGTGACCTCTTCAAGGAGAACTACAAACCACTGCTCAAGGAATTAAGAGAGGACAGAAACAAATAGAAAAATATTCCATGCTCATGGATAGTAAAAATTAATATCATGAAAATGGCCTTCCTGCCCAAAGTAATTTATAGATTCACTGCTATTCCCATCAATCTACCACTGACTTTCTTAAAAGAATTAGATAAAACTACTTTAAATTTCATATGGAACCAAAAAAGAGCCCGTAGAGCCAAGAAAATCCTAAGCAAAAAAACAAAGCTGGAGGCATCATGCTACCTGACTTCAAAGTATACTGCAAGGCTACAGTAACCAAAACAGTATAGTACTAGTACCAAAAGTGATATATAGACTAATAGAACAGAACAGAGGCCTCAGAAATAGTGCCACACATGTACAACCATCTGATCTTTGACAAACCTGACAAAAACAAGCAATGGGGAAAGATTCCTTATTTAATAAACGGTGTAGGGAAAACTGGCTAGCCTTATGTGAAAAAATGAAACTGGGCCTATTCTTTACAATTTATAAAAAAGTAACTCAAGACGAATTAAAGACTTAAATGTAAGGCCTAAAACCATAAAAGCTCTAGAAGAAATCTTAGGCAATACCATTCAGGACATAGGAATGGGCAAAGACTTCATGACTAAAACATCAAAAGTAATGGCAACAAAAGCCAAAATTGACAAATGGGATCGATTTAAACTAAAGAGCTTCTGCACAGCAAGAGAAACTATCATCAGAATGAACAGGCAACCTACAGAATGGGAGAAAATTTTTGCAATTTATCCACCTGACAAAGGGCTAAGATCCAGAATCTAAGACAAAATTAAACAAATTTACAAGAAAAAAACAACCCCATCAAAAAGTGAGAGAAGGATATGACCAGACATATCTCAAAAGAAGACATTTATGCTGCCAACAAACATATGAAAAAAAGCTCATCATCACTGGTCATTAGAGAAATGTAAATCAAAATCACAATGAGATACCATCTCATGCCAGTTAGAATGGCGATTATTAAAAAGTCAGGAAACAACAGATGCTGGAGAGGATGTGGAGAAATAGGAACACTTTTACACTGTTGGTGGGAGTGTAAGTTAGTTCAACCATTGTGGAAGACAGTGTGGTGATTCCTCAAGGAACTGCAACTAGAAATACCATTTGACCCAGCAATTCCACCACTGAGTATATACCCAGGGAATTATAAATAATTCTACTATAAAGACATATGCATGCGTATGTTTATGGCTGCACTGTTCACAATAGGAAAGACTTGTAACCAACCCAAATGCCCATCTGTGATAGACAGGATAAGAAAAATGTGGCACATATACACCATAGAATACTATGCAGCCATAAAATGTATGAGTTCATGTCCTTTGCAGGAACATGGATGAACCTGGAAACCATCATTCTCAGCAAACTAACACAGAATCAGAAAACTAAGCACCACATGTTCTCACTCATAAGTGGGAGTTGAACAATGAGAACGCATGGATACAGGGAGGGGAACATCACACAGTGGGGCCTGTCAGGGGGTTGGGGGCTAGGGGAAGGATAGCATTAGGAGAAATACCTAATGTAGACGACAGGTTGATGGGTGCAACAAACCACCATATCACGCATATACCTATGTAACAAACCTGCACATTCTGCACATGCATCCCAGAACTTAAGTATAAAAAAAAGCATTAGATTTTCTAACTTTTTGACAAAATATTTTATTTAATCTCTTATTATTTATTAAACCAATTAATTTAAAACTATATAGCAGGGATAAACAGTGATTTCTACTTTATATTTAACCAGCTTGCATGCAAGAAATAGGTAAGAGACAGAATGGTAAGAAATTTTTATTCTTTTCCTTGTGTGCTGAGTTTCAGGTTTCTTTCTTTCTGAGTAGCCCAAGCAATCCTTCATGACTGTATGGAAGCAAACACATTGCATAAATTAAGAATTTAATTAGAATGAATTAAATTGTTAATGAATTCAAAATTTTTACAAATAGTTTAAACATTTTGGAGTAATTTTGCAGAGAGAGAAATATGATTCAAATTTTAAGTATGCTCAGTACACTTAAAGTATCAGGAAGCCTAAAATTCAAGAAGTTAGTTTAAGAATAGAAAGCCTGTATGCTCCACTATTTCCTGTGGGCCTAACAAAGGTAACTTAAGAATTCCAGATAAATGGAATGAATGATGACTTGGTAGAAATGCAAAGGAAACAAAATAATTATTCAAAGAACCAAATAAAAGCCTTTCACTAGAGAGTAAAAAGCATCATGGTTTTATATATATGGATACCCAAGCAAAGCCAGAAGAGAATAAACAGCAAACAAGTGAAAACTAGAAGCAAAAACAAAGAGAAACCAACCCTAAATTTTCATACTCAATTTACCCTGGAGGCTACAGAGTTACACAGGGCCCCCCCAAAACACACACAATGTATATTCTATTTCTGTTACACAATTTCATACCTTAAGTTTACCAATATTATTATACATCCTGTGGAATTAACAAATTCACTTTAGGCACATAACCAACAAGTACTCTACACTATCCATGCAAAACAGTAAACACAGTGTGAAGTAACGCAAGTATGTATGTGAAATTTGGCTTTACTCTAAATCCAGCTTCATGCTTAACTATATTTAAAAAATTGCCAAGCTGCTGATGCATCTGTACAATACTTTTTATTTTACTTTAATCAAGACTAAGAGCTTTAACTATGAAAATGTTAATTAGCCAAATGTCTCCAATTCTTTATTAGGTTTTAAATAATATTATATTTTTAAACTTTTACACATCTTTCTCCCCTACTTAACGGTTTCTTACCACATTGTATCATAAATAACCTTTTAAAATCTGTAATTTGAACTAACCTTTAGATAACTTCTGATTTAGACAAAATTATCCCTTTTTCCACTAATAAAGTAATTCTTTCTGACACATTATTAAATACAGAATTACTTGTTAACTAGAATTTTATCCTTAGTACTCTAAAACTTTAGTGAAACCCTAACTTTGGGATTTCCTCTTCCTCCTGGCTGGCTCGCCAAAATATGTTATGGTGGAGGGTGTCCAGGTTCTTGGCATCTCGAACAAAGAACTGGACAAAACACACAAAGCAAGGAAGGAACGTAGGGATTTATTGAAAAATTGAAGTACACTCCACAATGTGGGAGCAAGCCCAAGCATAAGGACTCAAGGGCAACATTACAGAATTTTTGGGAGTTTAAATACCACCTAGATGATTGCATTGGTTACTTTGCGTATGTCCTATGTAAATGGAGAGGATGAAGTAAAGTTACAAAGTCATTTACTGCATACGGCCTATGGAAAGGATATATACTGTATAGCTGAAGTGTGAATCAGCTTTATGTTCCCTGCCTCCACACCCTATTTTCTTGCCTCATTTCTATTCCAAAGAATGCTCTGTGTGCACCTGAGAAGAATGTTTGTTTTTTAATGAGTGTTTTACATATGTGTAGTTTAATCATAGTGTTATTTAATTATTCTATTTCTTTGTTGATCTGTCTGCTGTTCTTGTCCTTGTGGGAAAGTGGTATACTGAAGTCTTCAATTATTGTTAAATTGTCTATTATTTCTTTCAATTTACCATAATTTACTTTATATATTTTTTGAACTCCGTTGCTAGGTCCAGGTAAGTTTTTATGTCTTCTTCAGTAATTAACTTTTGTCATTATAAAATGCCTTCCTTTGGCTCTATGTGATTTTTGTTTACTAATGTGTATTTTGTCTGTAATAGTATAGTCACTTCAGCTGTTTTTTAGTTTATGTTTGCTTGGTAAGTTTCCCCCTCCTTTTACTTGCAACCTATTTTTACTTTTTTTTCTTTTTTTTTGGCTAAATCTGTCTCTTTTTGACAGCATACAATTGAATCACATTTTTAAAGTTCATTCTACTGAAATTTACCTTTTGATTGAAGCCTTTATTTCACTCACATCTAACATGATTACTGAGAAGGTACTATTTACATATACCAATTTTTAGTTAATTAATAAATGAACTTTATTTTTTAATAATTTTAGATTTTCAGAGATGTTGTCAAGATGGTACAGAGTACCTACATATGCTACATTCAGCTTCCCCTTATATATTAGTATGGTACACTTGTGTACAGTTGATAAATCAAAGTTTTATTTTAAAAGTTCTGGGGAACATGTGTTTTTTGGCTCCATGGATAAGTTCTTTGTGTTGATTTCTGAGATTTTGGTGCACCAGTCACCTGAGCTGTGTACACTGTACCCAATGTGTAGTCTTTTATTTCTTACCTCCATCCCATTCTTACCCCGAGTCCCCGAAGTCCACATTATATCAGTCTTATGCATTTGCATCCTCATAGCTTAGCTCCTACTCATAAGTGAGAACATACAATATTTGGTTTTCCATTCCTGAGTTACTTCAGTTAGAATAAGGGTCTCCAGTTCCATCCAGGTTGCTGTGAATGCCTATATATATCACATTTTCTTTATTCACTCATTAGTTGGTGGGCAGTTAGGCTGGTTTCATATTTTTGAAGTTGCAAATTGTACTGCTATAAACATGTATGTGTAAGTGTCTTTTTTATATAATGACATTTTCCTTTAGGTAGATACCCAGTAGTAGAATTGCTGGATCAAATAATAGTTCTACTTTTAGTTCTTTAAGAAATCTTCTTACTGCTTTTTATAGTTGTTGTACTAGTTTACACTCCCACCAGCAGTGTAAAAGTGTTCCTTTTTAACCACATCCATATCAACATCTATTTTTTTTTTAATGGCCATTCTTGCAGGAGTGAGGTGGTATCACATTGTGGTTTTAATTTGCAGTTCCCTGATCATTGGTGGTGTAGAGCATTTTTTCATATGTTTGCTGACCATTTCTATATCTTTTATTGAGAATTGTCTATTCATGTCCTTTGCTCACTTTTTGATGAAATTTTTTTTCTTGCTGATTTGTTTGAGTTCCTTGTAGATTTTGGATATTAGTTTTTTTGTTGGATACTGAGTTTGCAAAGATTTCCTCCCACTCTGTGGATTGTCTGTTTACTGATTATTTTCTGTGCAGAAAATTTTAGTTTAATTATGCCTCATCTATTTAATTTTGTTTTTGTTGCATTTACTTTTGGATTCTTGGTCATAAAGTTTTTGCCTAAGTCAATGTCTAGAAGGATATTTCCTATCTTATCTTCTAGAATTCTTATGGTTTCAGGTGTTAGATTTAAGTATTTGATCCATCTTGCATTGACTGTTGTATAAGGTGATAGATGAGGATCCAGTTTCATTCTTGTACATATGGCTTGCCTATTATCCTAGCATCATTTGTTGAAAGGGTGTCCTTTTCCCACTTTATGATTTTTGCTTGCTTTGTCAGAGATCAGTTGGCTGTATTTGCCTTCATTTTTGAGTTCTCTATTTAGTTCCATTGGTCTACATGCCTATTTTTATACCAGTACTGTGCTGTTTTGGTGACTATAGCCTTATAGTATTGTTTGAAGTCAGGTAATGTGATGCCTCCAAATTTGTTTCTTTGGCTTCGTCTTACTTTGGCTTTTCAGGCTCTTTATGGTTCCATATGAATTTTAGGATTGTTTCTTCTACTTCCGTGAAGAACGATGTTGGTAATTAGGTGAGAGTTGTATTGAATTTGTAGATTGTTTTTGACAGTATGGTCATTTTCACAATATTGACTCTACTCATCCATGAGCATGGAATGTGTTTTCATTAGTGTGTGTCATTTATAATTTCTTTCAACCATGTTTTGTAGTTTTCTTTGTAGAGGTCTTTCACCTCCTTGATTAGGTATATTTCTAAGTACTTTTTTTTTTTTTTTTTGCAACTGTTGTAAAGCGGTTGAGTTCTTGTTTTGATTCACAGCTTGGTCGTTGGTGGCGTATAGCAGACTTGTGTACATTGATTTTTTATCCTGAAATTTTTATTTATCAGTTCTAGGAGCTTTTTAAATGTCTCTTTAGGGTTTTCTAGTTATATGATCATATCATCAGTGAGCAGCGATATTTTGACTTCTGTATTTATTTGGATGTCCTTCATTTCTTTCTCTTGTTTGATTATTCTGGCTAGGACTTCCAGTACTACGTTGAATAGAAGTGGTGAGAGTGGGCATACTTGCATTGTTCCAGTTCTCAGGGGGAATGCTTCCAACATTTCTCTGTTCGATATAATATTGGCTATGGGTTTGTCATAGATGGCTTTTATTACATTGAGATATGTCCCTTTTATGCCGATTTTTCTGAGAGTTTTAATCATAAATGGATGCTGGATTTTGTCAAATGCTTTTTCAGTATCTATAGACATAATAATGTTATTTTTGTTTTTAATTTTGTTTATGTGGTGTATCACATTTATTGACATGAGTATGCTAAACCATCCCTGCATCCCTGGTATTAGACCCACTTGATCATGATGTATTATCTTTTTGATATGCTGTTGGATTTGGTGAGCTGGTATTTTGTTGAGGACTTCTGCATTGATGTTTCTCATGGATAGTGGTCTGTCATTTTATTTTTTATGGCCTTTCCTGGTTTTGATATTAGGGTGACACTGACTTCGTAGAATAATATAGATAGGATTCCTTCTTTCTCTATCTTTTGGAATAGTTTCTATAAGACTGGTACCAATTCTTCTTTGAATGTCTGATAGAACTCAGCTGTAAATCCATCTGGTCTTGGATTTTGTTGTTTACAATTTTTTTTATTACTGTTTCAGTCCTGCTACTTGTTATTGGTCTGTTCAGAGATTTTATTTCTGCCTGACTTAATCAAGTAGGGTTGCATATTTCCAGGAATTTATTCATCTTTTTTAGGTTTTCTAGTTTGTGTGCATAAATGTGTTCCTAGTAGCTTTGGGTGATTTTTTCTATTTCTGTGGTATCATTTGTAATATCTTCCATTTTATTTCTAATGGAGCTTATTTGGATCTCCTCTCTTCTTTTCTTGGTTAATCTCACTAATGGCGTATCAATTTTGTTTATCTTTTGAAGGAACCCCCTCTTTCTTTCGTTTATCTATGGTAATATCTTTTTTGTTTCAATTTCATGTAGTCCTGATCTTTGTTATTTATTTTCTTCTGCTGGGTTTCAGTTTGGTTTTTCTTGTTTCTCTAGTTCCTTGAGGTGTGAGCTTAGATTGTCTATTTGTACTCTTTGAGACTATTTGATATAGGCATTTAATCCAATGAACTTTTCTCTTAACATTGCTTTTGCTGTATTCTGGAGATTTTGATAAGTTGTGTAACTGTTCTTGTGCATTTCAGAGAATTCTTAAATTTCCATTTTGATTTTATTGTTGATCAAAATATCATTAAAAGGCAGATTGTTTGATTTCTGTATATTTGTATAGCTTTGAGGGTTCCTTTTGAAGTTAATTTCCAGTTTCATTCTACTGTGGTCTGAGGATACTTGATATAATTCTGATTTTCTTTTTTCCTTTTTTTTATTATGCTTTAGGTTCTAGGGTACAGGTGCACAATATGCAGGTAAGTTACATATGTATACTTGTGCCATGTTGGTGTGCTGCACCCATTAACTCGTCATTTAACATTAGGTATGTCTCCTAATGCTATCCCTCCCTCTCCTCCTACCTCACAACAGGCCCCGGTGTGTGATATTCCCCTTCCTGTGTCCATGCGTCCTCATTGTTCAGTTCCCACATATGAGTGAGAACATGCGGTGTTTGGTTTTCTGTCCTTACGATAGTTTGCTGAAAATGATGGTTTCCAGTTTCATCCATGTCACTACAAAGGACATGAACTCATCATTTTTTATGGCTGCATAGTATTCCATGGTGTATATGTGCCACATTTTCTTAATCCAGTCTGCCATTGTTGGATATTTGGATTCATTCCAAGTCTTTGCTATTGTGAATGGTGCTGCAATAAACATAGGTGTGCATGTGTCTTTATAGCAGCATGTTTTATAATCTTTGGGTATATACCCAGTAATGGGATGGCTGGGTCAAATGGTATTTCAAGTTCTAGATCCCTGAGGAATCGCCACACTGACTTCAACAATGGTTGAACTAGTTTACAGTCTCACCAGCAGTGTAAAAGTGTTCCTATTTCTCCACATCCTCTCCAGCACCTGTTGTTTCCTGACTTTTTAATGACCACCTTTCTAACTGGTGTGAGATGGTATCTCACTGTGGTTTTGATTTGCATTTGTCTGACGGCCAGTGATGATGAGCAGTTTTTCATGTGTCCTTTGGCTGCATAAATGTCTTCTTTTGAGAAGTGTCTGTTCATATCCTTTGCCCACTTTTTGATAGGGTTGTTTCTTTCTTGTAAATTTGTTTCAGTTCATTGTAGATTCTGGATATTAGCCCTTTCTCAGATGAGGAGATTGCAAAAATTTTCTCCCATTCTGTAGGTTGCCTGTTCACTCTGATGGTAGTTGCTTTTGCTGTGCAGAAGCTCTTTAGTTTGATTAGATCCCACTTATCAATTTTGGCTTTTGTTGCCATTGCTTTTGGTGTTTTAGACATGAAGTCCTTTCCCATGCCTATGTCCTGAATGGTATTGCTTAGGTTTTCTTCTAGGGTTTTTATGGTTTTAGGTCTGACATTTAAGTCTTTAATCCGTCTTGAATTCATTTTTTATAAGGTGTAAGGAAGGGATCCAGTTTCAGCTTTCTACATATGGCTAGCCAGTTTTCCCAGCACCATTTATTAAATAGGGAATCCTTTCCCCATTGCTTGTTTTTGTCAGGTTTGTCAAAGTCAGATGGTTGTAGATATGCAGCATTATTTCTGAGGGCTCTTTCCTGTTCCATTGGTCTATATCTCTGTTTTGGTTCCAGTACCATGTTGTTTTGGTTACTGCAGCCCTGTAGTATAGCTTGAAGTCAGGTAGCGTGATGCCTCCAGCTTTGTTCTTTTGGCTTAGGATTGACTTGGCAATGCGGGCTCTTTTATGGTTCCATATGAACTTTAGTTTTTTCCAATTCTGTGAAGAAAGTAATTGGTAGCTTGATGGGGATGGCACTGAATCTACAAATTACCTTGATCAGTATGGCCATTTTCATGATATTGATTTCTTCTTACCCAAGAGCATGGAATGGTCTTCCATTTGTTTGTATCCTCTTTGATTTCATTGAGCAGTGGTTCGTAGTTCTCCTTGAAGAGGTCCTTCACAGCCCTTGTAAGTTGGATTCTTAGGTATTTTATTCTCTTTGAAGCAATTGTGAATGGGAGTTCACTCATGATTTGGCTCTCTGTCTGTTATTGGTGTATAAGAATGCTTGTGATTTTTGCACATTGATTTTGTATCCTGAGACTTTGCTGAAGTTGCCTATCAGCTTAAGGAGACTTTGGGTTGAGACGATGGAGTTTGCTAGATATACAATCATGTCATCTGCAAACAGGGACAATTTGACTTCCTCTTTTCCTAATTGAATACATTTTATTTCCTTCTCCTGCCTGACTGCCCTGGCCAGAACATCCAACACTATGTTGAATAGGAGTGGTGAGAGAGGGCATCCCTGTCTTGTGCCAGTTTTCAAAGGGAATGCTTCCAGTTTTTGTCCATTCAGTACGATATTGGCTGTGGGTTTGTCATAGATAGCTCTTATTATTTTGAGATACATCCCATCAATACCTTATTTATTGAGAGTTTTTAGCACGAAGGGTTGTTGAATTTTCTCAAAGGCATTTTCTGCATCTATTGAAATAATTATGTGGTTTTGTCATTGGTTCTGTTTATATGCTGGATTACATTTATTGATTTGCGTATGTTGAACCAGCCTTGCATCCCAGGGATGAAACCCACTTGATCATGGTGGATAAGCTTTTTGATGTGCTGCTGGATTCGGTTTGCCAGTATTTTATTGAGGATTTTTGCATCAATGTTCATCAGGGATATTGGTCTAAAATTCTCTTTTTTTGTTGTGTCTCTTCCAGGCTTTGGTATCAGGATGATGCTGGCCTCATAAAATGAGTTAGGGAGGATTCCCTCTTTTTCTATTGATGGTAATAATTTCAGAAGGAATGGTACCAGCTCCTCCTTGTACCTCTGGTAGAATTCGGCTGTGAATCCATCTGGTCCTGGACTGTTTTTGGGTGGTAAGCTATTAACTATTCCCTCAATTTCAGAGCCTGTTATTGTTGTATTCAGAGATTCAACTTCTTCCTGGTTTAGTCTTGGGAGAGTGTGTGTCGAGGAATTTATCCATTTCTTGTGGATTTTCTAGTTTATTTGCATAGAGGTGTTTATAGTATTCTCTGATGGTAGTTTGTATTTCTGTGGGATTGTTGGTGATATCCCCCTTATCATTTTTTATTGTGTCTATTTGATTCTTCTCTCTTTTCTTCTTTATTAGTCTTGCTAGTGATCTATCAATGTTGTTGATCTTTTCAAAAAACCATCTCCTGGATTCATTGATTTTTTGAAGGGTTTTTGTGTCTCTATTTCCTTCACTTCTGCTCTGGTATCGGTTGTTCCTTTCCATGTTTAGTGCTTCCTTCAAGAGCTCTTTTAGGGCAGGCCTGGTGGTGACAAAATCTCTCAGCATTTGCTTGTCTGTAAAGTATTTGATTTCTCCTTCACTTATGAAGCTTAGTTTGGCTGGATATGAAATTCTGGGTTGAAAATTCTTTTCTTTAAGAATGTTGAATATTGGCCCCCACTCTCTTCTGGCTTGTAGAGTTTCTGCCGAGAGATCCACTGTTAGTCTCATGGACTTCCCTTTGTGGGTAACCCGACTTTTCTCTCTGGCTGCCCTTAACATTTTTTCCTTCATTTCAACTTTGGTGAATCTGACAATTATGTGTCTCAGAGTTGCTCCTCTCGAGGAATATCTTTGTGGCATTCTCTGTATTTCCTGAATCTGAATGTTGGCCTGCCTTGTTAGATTGAGGAAGTTCTCCTGGGTAATATCCTGCAGAGTGTTTTCCAAGTTGGTTCCTTTCTCCCCGTCACTTTCAGGTACACCAGTCAGATGTAGATTTGGTCTTTTCACGTAGTCCCATATTTCTTGGAGGCTTTGTTCATTTCTTTTTATTCTTTTTTCTCTAAAGTACTCTTCTCACTTTATTTCATTCATTTCATCTTCCATCACTGATACCCTTTCTTCCAGTTGATCAAATCATCTACTGAGGCTTGTGCATGCATTATGTAGTTCTCATGCCATGGTTTTCAGCTCCATCAGGTCCCTTAAGGACGTCTCTGCATTGGTTATTCTAGTTAGCCATTCGTCTAATTTTTTTTCAAGGTTTTTAACTTCTTTGCCATGGATTTGTACTTCCTCCTTTAGCTTGGAGTAGTCTGATCATCTGAAGCTTTCTTCTCTCAACTCGTCACAGTCATTCTCCATCCAGCTTTGTTCCATTGCTGGTGAGGAGCTGCATTCCTTTGGAGGAGGAGAGGTGTTCCGATTTTTAGAGTTTCCAGTTTTTGTGCTCTGTTTTTTCCCCATCTTTGTGGTTTTATCTACCTTTGGTCTTTGATGATGGTGACGTACAGATGGGGTTTTGGTGTGGATGTCCTTTCTGTTTGTTAGTTTTTCTTCTAACAGTCAGAACCCTCAGCTGCAGGTGTGTTGGAGTTTGCCAGAGGTCCACTCTAGACCCTGTTTGCCTGGGTATCACCAGCGGAGGCTGCAGAACAGCTGATATTGGTGAACAGCAAATGTTCCTGCCTGATCATTCCTCTGGAAGTTTTGTCTCAGAGGAGTACCTAGCCGTGTGAGGTGTCAGTCTGCCCCTACTGGGGGATGCCTCCCAGTTAGGCTATTCAGGGGTCAGGGACCCACTTGAAGAGGCAGTCTGTCCGTTCTCAGATCTCCAGCTGTGTCCTGGGAGAACCACTACTCTCTTCACTGCTGTCAGACAGGGACATTTAAGTCTGCAGAGGTTTCTGCTGCCTTTTATTTGGCTATGCCCTACCCCCAGAGGTGGAGTCTACAGAGGCAGGCAAGCCTCCTTGAGCTGCAGTGTGCTCCACCCAGTTCGAGCTTCTCAGCTATTTTGTTTACCTATTGAAGCCTTGCAATGGCAGGTGCCCCTCCCCCAGCCTTGCTGCCGCCTTCCAGTTTGATCTCAGACTGCTGTGCTAGCAATGATTGAGGTTCTGTGGGTGTAGGACCCTCCCAGCCATGCACGGGATATAATCTCCTGGTGTGCCATTTGCTAAGACCATTGGAAAAGCACAGTATTAGGGTGGGAGTGACCCGATTTTCCAGGTGCCATCTCTCACCCCTTTCTTTGACTAGGAAAGGGAATTTCCTGACCCCTTGTGCTTCCCGGGTAAGGTGATAACTCGCCCTGCTTCGGCTCATGCTCAGTGCACTGCACCCACTGTCCTGTACCCACTTTCCGACACTCCCCAGTGAGATGAACCCGGTACCTCAGTTGGAAATGCAGAAATCACCTGTCTTCTGCATCGCTCATGCTGGGAGCTGTAGACTGGAGCTGTTCCTATTTGGCCACCTTGGCTCCACACTCCAGGTTGTTTCAATTGCCATTGTTTTAAAACCCATGTCAGGCTGAGCACGGTAACTCATACCTGTAATCCCACTGCTTTGGGAGACCAAGGTGGGAGGATTGCTGGAATGTCAGGAGTTTGAGACAAGCCGGAGCAACATAGTGATACCTAATCTCTATAAAAGTATTAAAAATTAGCTGGGCATGGTGACATAACATGCACCTGTAATTTCAGCTACTCAGGAGGCTGAAGTGGGAGGATTGCCTGAGCCCTGGAGTTCAAGGTTACTCTGATCTGTGGTAATGTAACTGCACTCCAGCCTGGGCAACAGAGAGAAACTGTGTCTCTTTAAAAAAAAAAAACCCATTGTCTTTCTGTGTAACCCATTTAAATAAATAAAAGCCCATGTCTTTCTGTGTGAACTGTTTCCAGGAAGATAGGGTAGGCCAAAAAGTTAAGCATTGTTTTCTTTGAGATACTGTCTTACTCTGTCACCTAGACTAGAGTACAGTAGCACCATCATGGCCCACTGCAATCTCTGCCTCCCATACTCAAGCAATCCTCCAACCTCAACCACTGGAATAGCTTGCACTACAGGTACACACCACCATGCCTGGCTGGTTTATTTTTGTAGAGGCAAGGTTTTGCCCTGCTGCCCAGGATGGTCTTGAACCCCTTAGTTCAAGATATCCTCTGTTCTCAGCCTCCCAAAGTGCTAGGATTACAGGCATGAGCCACCATGCCTGGCCAGCAATGTTATTTTGTAATGCCTACATTTGCACTTGCTTTACAGTGAAGTGGAAGCTTTGTTTTTACTGTGTAACTTGTGTTATTCCCAAAGAATATAAAAGCTGTTTTGTTAACCACCCAATAACATCAGCAGAGGTTGGTGTTTTGTATTGGTAATCCAATAAAAAGCCTGTAGAAGTATACATAATTGCTAAGGCATATTCAATGGTTCCTGCCACTTGCAGAGAGAGAACCAATGAAATTGTTTTCCAAGTTTTGATTGACCCTTCTATTTAAATTTATCTTTCCATAAGGTAGGCCTAGTGTCCAGATTATTCGAGTGTAGTACAGTTCTTGGTAGCTTTATGTGAATGTCTCTTTGCTGTAGCCACTCCTCTTAATCCATTTTTAAACCCCATCATATCCAAATGCCCTGATGTCTCTTGTGCCCACTGGTAGAAGCATTGAAGGGTTCATATCAAAGTTCTAGGAACACCCTGTCCTTCAAGATATTTACCTGCTTTGGTGGTTTTGTTAGTTTATTGGCTTTTTGCACTTTATACCACCTCCTCTGTGTCTTGTCTGTTGTGAGTCAAGGTATGGTACACAAATATGGGAAGAGTGGGAGCCAATGGTGAAATTTATTCCCATCTCTCTACCCCCAATGTCTTGGCCCTGTTTTTAAAGCCCTGATTTTGCCAAAGTCCTGACCAAATAATTAGCCCATTAGCTGCAAAGCGGGAGTTGATCAAAACATAAACCTTAGGAGAATGTTTCTCAAGGGCATACTCTGTGTCTAGTAGTATCGTGAACAGCTTAGCCTATTAAGCACTTTGTTCTATCCCCTGCATTGAATTTGGAATGTTTTAATAAGGGTCACAGGTTGCATCTGTTCATTTTCTGGCTCCCTTATATCCTGTGCTTCCTCCATTGCTTTTCTTTTTTGACAGTGCTGACCATCCTATCTCCAGTATCCATTGAACAATATTTTAAAAATCCCATTTCTGGGATTTTTGACAACATAACATCAATGACAATGCACGTGGCTATTTCCTTATGAAATTGTGACATTCCAGCAAGGCCAAGTTTAACTTGATCACATAGATGTCATATCCATCTTAATAAGGAGGGTGATGTCAACAAGAAGGTGGAATAGGCGTTCTCTAGCTCTATTACCCCTCATGGAAATCCAAGTAGCAACTATCTGCAAACAAGAATACCTTTGTCAGTATCTCAGAACTTGGGAATGAGACTGAAACACCCCCTTGGACCGCAGAACTCCACATTTTATGTGTAAGAGAAACAGTTTCTCTTACTGCATTGGCTCTCCTCCAAGTTGGCACGGTGCCACACACAGAAAATTCCCCTTGCCCATGGTTTCTACAGTGGGAAAAGAAAGTTGGAGGCAGACATTCAGCTACCCCACCATTCTGGGACTCTTTTCAGGAGGCCCACTCCTATCTCACATGACAGAAAACATTGCAGGTATCAGCAGAACTAGGCCGTCTTGGGTCGGTTAGAAAGAAAGAATGGGGGTGGGGCTTGCAGCAATCAGCACACAGTTCTTGGTGGTGATGCTGCCTTCCAGCCAAGAGGGGTACCACACCAGAGAGATTAGCCAATAGCATTACTCTGCTGGAAGCATGATCTGCATGTTTGCCAGGCACAAGTCCCTAGCCAGCTTCTCCACATAGTATTGGTCCTCTCCTTTAGCTTGCATCAGTCTGGGAAGCAAGGGAAAGTCAGCAGCTATCCACAGAGGGAGCATCTGGCCCCAGTCAAACCCAGAAGTTGAGTGCTGGCCCAACCAAGCCCCAGTGCTCTCCTCAAGCCTTTCCTAAGATAGGAGAAAAGTGCAAGTCATCAATTATCTGTGGAGAAAGCACTAAAACTCAGCAAATGAGTGGTGACCTTACTAAGCCTCAGTGCTCTGCTTGGGGCTATCCTAGACCAAGAGGCAAGTTGAAGTCTATACATATCTGTGAAGCATAGACTCTGACCCTGTCCAACCCAAGTTGCCCAGTGGTGACCCCAGAGCCATTACCCAACCTTGGAGCCCAACACACAGCACTGCTCAACTACTGATTCCAAACACAGTGCCTTCCCAGCCATGGAAGACAGCCTGCAAACCTGCCTGATCAGAGGCAATAACAGAGCCTAGTCATCAGGCCCACTTGACTACATTGTTTAGCTAGTGGTCTCACCAGATTGTAGAGGACAGCCAGCAGTTCCATTTTACCTCAGAGTGCAATTACTGTCCCAGCCCAGGTAGGGAACGAAACACTAAACTCTGCCTGTCCAGAGTTGCTACCAGCTGGCTCATCCAGAGTCCTAAGCTAGGCTAAATAGTGAAGGTTTATCACCACCAAAGAACACCTGCAAAAGTCAGAAGAGATGGCCATTTTCTCAAAAGTGCAGGCATCAATGCAGAGACATAAAGACTACTTAAAAATCAGAAAAAATATGACACCACCAAAAGAAATTAATACAGCTACAATAGTGAATCCTGAAGAAATGAAGATCTATGAATGACTGACAAAGAGTTCAAGATAATCCCTTAAAGAAGTTCAGAGAACTTCAAGAAAATACAGATTCAAACATTAAATAAATTTGGAAAACAATATATGAACAAAATGAGAATTTTGACAAGTAGATAGAAAATATAAAAAGAGGTCCTAGAGATAATATAAAAATCAAACTAAATTTAATAGAAAGCTTCAACAGCAGACTTGATTAAATGAAGACTCAGCGAGCTTGAAGATAGGACGTCTGAAATTATCCACTCAGAAAAGCAAAAAGGAAAAAGAATAAAAAAGAAATGAGGTCCATGAGAATTATGGAACACCATCAAGAGAACTAACTTTCATATAATACAAGTTTCCGAAAGAGAAGAGAAAGTGAAAGGAAGGCTGTTTAAGGAATAAATGGCTGAAATTTCCCTAAATCTGGAGAAATACAAAAACACCCAGGTTCAGGAAACTCAGAGTTTTCCAATCAAACTCATGCCAAAGAAAAGTTCACTAAGACACATCATAATCAAATTATCAAAAATCAAAGACAAATAAAGGATGCTGAAAGTCATAAGAGATAAGAAATATGTTACATTCAAAGGAATTCCAATACAACTATCAGCAAGGTTTTCAGCAGAAAACCTGCAGGTCAGGAGAGATTCGGATAATATATTCAATGTGCTGAAGGAACAAAATTTTGTGAAATAATAATGCTTTAACCAGCAAAGCTGTCATTCAAAAATGAAAGAGAAATAAAAATTTGTCATGACAAACAAAAGCTAAGGGAGTTTATTACCACTAGGCCTGCTTTACAGAAATTGCTAAGGGAGTTTTTAAAGCAAAATGAAAAACTGTTAATTAAATACAAAAAATAAATAAAAGTTAAAAACTCAATTGTATAAGTAATACATACTTATATTCAGAATTCTCTAATACCGTAAGGATGGTAGGTAAAGCAATTTTATTCCCACTATGAGAATTTAAAAAATCTATTAAAAATATAACTATAATAAATAGATAAGAATACAAATTACTATAAATAAATACATTTTGAAATCAAAATCATAAAAAGTGGGGAGGAGGAAGTAAAAGTATAAAGTTTCTTATGTGGTTAAATCTCAGTTATTATCAATTTAAAATAGCCTGTTATGAATAGAAGATATTTTGTGTAAGCTCTCCTGGTAACCACAAAATCAAAACCTATAGAATCTACACAAAATATAAAAATAAAGGATTAAAAGCATACCACCACAGAAAACCATCAAATCACAAAAAGATGGGAAGAGAGGAAGAAAGAGTTCAATTGTCATCAGTTTGAAATAATTGGCCATAAGATTTTGCTTGTGGCTGGGCACGGTGTATCATGCCTGTAATCCCAGCACTTTGGGAGGCTGAGGCGGACAGATCACCTGAGGTCTGGAGTTTGAGACCAGCCTGCCCAACATGGAGAAACCCCATCTCTACTAAAAATACAAAATTAGCCAGGCGTGGTGGCACATGACTGTAACCCCAGCTACTTGGGAGGCTTAGGCAGGAGAATTGCTTGAACCCAGGAGGCAGAGGTTGTGGTGAGCTGAGACTGTGCCATTGCACTCCAGCCTGGGCAACAAGAGTAATTTGAAATGTATTACCAGAGAAAATTCCTTTTTCACAATAGAAGGCTGGAAAGAAGGAAGGGAGAACCAGAAAACAACCAGAAAAAAATTACAAAATGGAAGTAGTAAATTCTTACCTATTATTGATTACCTTGAATATAAATAAATTAAATTCTCTAATTAAAAGACACAGTGTGTCTCAATGGATTTGTTTTTTTAAAAATCTAACTATGTGCTGTCTACAAGAAACTCACTTTACAAGTAAGTATACACATAGACTAAAATTGAAGAGATGAAACGTTATTTCACACAAATGAAAAACAAAAGAGAGCAGAGGTACTTATATTAGACAAGATAGACTTTAAGTCATAAACTATGAAAAGAAACAGAAAGTAATTATATTTTGATAAATGATCAATTTACCAAGAGGGCATAATAATTGTAAATGTACACGCACTTAACATTGGAGCAACTAAGTACAAAGAGTAAGTATCAAAAGATCTGAAGTGAGGCCGGGAGCAGTGGCTC